>NC_000005.10:169094657-169397687 GCF_000001405.40 Homo sapiens
ACTATGCCCCCTCCAAATGTACTACAGATCCCCTGTGGGCAGAATAGAGTGCTGACACACCAAGGTGTGAAGAATCATTGCTTTAGGATAGAAGTTTGCTAACTGTGGCCCTAACCTGCCACTGCTTTGTAAATAAAGCTTTATTAGAACACAACCATTTCCATTCATTTATTTACTGTCCACAGTTGCATTTGCATCACAACAGAAGAGCTGAGTGGCTGTGACAGAGACCACATGTCCTGCAAAACCTGTAATATTTACTATCTGGCACTTCATAGAGACAGCTTGCCGGCCCACCCCTGCCTGGGGAGGACCCAGGATGGCTCATGACTCACGGTCACCACCTTAAACCACAGGGACCAGGAGGAGGACACGAAATGACTGCTTTCCTAACAGCTAGTCAAAGACATGAAGTTTGAAAATAATCTCGGTAGTTTTGAAACTTTATCTCCCTGCCCTATTTCCCGTTTCTGCCAAGTATTCCTACCAAGGCAAACCCTTGTCTCAATCAAAATCCCCTGATCTAGCCATTTAGTTTCTTCTTATTCATTGTATAACTACTGATCATCCCGGGAAGCACATGTAAATTCTCTTCCATCTGAACTGATTGCCTAATGTTAAAAATATGAATGCAGAGTCATCTTGCACCGAAAACCACATCTGACTGGCACTTTTACATGTTATGGCAGCCATTTTAGAAGCAGGCATTTTCACCCCTAATGAAAAAATCCAAATCCAATTGCCCAGTCAGTTTTAGGAAGCCCTGAGAAGCATAACAAGTTCTCTGGTCCCTAGGACATACTCTGAAGAAATTAAAACTAAGGTATGAGGGTATTGAGAAGAGTAAAGCCTCCTCCCCTGACTCAGGCAGGCCAGACCGAGGCTGGGGCTCTGTCCAGCTTTTGTGTAAGTATCCATGGACTTCCCACCTGCCATCTCTCTCTGGAGTGGCTCGCTGTGGCATTAGGTGTAACATTTTAAGTCCCTAGGGGGCCCTCTATTGTGAAAAATGACTTCCCTCCCATGCATCACCTTCTCCTGCCTTCAATGGGCCATACCAATCTGTGTCCTCACTGTCAAGCGGCCTCACTGCCTTTCCAGCCCACCATTGATTGGCACTTGTGGTTCCTTGACATCTCGTTCCTGCCCCACCACAGAAGTCTAGCAGAATTACACCCATTCTTCAACCTTCTGCCCAAGTATCTTACATTTTACAAACAATACTTTTTAAAACAATTTTAATTACATAAGTACATGAATGCATTCTCCTGATCATAATGCATTCTGTAAAAGTACTGCAGATAGGGCTCAAGTCTCTATTGACAAAAACCTCTAAGCTCCATTCCTCCCTCAAGGCAAGACAAGTATTATCTGTCCATTGCATATTTTTCCAGCGTCCCTTCTATGCATTTGCATAATTACATATGCACTGTGAGAAAATATACAATATGTTTTGCACATTTTACACAAATGGTAACATCTTTGCCTTTTTCACTCAACAATCCCTACTGGAAATTTTTCCACATTACTCAATGTAGATAGAATGCATTCTTCTTCACTGCCACAGTGTAAGTATAGCATTCTTCTTGTGATTGACATTTAGATTGTTTCCAGCTATTTGAGAGTAAAATAATGATGTTATAAACATCCTTGTCTATGACTCCTTGTGTACCTGTGTGTGTCTCCAAGGTAGATTATATATGATTTATTGTTTTCTAATTGTTTAGAGCAGGGGTTAGCAAATGTTTTTCTGCAAAGGGCCAGATAGAAATGTTTTAGGCTCTGCAAGTCTTAAGGTTCTTTTCACAACTACTGGACTCTGCCCTTGTGCCTGAAAAGCAGCCATAGATATGTAAATAAGTGAGTGTGGCTGTAATTTAATAAAACTTTATTTACAAAATAGCCATTGGACAGAATTTGGCCCAAAGTCACAGTTTGCTGTCCTTTGGCTTAGAGTATACCTTCCAACAAGTACATCTATGTTTTATGGATTAGGGATGGATCTAGGGCATGACACCACACCACCAATGGCTACTGATATATATTGAGCCAGTGAGATGTAGCCCATCGCTATGGGCATGATCTCATTTAGTCCATTCAACATTCCTATGTAGTAGTAGAATCCATACTCCCACTGAGTCAATTGAAACTCAGTGATATTAAATATTTAAGGTCACACAGCTGGTAATGAGTGGAGCTGAGATTCCTTCCCAGGTAGCGTGACTCCAAGCCTGCATTTTTAACCACTATATTACAATGTCGTCCTACTGTTAAAGGGAGAAGAGGTAGAGTGCAGACAGGTCAAAAGACAGCTAGTCCAACATTTAAGTTCCTGGGGGTTGTAACAACAATGGTTTTTAGATGGTTCTGGTGGACCATTTCCCCAGGAATATGCATAGATAGTTTGTCTGCAATTTCAGGTAACAGAGCTCCTGAGTGCCACCCATGAACCTCGGGTTAAGATTCCTTGTTAGGACCCATGAGGCTGGGAACCTATTTAGTGTTGAAACATTACCATTTGCTGTCTCTACCTGAAATGTGCACTGTTCCCTGCCTATAGGGCCAAGAAGTTGTAACTTAAAACTCCTCTCTCTGCCTAGAAATCCTCACTTTTCTTCCCCACTTAGTCCATTAAGTGTGAGATGTGGTATTACAGTTTGCTTGTGTTTTACCCACAAAAGAATGAAAGGAAGATGGATAGATAAATGGGGAGGAGGAAAAGGGGAGAGGAAATGGGAGAGGAAGGAAGGAAAAAAGGAGGAAGAAAGGTAGAAGGTGGAAGAGAAAAGGGAAGAAGGAAGAAAGGGAAGGAGGGAGAAAGGAGAGAAAAAAGAATCCCACTGTGACATGTAGACGCATTTTCAAAATTGTATTTATCCAATATGCTTTCACCTTTTTGGGACAGTTTGGAGAACTGTTAAAACTATCAAAGGCAGACTACCAGGGAGATGTTTATTCTACGAAGAGTAGTTACACGATGATGTCAGCTTAGCAGCCACAGACATTTCTGGCCAGAGGGGGCTGTTGGAGGAGGCAGTCAGGCGCAGCAGCAGTAGCAGGAGGGCTGTCAGGTTGGCACTGGTGCCTTGGAGCTTGCTCTGTAGCCCCCCACCACCCTGCAAAAGGTCCCAGATGCTGCTTCTCATCTGCCCTTTGTTAGGTCCAAACCCTGCTCCCCAGGCACAAGTTGGAGGATCAAGTGCATTTTCCAGTCCGTTTCATGCCAACTGAAAAGCTGAGACCTGCCAAGGCCTGAGCTTTTAAAAATATAAGTAGGGAACCCCCAGGGAGCCTGAAGCAGGGGCTATTCAAAATGTTCTTTTAAAAAATTTTTAAAATATACTTGACAAGTGCTTTTTCCCCATTTGGGGAAAACCTGTCAGAAAGGATGCCCAGAGCAAAGAGAAACTCTGACCCCAGGCAAGCTGCCTGGGCCTTCCCAATGGGTATCCCTGGGCCCCGGCTTGATTTTTTTTGGAAAGCAGGCTTCTTCTCACACATGGGGTTTCATGCCTTAGAGTTAATTATTCAGTCACGAATTACTCCAGGAAGAACTTCCCTTTCTATGGAGCCAAATGACCAAGTGTCTTTCTATAAAAAGAACGTCATCCCTTTTAACGAGGACACCCCACACCCAAATCACACACGTGTGTGTATACACACAGTATACATGCAACCGATAACTATGCACAATCATAAGCACATTTTTGGCCTAGATGTGAATCCGCTATTAGTAGATGCAGAAGGTTTTGGCTCCCAAGCCCACAGCCTAAGGAGAGATGATTTTTATAGCCTTAAGCTAGAATCTGAACAAATGCTGGGATGCACAGAGGACTCCATTTTATCAGTGGGATCTCCACCTATTCCACACATTGCATGACGCTAGTGTTCACAGCTCTGACAATTCCAGACAGACAGATGTCCCGTACAGTTTAGTAGACATGAAATAGCTCAGCAAACACACACAAGAGCAAAAGTGGACGAAGTGGATGACATTGATGTGCCCACCTACAAATGTGTCAAATGACAGGAGGGTTAAGTGTAGATGGTTTCTGATGAAGACGTCATTTGATCATACGTCTCCTTTACCGGACACAGTCATTACAATGGGACAATTGTTCAGTTGCAAGAAGCAGGATTCACATTTTTCCAACCTCTTTGTACTTTTCTCTCCCAAAGGAGCATTCCTTGAGAAGCCGGAGGAATTCTACTGATTACATCTCCAGCACAGCCACATTCCAGCGGGTAGGAGGGTCACACACCTGGGCCGGCAGAAAAAGGCCAAAACACTGAGATCCCAGGTCAGATCTCAGATGCCTGCACCCTTCCAGCAGCACAAAAGCTCATAGGCTACTCCCAGTTGCCTGGTGGCTACATCTACCGCCTCTGCTTGACCTTCCAGAAATTCCCTTGAGGATTTAAAGCAAGCATCTTCCCTACCCCAGCCCCTCTCCCCAGTGTTCTGTCATCTCATCTTCTTCTGACCTAGCCCCTTCCTTGTTTCTGGAGGGATAAAACAACCTGAGGAAATTCTCTGCTCAGCAAGGAATATGCCTCTCAGGTTACGGTTTGTGTTGGCATGAAATAGGCGATTTGCAGGCACAGAAGCCCCCAAGACAGTGGCCTTGACATACAAACCTGGCAGGATGGTCTCAGGGTATCTCTGGGGGCTGTTCTTATCCTCATGCTTGTGTGACTTGTTCATCATCCATTCAATTGTTCATCATTCCTTAATTCAATGAACACTTCCTTCCTCCTAGCTCCTGTTCCTTCCCTTCCATGTGCTAGACACTGGGGATGCAAAAAGAATCACTAACACATGTTTAGCAACTACTGTGTGCTCTTCACAGTGCTGACTGTTTTCTAGACTTTATGCCATTTTATTCTCATAACCTTTTGATTAGAAATGATTATTAGCCCTATCTTACAGATATGACAATTCAGCCTGTAAGTAGTCACACAGCTATTAGGGGCTGGGGTTGAAATCCAGGCAGTCTGCCTTCCCAGCTCATCTTAGTCCCAACCATGCCATATCCTGACACAGAATGCCGGTCATGACCTCAATGTATGCTCATGGTGTAGCTGGCGAGGTGGTCAGGTAAGGGGAGGATGGTAACACAGTGTGACAAGTGCTACCAGACGGGCATCTAACCCTGCATTAGGTCAAGAAGGCAGGCAATGTTGCAAGGAAAAGATAACATCTAAGGTGTGCCCCGAAGGCAAGGAGGGCATCTGCCAGCTGGAAGAGGCAGGTCCAGGCCCACTTGCTGGGCTTATCTGAACGAAAGCAGACTGACCATGAGCCAGAAAGCAGCTTCTTTCCTGGGGAGCAGATGTCAGAGAGATGACTGGCCTTTAGCTTGGAACGCCTTGTTCTGCTTCACGTACACTTATCTCATCACCCTGCCAAGCCTCTCTCTGGCACTGCTAATGCTGGGGGTAAGTGAAAAAACAGAGTAGAGTGTGTGGTCTATACAAACAGGTAGGTTCAAGCCTGCAGCAGAGCCAGCAGAATGAGGGATCCAGTCCAAAGCTAGAAGAGCCTAGGAAGAATGGTGAACATGGAATCCCCTTGGGCCCAAGAAAACAGTGGTAAACAGCATGAGTCAGACGGGAAGGAGAGGACAGCAAAAAGCCCTGGACTTAACAGTTGGGATCAGTCCTGGCAAAGTCACATGAAAGATTTGTGAACTGGGGTCAAGTCCTTCAAACTAGATGAGGCTTCGTTTACCTATTAGTCAAATGGGGAAAATGATACCCACTTCCCAGGATTGTCGTAGCACAAAGGCAAGAGTGGAAGAAAATGCTTTGTAAATGAAAGCAGGTAAAGAGTTTCCCAGAATAAAGGCGTCAGGAATATGGGTCCATGCTGTCACTTAGGCTCAGGAGAGATTGGTGCTTCAACCAATGAAAATAATGCTAAGTCATTCCTTCAGATCCTGGGGGTTGGGACAAGAGGGACACAAACGCACTAAAAGCATGATCTGTAACCTTACTGTAACCATCTGCCCCAGAGCCTCCATACTAAGTCCGTGGTGGTGGGAAGGCCAAGCAGACACTGGGTCATTCCATCCTCCAGTGATCCTGTGACCAATTCCAGGCACCTCCATCCTCTCCATCTTCACCAAAGGAACCAGGGATACCTCAGGGTTTAAGAGGCTGACTCATTAGGGTTCTCTGCGGTCACTGGCAGATGACAAGCTGATGCAGGAAAATCCCATGTGTCAACAAACCCTGCTGGCAAGAGAATGCTAGTTGCTGCCTCTCAAAGTGTCCTTCTGTGTTTTTTAAATAAGTAGCCCAGCATGGGAGTCAGCGTGAAAGTTGACCATTGGAGTCCTCCTTGGGCTCATCCTGCCTAGCTGGTTTTGAGTTCTAGTTGCTTTGACAAAGGAATAGTGACTTAATACTGAGCATATTTCATTTTGTCCTGAGTGCCATGGGAGGCTGAAGTTAGTGTTTCCACTTTGATGGTCTTAGGGAGTAAAAGAAACTTGACTGTCATCTTCTAAGAAGAAAGCCATGAATGTGGGCATCTGGAGGCAATAACACTTTGGTTTTTGCTGCACAATATTTAGTCCAGAAGAACAGCCCACAAACATCCCACCCAAGGTCATTACTGGTCCCTTGAATGGTTCCTCTTCACAGGACAGGACGTGGGTAAAGCTGAAGTTTGTTTTCAATGCCTTAGTGCCCTCTAGACCTCCCACCATGGAAACTTGCTCTTGGGAGAGGTCCCCAGTCTCATTCACATTGAAGTGTGTTAAGAGATTAAATTCTTATCCCACTAACAGTGTGATAGGAATCTAAGCTTTAACTACTAGAATGGAGATCTTCAACTCCATGAGATCCATGAATGCTCAGCCATCTGCCTCCAGGACTCCTTGGTCTCCTTGCCTACACCTTGCCTCCTCAATTCATTCTCCACAACAAAGCTGGAAAGAACTTCCACAAATGGAAATATACTGAGCATTTCATTGCTAAAAGAATCTCTCAATAATCTTGAATCAGTTTCAAGAAAAATGATCCTTAATGATCCTGCCACTCGCTACCCCTCTCTGGTCTCATTATCTGAGTGCCACAATATGCCTGGGTACTATTTGCAATATGCTCTGGCTACCCTCACCACAGGGCCTTTGCACATGTTATTCTGCTCTGCTTAGAGTGTCTTTTATCTTTTTCTCCACCGGTCTAACTTTCTGTACAACCTTCAAGACTCAGCTCAAGGATTCTCTACTTTTCAGTGGGCTTTTTAAACATCCCCTCTACTCCAGACTGGATAACCTCAGAGATCCTGGCCTTTCCCAGCACTGACCATTCAGCGCCACAGTTCTAGACTTATTTGTCTTTTCCAACAGAATGTGAGTTCCTTGAGTGAAGTGACCCCTGTCCTATTCACCTTGACCCTGACACCTAACCAATGAATATTCACTCCGTGAATGAATCCTGTATTCTGGAGGGCAGGCAATTTGCCCAGCAGTCCCCAGAAAGTTATGCCATTGCCTGTGTGGAGCTGGCTAAAAGGAAACATGTGTGTTGGGGTGGGGATGAGAACTGGGGACATCCCCTGCCTGAAGGGGAGAGTTGAAATCACTCCCAGCCAATTTGAGGCCACTGCAGCCAAATCTCCTGATTTTTCAAAGAACATAGACATTTTTGGATTATATATATCCATATTCATGAATATATATACAGTTGTCCCTCAGTACCTGTGGGGGATTGGTTTCAGAACCTATCCCTAGGACACCAAAATCCATGAAGCCCTTCATATAAAATGGTATAGTATTTGCATATAACCACTGCACATCCTCTCACATATATTAAATCATCTCTAGATTACTTATAATACCTAATGCAATGTAAAGGCTATGTAAATATTTATTAGATGTATTTTAAAATTTGTATTATTTTTATTATCGTATTATTTTTCCCAAATACTTTTGATCTGCAGTTGGTTGAAACCATGGATATGGAACCCATGGATACAGAGGACAAGTGTGTGTGTGTTTGTGTGTGTAGCTAGAAAAAGAGAGAAAGGGGGAGATTTATCATTAGGAATTGGCTCACATGATTTTCAAGGCTGGAATATCCAAATCTCCTACATTAGGGAGAGCAAGATGTTTTACTCAGTCTACAGGTTTAAATGTTAATCTCATCCCGAAACATCCTCACAGAAGCACTCGAATGATATCTGACGAAATACCTGAGCACCCTGTAGCTGAGTTGAGCTGACATACAAATCACAAGTCACCTCTCTTCTAAATCATTGGATTTTAAACTTGTTTTAACCTTCAGAAACCCCATTTTTTCCTCAAACTGAATCTTCGCTAAAACTTGACTATGATAATAAAAGTTATAATACTAATAAATAGTCATGGTGACATTTTTTGAGTGATTACTTCATCCACGCCCTACTCATGGTATTGTACATGCATTAACCCATTTAAACTCCACAGGAATCCTATGAGATAGGCACTCTTAATTATTCTTCCCATTTTACAGAGGTGGAAACCAGAGCACACAAAAAGAATGGCTAGATAATATATTCAACACAAAATAGCTCGGAAATAGTGAAAACTGCTTTTGGATCCAAGCAGTGGGATTTTTATTTACCCATCACATTGTGTAAAATAGACAAGTCAAGCCTGTTTTATTTGAAGTGGAGGTTCAGGCTCCTTCTTCCAGGCAATGTTATAGCCTCTGGAGTTACAGCCTCTGAGAAAGGGTTTGAAAAGCCCTGGCCCAGGTGATCCTCAGAGTCTGAGAAAAACTAAGACGAGGATATGCTGTGCTCCTGGTTGCAATGAAAAGTCAACTCTGCCTGGTGAGTTTTGAAAGCAAGTGGCTGTCAGGTCCCCCAGTTATCCCTTGGGCTGAGGCTTTTCTCCTTCTGGGTATATTTTATTTCTCTTTGCAAAATGCAGGGATTAAGTTCCCTGTCTCAAAGTCCCCTTCCCCAGGGTGGGCATGCTGTTACCGGGAGGTGGGTGGGTCTGCCACGTTCCTAGGTCCAGGGTGGAACTGCTTGCAGCCTGCAACACAGGAACTTTCTGAAAACATGGCCTGGCATCCCCCTCCCACCCATCCCCATGTGTGCTCACTCCTCGGGCCAGGGCAGGCCTGCTCAGGCTGGGGCTCGCCACCCTGCTCAGAAGCTTCAGCTCCCGACCTCGTCTCTCACCAGTGGGAAGGGCAGCAAGGCCAGGGAAAGAACGAGCCCTTGATGGGTGGCAGGGGCAGGATGCAGGGCCGAGTGGCCCTGCCACTTGCTGCTCTGTGCTGGAGTTTCCTCCAGACCCGTCTGTGAACTCCAGAGACACTCGTTCCCAGGGCTGGCTACAACTTGTCAGGGATCCTGTTACTCCCGAATCCAGTTCCAAAAACAATACTGGGCCTGATGCATTAGCCCTGATTAATTGGCCCACAACATGCTTCTCACTTAATTCTCCTATTTTTCTTCTTACCTCTCCTTCTCTGGGCTCCACCCCTCAAAGCTCAATTTGGAAATACCCCCATATTTGATCTGAAGGTGGGTCCCTTGCCAAGAGGTGCACCCATGAAGCCGCGCCGGGAAGCAGCCAGCATCCGTGGAATCACCTGCCTTTTGTGCATGTTTACATCTAGGCCTCAGTGATGGAAAATGCCTGAAGAGCAAAGGGGCAAGAAATAAATAAGCCCACGCAGAACTCCAGGGCAGAGGAAGCGTACGCTCAGCTCAATCACATTTTCCAATTTCCTCTTGTATATTTTTCCTGACATCTTTGCATAGGGTAATTCTGATGAGGTTTTCACCTGTCAAAATGAAAAGGCTTTAAAAACTAACAGCCAATTTCACACAGGGGTCCTATTTAATCTTAAGTCAAAGAACCATTGAATGCATTGATGAACTTTGGGTCAACAAATGGATTGGCAGGTCAGCTTTCTCCTTGGAAACTGAGCACAGGCGTTCATTCCACCTTGGGCCAAGCCTCCAGCCTTATCATCTTCTCCTGGTCATGAGCTTTGGTGATTTTTTCTCGTATTTTGGAGAGGGGCGCTTCGTGGATCCACTCACCCCCATGTCTGGTCTCCTGGCAACCAAGGAACCATCTGGGAACCAGACAAGGTTGTCATACCCCATTCAAGAATCAGCAGCTCAAAAGAAAACTCTCAGGGGGAGAAAAGAAAGAAAACCACAGAGATTTATCAGTTTTTAGGAGCTGGGCTAACCTGCCCCACATTCTGGGTCTGCCCTTCCAATTGTTTCCCCTTCTTTCCAGGGTATGGCATTTTGAAAGAAACATGCGCGCCATTTTCATGTCAAGAAAAGAATTAGTGTCTCAGAAAAGCCTCAAGTACGATCACATGTAATTGTTTTATAGATGCTGGCACAGGTTCAGGGAAGAATGGGTTTTTAATACCAAATCTTTCCATTTCCCTTTGTTTGCCTGTGATTTGTGGGCTCTGTGAACGGCAGGTTTCTGGCAGATCCACAATTTCGATTTCCCCTTTGTTTTCTCATGGCTCGTGGGTTCAGGGTTTCTTTTATTTTTTCCATGCGTCACAAATACTGTTTAATGTGGGTGGGGGACGGCTTCCCTCTCCTTCCCCTGGAGACACATCATTTGGTTAAACCGCACATAAATTTAACCTCTCTCCAAAGAACTATTAATGATTCTAATGCACATATATGTACATGCTTGCACAGATCGAGGAGGCTTTTCTTTTTCCTTTTAAACCAACGAAATACCCAAGGTACGACTTCTCGCCCCATCTTTATCCTCATGGAAAAAGCAGTTTTCAGGCAAAGAAATGCAGACACGCCATGATGACTGTGGTGAGAACACACTCGTCCAAAGTCACGCCAAGCGTTACCAAGGTTGGAGTTGTCTTTGGGGTAGCAGGCAGCTTCAAGGGCATCAGGCCTGTGCAGATTAGACACACCCACCAGACAATATCCCGAGGCCATCCCTGGATAAACCAACATGTTCCAGAGCAGGAGCAAGTAGAAAGATCAAGATTCATCTGTTCTCATTGTTCAGCTCTCACTTGTAAGTGAGAACATGCAGTGTTTGGTTTTCTGTTCCTGCATTAGTTTGCTGAGGATATGGCTTCCTGTTCCATCCATGTTCCTGCAAAGGACATCATCTTATTCATTTTTTATGGCTGCATAGTATTCCACGGTGTATATGTGCCACAATTTCTGTATCCAGTCTACCATTGATGGGCACTTAGGTTGATTCCATGTCTTTGCTATTGTGAATAGTGCTGCAGTGAACATACATGTGCATGTATCTTTATAATAGAATGATTTATATTTCTTTGGGTATATAACCAGTAATGGGATGGCTGGGTCAAATGGTATTTCTGCACATAGACACATGGGGGGAAACAACACATGCTGGAGCCTGTTGGGGGGGCAGGGGGAATGAGAGCATCAGGAAGAATAGCTAATGAATGCCTGGCTTAATACCTAGGTGATGGGTTGATGTGTGCAGAAAACCACCATGGCACATGTTTACCTGTGTAACAAACCTGCACATCCTGCACCTGAACCCGGGAACTTCAAAGTTGAAGAAAAACAAAAACAGGATTCAGAGATCAGAATGCAGAAGCCAAGGGTCCTCTTTCAAACAGGTGTGTTTGAGAAAAATCCCTCTGGCTGCAGTTTGGAGGGGAGACCACAGAGCGACTAGTGCTGGGACTGTTAAATAGTATGAGTGGCTTGTGATGAGGGTCTGTACCAAAGGCATGAAAGGGGAGGAGAGATGAGGGAACTCAATGGACATTTCTGTCAAGTGAACCCTTCCTTAGTATCTCCAATGCAAAGTGAGTCATTTTGATGTGGCCATCTTGCTATAATCATTCCAGTGCCAAAATTGTATCAACATGCAAAACACTCTTTAAAAAAATCACCAGTATTGAGTCTAACCCTCATCATCCCTGATGCTTCACCATCTCCGACATCCTCCTCAATCTTTGTCTCAGTTCTGAGCTTCCCCATCCCTGATGCTACTGTACATACTGCATCCCCTCCCTGTCTCCCTGTAGCATGCAAAGGCATCCCATCTTGCTAGGCATCACAACAGATACTGATAATTTACTAACTTCATTTCTAGGTCACATCAAAATGACCCTGTGTCAAAGCAGTGGGCCAAATATCACCCATCCTTATGTTGAACTTCAAAAAAGCAAAAGTCCTTCAGTTTTTGCAGACAAACCTGCAAAAGAGAGAGAGCTGGGGAGACAGTAGTACCCTGTAGAATCTTTAGCCAAATGCAGCTTTGCTTAGCATTCCAAGGTCACCTGCATCTAGGGACAAGCTGCAGGAGCAGGTGAGATGCTGCCAAACGTGTCAGAGGAGGCAGCACCTGGCAGCCCCTAATCCAAGGCCGCCTGCCCTGTGCAGGAAATGGTCGCTGCTGGGCGTCCTTGCAGCCACTTCAGCCAGGCCTTCCTTTGCTTCTAATTAACACTGAGCAGGCTCCACAGTCCTTGCCTCCTCATGGCTGCCCATATGGCTGGACCCTGCTCCTGGCTGCTAGCAGAAAAGATGAGTGAGGCTGTCTGTCTCCCTCTCTCTTTTTCATAGATCCCTGTGGCTCACACTTCTCCTAGCTCAAGCTTGTATTCCCAAGTGTGAAGGTGTTGGGGAGGTGGACAGGGTGGAAAATCAAGCGTCCCTCTTGATTTTATAGACCCTGATGCATTTCTCAGCTTTATTTAATTTCGTAAGAGCTGTGGTCTGCATAGCTCCCTGGAGCTAAGAGCTGTATATCACTGGTCTTTCATTGCAAGTAGATGTGGGTTTGACATTCCTGAAGGCTTGAAAAAAATTATTATTCTAAGCTTTGTGCTTTGAACATGGTGAGCCAATTGGTTAGATTTCTGCGTGGTGATAACCTCTCCCAAGGGGTGACAGCCCCAGGGAGGAGGCATGGCGGGGCTTTTTAGAATGACAAATGGGAGGCCCCGGCCATGCTGGGATCACAGGGAGCCTGGGAATGTGCAGAAGGCTTGGAGCCTTTCAATTCTCCTTGTTTGGGTCTGGCTGCCCGACTTCAGCTTCAGTAAGAACAGCCACCTGGCTCTCTTGCTCCAGCCCAATTTGCCTTCTTTCAGTTCTTCCAATGTCTCTCCCACATAAAGGCCTTGGCCTGTGCTGTGTCCTCTGCCTAGACTACTGTTCTAACTGCCTCCCCTCATGCCCTAGGCTTGGCTAACTTTCTTCTTCCTTTTAATTGCAGCTTGAGAACTCCTTCAGAGAAGCCTTCTTGACCTCGATGATCGGGCTGAGATGCCTCCCAGGCTCTCCTATCACCAAGCAGGATGTTCTGCTCATTCTTCACACTCATTTTGACTGTTACTTCCCCTTAGACATGTAATGCTTCAATCCATACCTCTTTCCCCCAGCAGACCAGACCATAGTTCCTCATCAAAAGTAGGAGCCCTGCTTGTTTTTGCCCCAAGGCATCTGATACAGGTTTAATGTAGCTACTCAAAAGTAGCACCCAGTAGCTACTCAATGAACATGCAGAGTAAACAAAAAGTCAAAAGTTCTCCAGATGGAAGGCAAGGACCAATTATTTTCAGACAGTGGGAGACAGTGGAAGAGAAGAGTCTTCAGGGTCAAGCAACCTGGGTTCAAGTCCTGGCCCTGACATTTGGATGCTGGAGTCACCACATTTGAGAATGGATTTCTGGCAGATATAGACAGAGCTGGCACAGCATACTCCAAAGACCACCAGCACAATGGATCACAGGCATGTATTCTACCATGGATCCAAAGTCCAGAGGAATCTTTCAGAGAGATGTTCCTCCAGGCTAGGGAAGAAGCTGGGTTGGAGGAAAGGTAGAGGCAGATGAAGGGCACAAAGGAGAGATTGGCTCAATTGTTGTAAGGGTGAACCATGGCAGCTTTGGCAGCTAGAGATGACTGGAGGTATCTGTAACCCTTGAGGTCTTGAGGAATGGTTGAAGCCATGGCTTGGTGAAGGACTCCTTTTAATGCTCTTGGTGGATGGGGTAGCTTTGAGAAGGAAGTCCCTCCACATGCCATACTTCAGAAGGAAGATGTCCAAAGGCCACCTTCGTAAGAGCCACCTCCCCCTCATTGCACACTCTCACTACTCTGCAATGGAGAAGCTCCAAGAGGGTGGATGCTCTGTCTGCCTTGTTCTCCACTGTGTTCTCAGCACTAAAACATTGCCTAGCACAGAGTGGGTACTCTACGAATCCTGGCTGAGTGAAGAAAAGACTGTCAGTATCCTCATCCACATGCTCTTTCAGGCCTCTGTCTGTGGTGGACAGGCCCTTGGGGGGTCTCTTGATGATTTTCTGCCAACTTGTGTCCATGTCTTTTTGTGATGCCCCCCACTTGAGTGTGGGTAAGACCTAAGACTTGCTTCTCACTGACAGCATATGGAAAAGGGGATGGGATGTCACTCTTTTGATGAGGCTAAGTTATATAGCAAAGGCAGTAGGAGGTCACTCCCAGGATTACATTATGTTATATGGCAACAGGGATAGAATGTCACTCCTGTGATTAGATTAGGTTGCATGAGACTCTGTCTCAGAGGACTGGAGAGATTCTCTTTGTTAATGTGATGAAGTAAGGCATGAAGCTCACTTGGCAAGGAACAGCAGGCTACTGCTAGGACATGAGGATGGTTTCTCACCAACAGCCAGCAAAAAGTGGGACCCTTAGTCATACAGCCAGAAAGAAATGAATTCTGCCAACAACTGAATGAGCTTGGAAGAAGATTCTTCCCCAGTCAAGCCTCCAGATGAAAATGCAGTCCAACCAACACCTCGTTTACAGTCCTGAGAGACCCTGAGCAGAAGATCCAACTACACTGTGCCCAGACTCCTGACACATAGAAATGTGAGATAGTAAATGTGTGTTGTTTTAAGCTTCTAAGCTGGTAGCAACTTATTATAGGGCAATTGAAAATGAATACAGCCTCTAGGCTTTTAATCACACTTTTCCCTCTCTCTGGAAGAACAAAACTAAGGGACTCTCATGAGACTAAGTTTAGGCACTACCATCTCCCTATTTCACTCTGCTCTCATCTTAGGAGTCTCTGGTGTGTGTTCCTGCAAAGCTCCCTATGTTTTCTCTATAATACTTTTGATGCTATGTTGTCCCTTTCTGTTTCCATATTGACTTCACTCATGAGGCTCTGAGCTCTTCAAGGGGCCCTGGCTGCCTTCTGTTTTCTTTCCTCCCTTCTCCTACCTTTGTCACATGGTTTTGGAGGGCTTACCGTGTGCCAGTTGCTGAGATATGAAGTCAAACAACAGCAGGAATATCAAGATCCTCTTTTCATCCTCATGGAGCGTCTAATAACAAGGAGACATAGTAATCCCAGAATCACTACACCCCTGGAGCATTACACTTGTAGATAGATCATGTTGGCCAGGCTTGTCTTGAACTCCTGACCTCAGGTGATCTGCCTGCCTCAGCCTCCCAAAGTGCTGGGATTACAGGTGTGAGCCACCACGCCTAGCCATGAGTAAAGTCTTAATGGTGCACAGACACACTCATGCTTACCTATCTTCTGTGGCTACTTTCATGTTATAACTGCATGGTTGAGTATGGCCCCAAAGCCAAAAATACTTATCATCTGACACAGCTTATCATTTACAGAAAAAGCTTGCTGACCTGACCTAAGCCAACTGTATGAGTTCCCTAAAGCTGCTGTAACAAAGTAGGTGCAATTTATAGTCTCACAGTTCTGGAGGCTGGAGGTCCAAAATCAAGGTGTTGGCAGGGTTGGCTCCTTCTGAGGGCTGTGAGGGAGGGTCTGTTGCAGGCCTCTCTCCTAGCGCTGGTAACTTTAGGTGTTCGTTGTCTTGTAGAAGGCATTCTCTCTGTACCCTACATCATTTTTCATTTATGCATGTCTGTCTCTGTGCCCAAATTTCCCCTTCTCTGACACAGTCATATTGGATTAGGGCCCATCCGAAAGACCTCATCTAAACTTGATCATCTGTAAAGACCCTATTTCCAAATGAGGTAACATTCACAGATATTGGAGGTTAGGACTTCAGTGTCTTTTTAGGGGACACAATTCAATGCATAACACCGGGCTACGTTATTTCTCACCTGGACTATTGTAATAGCTTCCTAACGGGTCTCCCATTTTTGCAGCGTAGCTCACCCCACCCTCAAACCCTTATTCTACAGCCAACTGTCCACTTCCCAGAATAATTATTTCATAGTTCAGATGGGATTGTGTCACCCTCTTAATGGAAACCTTCCAGTGCACATCCAGTGGGTGAAGACCGAGCTCTGTAACATGGGCTGTGGTGCCGCACAGTCTGTTCTGACTGCCCTGACCACCTACTACTACCCCACAAGCCTTTGCCCTCTCTGCAACGGCCTTACTGACTTTCAGTTTTTCAAACTGCCCGTGCATCCTTCCTCGCAGGGCCTTGCTGTAAACTGCCCCATGCCTAGGCCATTTTTCACCTCGTCTCTACCTGTTCATGTCCTCTCTACCTTTCACACTCTATCCTGAGCATCCTTTCTCAGGGAGCCTTCCCTGCCCTGGCTCACTAGGTCACAGGCACTGTGATTGGCCATATGGACCTCCAGCCTCCAGAACTGTGAGACTATAAATTGCACCTACTTTGTTACAGCAGCTTTAGGGAACTCATACAGTTGGCTTAGGTCAGGTCAGCAAGCTTTTTCTGTAAATGATAAGCTGTGTCAGATGATAAGTATTTTTGGCTTTGGGGCCATACTCAACCATGCAGTTATAACATGAAAGTAGCCATAGAAGATAGGTAAGCATGAGTGTGTCTGTGCACCATTAAGACTTTACTCATGGCTAGGCGTGGTGGCTCACACCTGTAATCCCAGCACTTTGGGAAGCTGAGGCAGGCAGATCACCTGAGGTCAGGAGTTCAAGACAAGCCTGGCCAACATGATGAAACCCCATCTGTACAAAAAATACAAAAATTAGCAGGGCATGGTGGCAAACGCCTGTAATCCCAGCTACTCGGGAGGCTGAGGCAGGAGAATTGCTTGAACCCAGGAAGTGGAGGTGGCAGTGGGCCAAGACTGCACCATTGCATTTCAGCCTGGACAACAAGAGCAAAAACTCTGTCAAAAAATAAATAATAAATAAATAAAAGACTTTATTCACTAGAACAGGCAGAAGGTTGATGTGACCAGTGTGTACTGCAGTTTCGGACTCTGGGTCTAGGGGACGGTGATGCAAATGAAAAGGAGAGGATACTGTACTAGATATCTGGGGGTGTCCTCTGCATCTTGGGTCTTCCCTATGTCTAGTTTAGAGTAGACTTCAGCCAGGGGCTCAGTCCATGTGGAACTCTGGATCTAAACTCACACTGGATGAATGGGTCCTTTGGGTCCAGAGCAAATGAGGGAGTTTGAAAGATGGTTTCAAATGTCCCTTTCAGGACTAGTATTCTGGTGACTGCTGATGGGGAACGAACAGTATTTTTGTGTCCATGTTTAGTGTGGCTTGTTACAAAGTAGATGCCCCAGCCTGAAGGCTCAATGGGGGCAGGAGAGGCACCGGGGCTATGCACAGTAGCTCCCTTTGTTCTGACACAGCACAAAGCGGCCCTTGCTCAGTGCCTGCTCCTGATGCTGGTGATAACAGCGCTGACAGTGAGGGGCTCTCAGCCTGAAGGTCATGCAGTTGGTGGAGAGACAGCAGCTTTGGAGTAAAATCCTGGATCTGCCACCTCTTGGCTGCTTGATCTTGGGTACGTTCCTTAATTAAGTTCTCTGATTCTTTTCTCACTCATCAGAGAGGAGAAAGCACAGTGCCAGGCACAAGGTAGACCCTCATAACATTTTAGTTTCTCCTTCTTCCATCTGGAGGCTCTGGGGTCAGCATTCCAGGTTCAAAGCCAACCCAGGTCACTAATAGTGTGAGCTTGGGCGAGTGACTTTACCTCATTTTTGCCCCATGGTGGTAGCTGCAAGGCATACTTTCTAGCGGACCTCAAAGTCTGCTCTTCACCCTCTACCCTTCTCTGAGCCCTGGGGAGGCTGATTCTCATGGACTACATCACCAGCTTCCCTTGGCTGCTGACTTCCAGAGAGGGGCACCCAATGGGAGTCATGAGCAGGAGATCAGAGGGCAAGAGGACAGAAGTCAGGTATCTATCTCCTGGATCCTCTCTGCTGGGCTGTGGTTTGGAAGTGCTTAGTTCCCAAAAGCCACAGCTTCTGTTGGGCGGCCCTTCTCCCATGGCTACTGCTCTCGACTTGTCCCAGTAACTCTCCTTCCATGCACCCCTCAGGCCTAGGGGTAGATGCAGCTTCCTACAGTTGCTACTTCCTCATGTTTAACCATCACTCATCAGCACCTATCACCCATCTATTTGTAAAAATTTCCTTCCTGAAACCCTCTTTTAAAATTATTTTTCATTGTGGTGAAGTGTACATAGCATCAAATTTAACATCTTAATGGCGTTCAAGTGTACAGCTCTGTGGCGTTAAGTACATTCGCCTTGTTGTGCAGCCATCACTATCAGCCGTCCCTAGAACCCTTCTCATCCTGAAAAACTGAGACTCTGGACCCATTCAATAGCAGCTCCTCATTTGCCCTTCCCTACCTTCCCCTCTAGCAACCATTATTCCACTTTCTGCTCCTATGAATTTTCTACTCTAGGTACCTCACATAAACGGAATCATATAGTATTTGTATTTTTGTGACTAGCTTATTTCACTCAGCATAATGTCTTCAAGGTCTATCCATGTTGTTGCCTGTGTCCGAATTCTTCCTTTCTATGACTGAATAATATCTCATTGTCTATATTACATTCGGTTTATCCATCCATCCACTGATGGACACTTGAGTTGCTTCTACCTTTTGGCTACGTAATTAATGATGGCTGTACAAATGATGAATATGGGTGTACAAATACCATTCGATCCTCTTTAACTGTCCTTTTGAGGGTTCCATCTGGGTTCCTACCATGACCCTCACTGATATATAATGTATATCTCATATCATCATGCCTTTTTTTTCTTTTTCTTTTTTTTTTTTTTTTGAGATGGAGTCTTGCTCTGTCTCCAGGTTGGAGTGCAGTGGCTCGATCACGGCTCACTGCAACATCTGACTCCCTGGTTCAACCGATTCTCCTGCCTCAGCTTCCCAAGTAGCTGGGATTACTGACATGTGCCATCATGCCCAGCTAATTTTTGTATTTTTAGTAGAGGCGGGGTTTCACCATGTTGGCCAGGATGGTCTCAATCTGTTGGCCTCGTCATCTGCCCGTCTCAGCCTCCCAAAGTGCTGGGATTACAAGCATAAGCCACTGTGCATGGCTCATCATGCCATTTTTAATAACTGAATCAATCAAGTGAATGTGTGAGTGCATGGCACACAGAAAGCACTCAATAAGCGTCAGCTACTGTTACGATTAGGGAGGTTTTCTGAGTGTGGCAGAGACTCTTCATCCCTAGCAGCAGCTCAACTACCCTCCCCCACCTAGCTGGGCTGGGACCATGTGACTGCAGTCTAGAGAGTGGAGTGTGACCAGAGTAGGACAAAAACCTCCCTACCTAATCCTTTATGCCTTCTCTTTTTCTGTGGGCTAGATGCCTACCTGGCAAGAAGGTCCCGGATGCCACGTGTTAAAGATAGCAGAGCCTCCATCTGCCTGGGCCTCCTGATATGTGAACAGAGGAAAGTGCTCGTATTATCACCTCTGTTTTACAGATGATGAAGCTAGAAGATGTGGTAACTTGCCCAGCGAGTAGCAGAGCCTGGATTAGAACATAAGCAAGCAGCCTGGCTCAAAGGTCTGTACGCCTCAACACTATTCTACACTGTCTCTCGCAGACTTAGGAACAAGCCTTAGCAATTAGATTTCCCTTTTCTTGAACAACCCCCAGACTCAGTCTAAACTCAAGATTGCTGCAGTGGGAGTCCATGAAGCTGAGCAGTACACCATAGGGCCAGGGTGTCCTGGTGTGACATTGCAATTTCAGTACATTTCAATTCCCAGTGGTGCAGGCTGGGAGGGCCATGAGGAGGGAGGGAAACAGACCTGTGCCTGCAGCTGCTTTCTTGGCCACCTCTGTCCTCCTCCTTGGTGTTCTTTCCTCTTAGGGCTGGAGGCCTGCTCTCACCACCTGGGAAGGAGTCTGGAGAAAGACGGGTCCTCCCTGGCTCCGTGGCGGCAGAGCCGGGATTACCCACTGACATTATAGCTGGCAGCCGTGGGCTGTTGGCACCCTTTAAAAGAACACGATGGCAATTTTCCAGCTAAATTCTCCCAATTAGGCAGTTAGAGAAACATTATCCACCTCAGCATAAAGCTGATGAAATGGAGGGGGAGGGCGGAAGGAGGTGTGCTAATCTGCCTGCATTGGATCCTATGGTTTAGAGAATGTACATATTTCCAGGGGTGCTCTGTGTCCCTGGAGAAGTTTGCAGGGGTCTCATGAGCTGCCTGGGGGCAAACAGGTGATCCCATCCAACTCAGCCACTTGAAGGGTCTCATCCTTCTAAGCAAGGAATACAAATCGTTCTCCAAAATCCCAAAACTTTCTCATCTCTGGTCTAGACTAAGTGGGTAAAGGGAGGCATATGAGCAGAATTTATAAAGTCAGAGCCAGAAGGAAGCTTGGAAGCTTTTCTTCCCCATCCCACCTAGACTCAACACAGGGATTGGGAAACAGGTCCATCAAGGAAAGCTCAAGCTGTGACACAGGCCATAATTCCTGACCATTTACTCACAGCAATTAGCAGAGTTCCATGGTTTTCTCATTTACCAAGCCTTTCTTTCCTAAATGTAGGCATTTTCCAGCCATTGTCATATTTAATTCTTATGATAACCCTGGGCAGTAGGTATTCCTGTTGTCCCAATATGCACACGAGGAAACTGAGACACAGGCACATGTATGGAAGCCAGGCCAGGGAGGGATTCCACAGGCAGACCAAGGCAATGTCCAGCCCCTCAGAAAGGCCCAGGATCCTGTTACCAGAATTCCTGGTCGTCAACACACATTGATTTAATGATGATGATAATGATAATCATACACTGAGCACTATGCCAAGTGTAGAAACCAGAATATCTAATTTAATCCTTACAAGTATTTGTATAAAATGAGAGTCATCACTCCTCACATTGCAAATGAGGAAACTCTGGACTAGAGAGATGAAGGAGCTCGCCTGTGGTTGGATCCTGTGGTGGGATCCGATCCTCACACTTGAGCCGGTGCTCCTGACAGCCATGGAAGGCCACCCCCACTTTGGACAAGGGCCACCCAGCATATCAGGCACAGTGCGCCCTGCAAAGAGGTGGACAACAGTCCTTGCCCTTAGGGTAGATACTCTATAAAGCACCTAAACCAATTAGATAATAACATAAACCAGTGACAAGTTCCCAGCTAGCCAATGCTGATGGAGCTCAGAGAAAGAGAAAGAGAGAGACTCCCTGGGGCTGAGGCTGTCAGGGCTTCTCTGTGAGAGATGAGGATATGGAGAGATAATTATTGCAGGGCAATAATTATTGTTTGGATTATTTTTATTATTTTTGCATTTATTATTGTATTTATTATTGCAATAATTATTGCAGGGCAAAAAAATCATTACTGCAGGGCAGTCCGGGCAAAGAACTCTGAGCAGAGAGGTGAGCAGACAGGTGTCTGAAGGCCCAAGAGCTCAATGGTCTGGTTCCCACGGAAGAAGAGTGGGACAGAAGATCATAAACATGAGCGGAGATCATACTGTGTAGGGATGCAGATGTCAGGATACAATGTTAGGACTTCATCATTGGCAATAGGGAGCCTTTAAACATTGGGAGGCAAAGTACCAAGATATCTCTCCAGGATGAACGACCTAGTTATGGTGTTCAGGATGAATTTGAGGACAGAAAACCCAGAAACCCAAAGACATTGTTAATGACAGGAAGAGGACATTATGAAAGCTATGCTGACAGAACATGGCGGCTGACTGGAAAGATCTAGGCAACCAGGCCTATTATCATCACTGATAAGATGATAGTCCATGCACATGATCCTTCCATTAATTATGTTTCCTTCTACCACAAGTGTTTCTTCCCCTCAACAAAAGGTTGAGGTCTGAGGGAGAAACAGGCTAATCAGGGCTGCATCAGGAGAAGAGGCCCTAACTACTTGGCACCAGTGCTGGGGAAAAGTCCTCAAGCATGAAGGAGCCCCATGTCCTCTGATTCCCCCACAATCATGTCCTACTTGTTTATAGGGAATCTAATAAAAAGCAAGGAAGCAAGGAGTAGCTGATTTGTTGAGGTTTCCCTAGGCCAGCCTCAAAGTCCACAGAGCCTTTCAGATTTACATAACCCTTCAGGGAGGGTTTACTGTCATCCTCATCCCTCATTCACTCCCACAATATCCAGCAGGGGGCAGGGAGCAGGGGGCTTGAAAGGGTTGGCTCCACCAGGGACACACAGCAAGTCAGAGGCTGCCCCAAGTCTATCCTGTGAAGCGACTGGAGGTGGCAGTCCTTCTTCATTAATCACAAGTAGCGTGGAATGAGAAGGTACCAAGAAAGGTGTGTGTGCCTGCACTGTCCTAGGGCACCCATAAAAATAGAGAAAACACCACTTTACAAACTGCCAGGATACATAACTCCACAATGGACTTACAATCTATAAAAAGCACGGCTCCATGCCCGGATTGAGGAGCTGGAAGAGCCAAACTGGAAGTGAGTGAGCAAAGATCATGTGAAATGACTTCCTCAGTCCAGATCCACATCACTGGGCCCTTCGTGACAATTACTGTGCATGTTCTCCCCCGTCCCCTCCCTGCCCCCCTCACCTCTTCCCAGCCTGATTTTGCCTGTAATTTTGAAAAGCTATGGCTGTTTCATTGGGACTTGGCTCAAGTCTGCCAGGAAATGCAAATTCAGGACAGAAATAGTGGAATTTGGACACGATGGCAGAGCCAAGCTGCTGCCAATCCCAGCTCTACCTCAAAGTTTGATGTGGGGAAGAGGAATGGAGGATTTCTAGGGACTAAGAGAAGGTGTTAGCCAGAATTCTGTTTGTTTAAAAAGTCTCACCCAAGCTGTACCAGGGTTCCCGTTCTTTGGAGATATCTAACAAACTCTATTCCCTGCGACCCAAAGGGGTCTCTATTCTCAAAAGGAGAACTCTGTTTCTCCTATACAAGGTGAGTGCCAAATATTGCCAATGAAGTCAGAAGTAGATTGAAGAAATTTGAAAACTCTAGGTTCTCTCCTTGGCCCTTTACGTGACACCCAAGAACAGGCCACAGCGCTTCCTAAGCACGAACTAGCATAACTAAGAAAAGACGCTCTCATACAGGCCCAGCATCACACACTAGGACAATGTTATGGTTGTCACATTCTATGATGTGTGCCTTTTGCCTTCCCACTTGAATATTTTTGAAATGTGGCTGGGGGTGGTGGTTCACACCTATTAATCCCAGTGCTTTGGGAGGCCAAGGCGGGAGGATCACTTGAGCCCAGGAGTTCAAGGCTGCACTGAGCTATGATCACATTAATTCACTCTAGCCTAGGCGACAGAGTAAGACCTTGTCTCTAAAGAAATTTGTTTAAATGATTTTTTGAAATGTGCACATTTGCAATGCCTACATATAAAAGAATCTGTATTTCCTCAATAATTTGTATTAGGATTTTTATTAGATATGTTGTATGTTGCATTCTGTGGAGTCATATATGGAGGACATGTGTGTGCTGGGGGTGGAGCTAAGACCATGCATTGGTTGGTCATCTTCTTGAACTGGTCTCCCTAGTGACACTGGCTGAAGGTGCCTCTGGCCCAAATGCTCCTTTTAGTCTTTGAGGGTTCTTGGACTTTTGAAAGGCCAGGTGAGACCAAGAAAGCGAAAGAAAATTTTGAGTTACTGGTTTTGTTCTGCTGCTCTTGAGGTCCTAGGCAGGACCGAGTCAAGACCCATTGTTAACCCAGGAGAAAGCGGGCAAGGCAGTCTGTTCTGGTTCTGTAAAGAAGAAATGACCCAGGAATTTGTAGGATACATAGGTCTGGAGGATTTAGGACCTTGGCCATCACTAGATGAAACCAGCAGTTGTTACAAGGAGTGGTACTGCCATTTGGCATTTTCAGGAACCTGTTCATGTAAAAACCTGCCACTCTGATAGTGACTTGCTTTAAGAGTAGGGAACACTCTAGCCACCTTTTCACCTGGAGTGGCACTGATGGTATTCTTTCCCTGAGGATATACCCCTTGCTGGTAAAGCCCCAGAAAACAGGCTGCAGTCACATAATTTTTAATTTTTTTTTTACAGTTTTAGTGGTATTCTCATTTTATAAACTACCATTTATGACCACTTATTGTGTGCCAGACACTATGTGAAAGTGTTCTACATAGATTATATTTATCCCTAAGTGTTAAATTTTTCCCAAAGTCCCACGACCGCTTAGTCCAGAAGCTCATGTTTGAATCCATGCCTGTCTGGATCCAAAATCTGTCTACTAAACCATGATACTTGGACTGCTTCTGCAGCTTTTAAAAGCATCAAAGCTGATACATATGGAAGTCAAAGACTCTGACCCAGAGCAAAAGTCTTGGAGTTCCACCAAAACAGACTTCTTCAGCCTTGTTACGCAGATGACACCTGGAACCTATTCAAAATTAAATCACCCAAAGGAACAATTCCCAGCCTGGACACTTGTGGGTCTCCTAGGAAGGAGCACCCCCTAGAATGAGTTTCTGATCTTCATGATGGTTTGATAGAGGGACTTCCATATGCATAAAAGCTGGTTACACTGTTAATGACTAGAAACTGTTATCATGCTGATTAATGCTGCCATTGTTCACAGCAATAATTAACCCAGCAGGAAGGACTAACAGGAATGAAATAGTGGCTAATTCATCTCCAAGGAATTGCCAAGTGATGTTTATTTCGTGAAAACTGGAGGGAACCAAACACACAATCATTTTTCTTTGACACTGACGTTTTCTGTCTACCAGGCTGGCAGCAGCAGCAGCAGAGCCCTTCCATATCCAATTTCAGGTGAACAGTCAGAAAAGACTCATGCAGGAGGAAAGAGACAGAAGAACGTGTCTTTGGCTAAACACCCAACTGTGGCACGCTGCCTCTGTGGGTCTCCTGTCTTCCCTCCAATCTTAACATCTTTCTAAAGAGCCAGCGCTCACCTGAGTTGCTAATTAAGTTATTTCCTTGTTCTTCTGACTGGAAATGTTTTTCTTGCAGCATTGCCAAATGGAAATGGCTCTTAATTATGTCAACTCATGAAACCACACCAAAGACAATCCTATCAGAACCCTCATTTGTCACATGACTTAAAGAATAAAAAAAGATAAGCCAGTAGATGGGAGGCCAGTAATAACCCTTTTCATCATAAAGCTCTTCATAGCTACGTTCATCAGCTTTCAAATCCAGCCTTGGATGTGGCTCTTTAAAACTACTCCATGTGCAAAATGGAACAGAACCAAGAAGGATATCTTCTTAAGTAGGAATATAAAAAGAGTGCTACCTTTTGTCCCATTTAAAATTAGACTTAATTTGATCTTTCAGAAAGCACAGTTGATCTTGATATTTGGTCAGAGTGCTCAGTTGCAGGGTGATGGTGCAAGTCTCAAAGGCAACAGGGACCAAATTTTCTAGGCCTTCTCTATCTTCCTCATAATAGTTGCTCCAGGAACACGTGCTTTGTAGAAATCCTGTAGGAGGGATGTGATTTCTGTCTAGTGCCATCCAACAGAGTTCCACACTGGGCCTGGGAGGAGAAAGAGGGGATGTGATGACACAGCAGAGAGAGAGGCTTGAAGATGCTTCACTGCTGCTTTGAAGACAGAGGAAGGAGCCTTGAGCCAAGGAATGTAGGTGGACTCTAGAATCAGGAAAAAGGCAAAGAAATGAATTCTCTCCTAGGATTTTAAGAGTGAATGTGACCCTGCCAACATCTTGATTTCAGCCCAGTGAAATCCATTTTGGACTTCAGACCTATGGAACTGTAAGAGACTCAGTTTGTGTCGCTTTATGCCACTAAATCTGTGGTAATTTGTTAAGACAGCAGTAGGAAACGAATACACCAAGTGATCTAAGGACTTGCACCTTGCACACGTGCCTGTTCTGTGCCCACCTTGAGAGCTGCATCCTACCTGTGCTCAGCCCCCAGTAGGTCTTCTATTTTCCCTATTATAGTCTTGGTTTACTTGATGGGCCTCTGCAATCACTGGCCCACCACCCATATCCCAGCTAACTTCCTTCTTCCTGCTTTAGAGGTGATGGGTCTAATCCTAGTGTTTTGTTCACAGGATTGATGCCAGACCCTTTCTTATAAGCCCAGCCCCCATTCCTTGGTAATTTATCATGAAATCTCTTTCCTTTCTCCTAACTACTCACTACATGGAACATACTATATTTTTCCCATTTAGCAATACAGAGGCTAAAGTTAGAGAGGTATTAAATGGCCAAATTTACACACCTAGTACATGGTAGGGCCAGGATTATAACCTAGATCTGCATAATTCCAAAGTCTATGTTCTCAAGGACTCTTCGATATGGTCATTCTCATGAACCACCCCTCCAGGAGACATCAGGAGCTGTGGCCCAGAGCCTCACCTCTTAACCCCAAAGACATAGGATGAAATTTAGGAACTCCAATACCTTAAACCTTTCTGATGAGAGTCAAAACTGACTTAATCTCTACTTGATTTCATTCAAGAGAGGGCTAGATTAAAGTCACATTCTCATGTGGCATAGTTTGTGTGGCTTTAGACCCATCGGCCACTGGGGTTCCAAAAAGAACCCGCCCCTGCAACCAGCCATCACCTGACTCTTCCAAAAGGTTCCCCTGAACCCAATATCCTGCCTGTCCTAAGTATTTACTGACACTGAGGCTGCTGCGTCCTGTCAAAACTCAGAAGGGTTTCACTTCCATAGTTAACCAGTGTTCAAGGGATCATTCATTCCGATATTCCTGGTTGCTCTGTATTTAGTTTTGGAAGCCATTCTATGAGGTGAAAACAATCTCATCATTAACATTTAAAAAATGCCATTATCATAAAAAATGGAGGCATTTATGACAGAGAGAGGACAATCAACACTTCTTCCTGGTTTGAAGGCTTTTCCTCTTGCAAAAAAGTTTTCTGTAAGGCATCCTGAGCTAGTGGTTCTTGTGCATAAAACCATGCATAGGGTTTAAGAGCAGGAAGGGCCCTGGCCATGACCCAGAGATGACAGTATCCAGGATAATGACGCACATGTGGTTATGCAGGAGCTGCTGTGAATTCCAGTTTAGTGCTCCTTTCTCAACTCCAAGTCACCGCCCAACACTCCAATTTGACTGATTTCTCAGAGAATTCCAGTTGTTCATAAGCTGCCCTGGGACACTCACTCGGTTTACCAAATGGTAGCTCCTTTTACCATCCCCCAAATGTAGGGGCAACTTCCGGTTGCTTTCCATTGAACTGAGGGTGAGGAGTTGGCCAGCTTGGCCCCAGACTGCCCTGCAGATAATGCTGCTTCTAAATTCCATTTCACTAGGGCCTATGTTTAGGTGTCTCCAGAAAGAGGATGTTCTGAAATAGAACTCAAAGTGAAGGCTGTCACAGGATCATGGGAAACACACTCAGTTATTACATACTTAGACTATACAAGCCAAGGTCTCAGACCACACTCTCGAGAGGAGAACCAAGAATAACTATTTGGTTGCTCATAAAATGGTCATTATTCTAACCCTGAAATTAAAACAAGGCCATCCAAGTCTCTGGGGTCAGGGATGCTATTTCTGGAAGGTGCCTGCCTTTCACATGTGCATCAAGGCCCTGAGCTCTGGTACCTGGAGTATTTTTTGGCTCATCACAGCTTTTCTCTGACTTGAGGCAAGAACCCTGGGAGCCATTTGGTTCCATCACTTTTTGTTTACCAGGTGTTTCTGGCTTACAGGCAGTTCTCTCTGTAAAGCTATATCAGTTTCCCCCCACACAACAAAGGGATACAGATTGAAAAGAGGATGACACCATCTTTCACCCCAGAGCATAGCCACATGGTCACAGTGTCCCTTTATTTTAGGTTACCGGTAACACCATCACCACCTCCTAGAACAATGAAGCTCCCTGCATTCTATTGGCACCACAGGGTTATTTGGGTCTCCCATTGGTCAATGTCTATGACCGACCTTTCAACATCAAATATTCTTGCTTCTCTCCCAGCCCATCCCCATCCCTAGGAAATATGGATTTAGGCACATAATAGGATAGTAGAAAGGTCCAAAGAAGCTCATTCTTCTACAAAATCCTTGAACTTTACCTACCCCTACAGAAAGCTAGTTCTAAAATCTAGGCCTGAGTAAAAAGAATCCTGATACATGTAGACTGAGAAATAATTACTCTTTATAATACAATATGGTGATTATGAAATGACCAAAATGATTAATGGGAAAAATACATATGAGGGATCTTCAAAAACTTAATGGAAAACGTTTACTATGAAAAAACCATGCATGGATTAAAAAAAAAACTGCACCAAAATCAACTTATACTAGCTTGTTATGACATGTCTGAACAGGATCTAGTTTGAGGTACTAAGAAAGGTAAGACTTCAGTTTGTAAAGAATCTCTATCAGAGCAACATGAACTCTGCTAAAATTGAAACAGGAACAAACATCAAATTTATAACAAAGCTTGAGTAGAAGAATGGTGAAATCATTGATGCTTTATGAAAAGTTGATGGGGACAAAGCCCACCTCCCAGTCAGTAGTTTACACATGGGTAACTCATTTCAAGAAGGAATGAGATGATGTTGAATATGAAGCCCACAATAAACCAGCTAGATCAATTTTCCAAAAAAAAAAATTCAACTTGTTTGTGCTCTAATTGAAAAGGACTGATAATTAAAAGCGCAAACCATAGCCAATGCCACAGACATCTCAACTGGTTCAGCTCACACAATTCTGACTGCAAAAATAAAGTTGAACGAGGCCTTTACTTGATAGGTGCCAAAACTGTTGTACCCAAACAGGCTGCAGACAAGAGCAGAGATTTCAGTGGAAATCTTAAACAAATGAGATCTAGATCCTGAAGGATTTCTTCTAAGAATTGAAATGAGGAGGCACATGGTTTTACCAGTATGATCCTGAAGACAAGGCACAATCAAAGCAATGGCTACCAAGAGGTGGAAGGGGTCCAGTCAGAGCAAAGGCAGACTGGTCAACAGCAAAAGTCATGGTGACAGTGTTTTGGGATGTTCCAGGCAATTTGCTTGCTGATGTTCTAGGGGGCCAAAAAACCATAAAGTGTGCTTAATATGGCAGTGTTATGAGAAAGTTAGCCAAAGTTTTAGCTGAAATACACCCAGGAAAGCTTCGCCAGAGAGCCCTTCTCCACCACAACCATGCTCCTGCTCATTCCTCTCATCAAGCAAGGGCAATTTTTCAAGGGTTTCAGACGGAAATCATTAGGCATCCACTTAACAGTCCTGATTTGGCTCCTTCTGACTTCTTTTTACTTCCTAGTCTTAAAATCTGTAAAGGGCCCCCTTTTTTCTTCAGTTAATGTAAAAAAGATGGCATTGATATGGTTAAATTCCCAGGACCCTCAGTTCTTTAGGAATAGACTGAATGGCAGGTATCATTGCTTACAAAAGTATCTTGACCTTGATGGAGTTGTACTGGGAAATAAACTTTATTTTGTATCTTTTAACTCCATCTTCCTATGAACTTTTTGAAGTCCCCTTAAATACACATACACACACACATAGACAAGCAGGGTTGCTGTGAGCAAATCCAGTATCACTGTGTGGACTAGAACAAGACATTCCTTTGGGGAAAATTGGAAAAGAGCTCCCTTTCCTCTGGGCAGACACTGACCCATGTCAGGGATGACTTAACAAGCTGATCAAAGAAGGGATTGATTCCAGATACCACTTCACCCCTTCTAAACTAGGTGCTGGTGCAGTGCTCTACACAGCAACTCTAGAGAGAAGTATAGATGTAGATATGGATATAGGTCAAGATTGTGAGAAATAGAGTGATTAAAAGCCATCTAAAGAAAGAAGTTAAATGTTTATCGTTTCAAGGAAATAAGTTGGAAAACAGAGAAACCTCAAAGGAAAAGTAATTACCAATAATATCACCGAGAGATCATCCCTATTTAAATGTTGGTTGTGATGCTTTCTATTCTTCTTTTTAAAATGAATACATATGGAGAATACCGATGTGGTATTGTGCTGTACCTTCTACTTCATGGCCTTTGTTTTTAGCCTATTATATCCTGCCCTCTTCACATATGAGCTAACATATATTTCAAGCATCCCCTTGTAACAGAAATGTAGCATTCTCTTGACCTATTACACATTTGGCCAATCCTATGGTTGGAACTTCAGGCTAACTAGGTTTCTTTCTTTCTGTTTTTATTTTTTGTTTTTCTGTTTTTATTTTTTTGTTTTGTTTTGTTTTTGTTTTTTGTTTTTTGTTTTTTGAGATGGAGTTTCACTCTGTCGCCAGGCTACAGTGCAGTGGCGCAATCTCGGCTCACTGCAACCTCCGACTGCCTGGTTCAAGTGATTCTCTTGCCTCAGCCTCCTGAGTAGCTTGGATTACTGGCACACGCCACCATGCCCAGCTAATTTTTGTATTTTTAGTAGAGATGGGGTTTCACCATGTTGACCAGGATGGTCTCGATCTTCTGACGTGGTGATCCACCTGCCTTGGCCTCCCAAAGTGCTTGGGATTATAGGCATGAATCACTGCACCCGGCCGCAATTAGGTTTCTTAATTCCTGTCTTAGCCACCTGCATGCCATGGAAAGCCTTCTCGCTGGAAACAAAAGCAAAGGAATCACCAAGTCTTGTAGTTAGGATGAAGATATAACCTATTAACAAAAAGGTGGAGAAATGCCCTTCTTTGGGAAAATATATCCAGGGGAGCTTGTTCCTGACTCACAGTGAAGGTTTACCCTGACTCCCACTGGTCACTCGGCCTTCACCGTGAGGGAGGTCCCTGGCTTCCACACTCACGGAGCCAGATGCCATTGTCAGAATCCAGTGACAAACGGCAGCTGGCTGAAGCTGAGACAGCTTGTTCTGCACCCCTCTCCCTGCAGAGCATCCCCTCCTACCACATTTTTCCCCCAAAGCAGAGAGAGGGAGGAAAAGAACGTGACTGCCATTTGTGCCTGGGCATTATCTAATTCCTGCCAACGAACGCATTCCTTCCATACCTGTCCATCAGCTTGAGAGGAATGAAGCCTGGGAACAGGGGCTCACATTTCCTGAGCAAAGTTCTTTATCTTTCCTCAGGTAGAGACGAAACCAGCTTGCTACAAGCTGAAATATGCTTTCAGCCTGGCTGTAGTAAGAGTACCTCAACTAGGGCCCTAGAGATCACACTCCTCAGGAACTTCATTTTGCAAGCTTGCTTTTTAGCTCATCTCATGGTGGCAGGTTTGCACTGAGACCCACAGACAGAAGCGGCCCATGGAATTATTGCAAGAGATGCTACATTTATCTTAGAAAGTCGGGCTTTGCTGCCTTCTAGCTCTCCAATGGCACATCGTTAGACATCAAAGGACCTTGTAGGACTATCTTCCTTTGCAGGATCCTTTGATAAATTTTTATTTTAAAAATCATGTATTTTAGACATCCTATTTATGTTCTGAAGTGACAAGTGCTCTGGAAAAATTTAAAAAGCAAATGTATTTAAATAAAGAAGAGACAGAGAGAAGGAAAGCAGGAGAGAGAGAGGAAGAGGGAAAGGAGAAAGAGAGACAGAGAGAGATGTGAGACCTCACGCAGGCAACACCATGATGTTGCTAAAGGGTAAGATATTTTGTAATCCTCAGAGCCTCTTTCCTCTCTTACTACCAATTAACAAAAGAAGTCAGCATAAGAGAAATGTCTTTGATTCATAGTCAAGGGACTTTAGTGGTGACATCATGAAAAGCACAACTTAGACCTGGACTGGGTGGCCCTCTCAAATGACATCATGGTTGACACAGAGCACTGCCTCTCACAAGCACTACATCATCTGCTTTGCTCAGACACAGGCTCTGCTCCCTTGACACGACAACATTAACCAGTGGAGGCACCAGGGTGCAAGGGGCAATGCTGGAGATGCCCGAGTCTGCCAAATTGTCTGGATCTTTCTTCTAATCAGGCTGGAGAGGCAGGCCCTGCTGAGTCAGAGCCCAGAGGTGACAGGAGGAGACAGCATTTGCCAGAGGTTAGGCCACAGATGGGGATCACTTCAAACCTGATCCTTGGTTGCCCAGATTTTTCTCTCCCACTTAACCAAATGACCCCATGATCCATTAGTCACTCTTTACTGAGATCCACTGGGAGTCATCAGGACTTCACGATCCACATAATTACAATGAAAAGTCTGCACTGACTTCAAGGCCTCAAGTAATTTATCCAAAAGATTCCCCAGATGACTTACCATGGTTTCATCATCAGAGAGTTGGTCTGATAGTTACTCCTGTTGATCAGACAATTTCTTCTTCCATCCCTACAAGGAAGCCATTTCAAGATGGTACCTCTCACACTCAGTCATCATCACAAAAAAAGGAAAAAGAAAATGTTTTATATGAGGCTAAGAGTACCAATGAGGACAATCAGAAAAGTCGAGTCATAAAATCAAGGGCTTTACTCTCCAATGCAGAGAATGGTAAAATAGGCACTGCCCTTAAAACTGCTGTAGCAACTTGCCAGAGTACACTTTCAATTATTTATCAGAAATCCCAGTGCTTCCCAATTACTAAAAGGAAGCAGCAGCTGCTAGGCCCATGAGGCTCCACACAAAATGGTTTGCCCAGGCACAGACAAAATATTTTAGTTTTGTGCCCTGAACTCAAGTTGAATGGTTTTCAAATAGAATGTGGAGTGGTCATCTTTGTCTAAAATCGGAGCAACTTAGAAGAACAAAACCGGAAGAAGATAGTCAGCATTCAAGCATCAAGTCTCTGGTAAAAATAGATGCTTTCAAATGGGTTTATCTAACTCTATTGTCAAGCAAATCAGGGTCTTTCTGGGTCAGATGCTATTCTGGACATGAGAGCAGGGGCTCTGGTTTCGCTTGGTCTCTTATCTTTAGCATCTGGCACTGTACCTGACACCTAAACCTGTGTGAGTGAATGAATGAATTAAATCAGAACTGTAGTTTTGTGGCCAAGTCAAAGTTCACTTAAGTTCAGAGAGCAAACAGTGACATACGGCAAATTAGGAAATTTAGCATCATTACTTGGCTTCTGTAGAGCTCTAACAAGAAGGGTTTTTCCTCAACCCCAAAATGGCTCAAAAGCCTTAAAAATGTTTATAACATTTGACCCAGTAATCCCACTTTGGGAATCTAACTTACAGAAATAATCTAATAAATAAGGAGGGAAGCATCCTATTTTAAAAATTATTTCTCAAGGCATTAAAAACTTACCAAATGTACCATAGAATGATTAGGTGAACTAAAGATTATTTAAATGAAAAACTGTTATTTATTTAATAATTATTTAAAAGAAACAGGTAAAATGCTTATGATGTTGAATGAAAGCATATTAAAAAGCATGTTATATAATGTTCTTTAAAAAGCATAAATAGAAGAAAATAGGCAAAATGTCAATAATTTTCTTTGGGACACGGGTCATGGATTATATATATACACACACACACATTTATATATATATACATATATATATTTATATATATATATATAATTTATATGTGTGCATATATAAATTTTTTAAATTTGTCTGAAACACTGCCCTAAGAAATCACTTCGCTCTTCAGTAGCTTCTAAGAAGGAATCCTTTTTCTGGGCTCTTCCATCCTGTAGTGTAATGCTATATATCTTTATTTATTTATCTTTTTTAAGGTGGAGACACCCTGTTTTGCCCAGGCTGGAGTGCAGTGGCACAATCTTGGCTCACCACAACCTGCGCCTCCTGGGTTCAAGCTATTCTCCTGCCTCAGCTTCCCGAGTAGTTGGGATTACAGGCTCCCAACACCACGCCTGGCTAATGTTTTTGTATTTTTAGTAGAGACGAGGTTTCACCATCTTGGCCAGGCTGGTTTGAACTCCAGACCTCAAGTGATCCACCTGTCTCGGCCTCCCAAAGTGTTGGGATTACAGGTGTGAGCCACCGCGCCCAGCCTGTATCTCTTTTAACCAAGAACTTGGATATTGTTTCAAAGAATTCTCTGATCCCTTCATGTTGCCAGCCAACATGGACGGTGAGCCTGGCAAATGTAATTACTAAGTTCTCTCTGGTGACAGCATTGCACACTCCAGGCGACTGCAGCTCACGCTCATCTGCTTGTCACTAAAAGGCGGCTTGTATTTGGAGTTACTGGAAATAAGAGATGACTTTTGAAAGATACATATACTCACAGGCAAAGGTGGAGCTGGGGGAGGAGCCAGCAGCATCAAACTGTGGTTATAAGACACTTGGAATTGGACTTGGACACGGCAGGGGAGCGGGGGTTATAATTCCTTGGTAAGCTGCTTGTTCATCGAAACCTACAATTTGCCATACTCTGCAAGCACCTGGCCCGAAAGGCCATGCGTCACTCCATTGTTTCCCTGTGTTTTTGCACCAGGAGAGCACGTGTGAGTAAGATGCCCCTCTCTAATGTGCTGAAATGGCAATCAAATCCAAACTCTCTTAAGAGATACTTATATTGATAGTTCTCTAGGCTGGGTGTGGTGGCTCATGCCTGTAATCCCAGCACTTTGGGAGGCCAAGTGGGGAGGATCATTTGAGGTCAGGAGTTCAAGACCAGCCTGGCCAACATGGTGAAACCCTGTCTCTACTAAAAATACAAAAATAAGCCGGATGTGGTGGTGGGCGCCTGTAATACCAGCCACTCAGGAGGCTGAGGCAGGAGAATCTCTTGAACCCGGGAGGCAGAGATTGCAGTGAGACGAGATTGCGCCATTGCACTCCAGCCTGGGCAATAGAGCGAGACTCAGTCCCCCCAAAAAAAAGTTCTCTAAATTCTTGACACTGCCTCATTTGGACATTTGGGATAAACTAAAAATAAGGTCAAGGTCATGAAAACCAGGAAAAAAACTGAAAAAACTGTCACAGTAAAGAGACTGAGGAGACATAACAACTGAATGCAACATGGCACTGCGGAGTAAATCCTGGAAAAGAGAAGAGGATATTAATGGGAAAACCAGTGACACCAAAATATAGTTTGGAGTTCTGTTAATAGTAATATACAAATGCCAGTTTCTTTGGTGGTTTTTTTTGTTTGTTTGTTTGTTTGTTTGTTTGTTTGTTTTTCCTGAGATGAAGTCTTGCTCTGTCACACAGGCTGGAGTGCAATGGCACAATCTCGGCTCACTGCAACCTCCACCTCCTGGGTTCGAGCGATTCTCCTGCCTCAGCCACCTGAGCAGCTGGGATTACAGGTGCCCACAACTGCGCCGGGCTAATTTTTGTATTTTTAGTGGAGACAGGATTTCACCATTTTGGCGAGGCTGGTCTTGAACTCCTGACCTCATGATCCACCCATCTCGGCCTCCCCAGGTGTTGGGATTACAGGCATGAGCCACCGTGCCCAGCCAGTTTCTTAGTTTTGACAAATGTACCATAGTAATGTAAGATGCTATTAATGAAGGAAACCAGACTAGAGGTTTAGGAGTACTCTCTGTACTATCTCTAAAACTTTTCTGTAAATCTAAAATTATTCCAAAATAAAAAGCATATTTAAACAAAAGTCATGACCTCCAAAGAAAATTAGGAAGATAAGGAATGGTGTTTGTTATTAGGCTCAGCAGACATCCTGGTGGAACTGTAGAAAGAGCTGAGATAACAGTGAGATGATCTGATTCAAAACTCCCTTGTTCTCTTTGGTGGGACCCAGGTAAGTCACTTAAATTCACAGAATGTCCATTTCCTCATATGTAAAAATGAAAATAATAACACCTGGTTGACAGAGCTGTTGCAGGTGTCATATGAATAAGCATCATCAGGGTCGTGAGGTTGTTCATTTACTGCTGTATCCTCCCTGCCTAAAACAGTGCCTAGCCCAAAGTAGGCACCTGATAAATATTTGTTACATGAGCAAATATATGGAAATAGTTCAATATGTCATCCACTTCAATATATTGTTGCTGTTAATAATAATATCGAAGCCTCATTAATCTGCTTAAAAATAATCTGAAACATGAGGGAAGGAAAAATACATTCTAGTATATGAATATGGAATACTACAAAGCAGTTAGTTAAACTAGACTGATCATGTGTCAGCATGAGGAGCTCAACATAATGTTGAATGAAAAATGCATGCTACAGAATGATAGAGTATACTATTTATGTATAATGTTTGAAAATATACAAAATGTTGCAATATGTGCCACATATAGATACGTATTTAAGTGGTGAAAAAAAATCAAGAAACATGGACCACAGAGGTTCACTAAATACACAGTAGTGGTCATCTCCGGAAAAGGGCAGAGTGCCCTTTGAGGCACAGCCAGGTCATAGGAGCAAAGACCCTCTGGGTTTCAAATAACATAGCTATAGACAGGTCTAAGATTAAGTTAGCTCACCCATTGGCTGCATTAATTATCTGCAACTACATTACTTAGCTGTTAACGAACACACAACAATGCACAAGTTAAAATAGTAAAACATACGAAAATCTGTTTGGGGATTACTGATTGTAAATTACATGCTTGGAATAGGTTAGCACAGTGGTTCTCCGAGCGCAGTACCTGGAGCAGCATCAATATCATCTGGGAACTTGCTAGAAATGCAGGTTCTCAGGCCCCAGCCAGACCACCTACTGAATTCTGAACTCTGGGAGTGGGACCCAGCAATAGGTATTCTAACAAGTACTGCCGGTTATTCTGATGCTTACTTCCAGATGAGAACCACTAAATTAGCAGGGTCTTCTGAGAAGGGCTCTTGTCCCACTGAGCCCTAAGTCCCTTTTATCTCTGAATTAGTTTCTTTATCTTTTAAAATATAAATCTCATCCAAACGACTTCTAAATTCTTTCCTGATTCTGCAGGTTTACGATCATGCACCAACTTAGAAAGCTGTTAACTTTTAACACCTACTTTTTCAGCTTGGAAAAGGAAGGCCAGAGATCATTATCTGTACTTCTTACTATCCTCCTCCTTGGCTGACTCTGTGGCTTAGCTATGCCTAAACCATTCATAACCCGATTCTTCCTTGCCTTCCTCTACAATTGAGGCTGTAAAGCAAAAGCATGAACTCCCTGTACTTCCCTTGCAGAACATGTGAAGCAATACTGGCCTTGGAGATCTGAAGGAAAGGGTTTAGCTTCTTAAATATCAAACAAAGTCTAGAGAGAGGGCACTTCACAAGTATCACTTTTGTGTAGCAGCTGTCTTGCAAACCTAAAGATGAAGCCACATGGTAAAGATGGTAGCCCAGGCAGACAGAAGGAGCCTGGGTCTTCCACACCATCCTAGAAGAGCCACATCAGCTCTATTCTGCCTTCCTCAGGACTCAGAGTCCTGTTTCTTTAAGCCACTATAGTTGTACACATTCCTGTTTGAAGTACCCCACATGTCCAGCACACACTATGCTCTAAGGAATGCCTGTGGACGATAACGGGGTAAAGAAAAAGGAAGGGGGAAAAGGCGGAGGAAGAAATAGAGAGGTATGACAGAGGGCTGAAGAGAGCCAAGTGAAATTCCAGAAGACAGGAACCTCAAAGTAGTAAGTTCTCAGCAAGTTTGTAAAGGGAATAAGGGCCTGAAAGAGAGGAAAAAGAAGGCATGCCAAGTCTGTATTTACACAAGAAACTGTGTTATATCCATTAAAACACAGGGTTGAGGTGCCAGTTAGACATATTTTGATACATATTAAAATGAACATACAACTATTAAAATTTTTTTAAACATGGTCCACGTGCCACCAAAAATCATCTTGTGAACCAACAGAGATTTGCCTGGCACTCAAGGGAAAGGCTGACTTATGCAAATTCCTGGGCCAGAGGGTTTGCAGTTTCAGTAGATCTGAAATAGCAAAACATAAGCTGGAATGATCCAAATCTAAGTTTGCATGAACTAAGCAGGAACCAGGACTTCTCAAAAAGCATGTTCCGTATCAAGCTGAAGGTCTGTATGTCTATTCTATTTTCCTGAGATGCACTAAATTTCTTGGCTAACCCCAAGTATACAAGGAAATACGGTGCACACCAAGAAGAAAGAATGACTCCTGTCTAGCTCTGGGAAGATTCCCGTGATCTGTAATCCCTCTGGACATTTATTTTATACTCATAACAGGGTTGTGCAAATATTTTAATGGGCATTTGCTATATTTTGAGGTGTACAGTCTTGTTGCCAGGCATTTATTTTTTTGAAAAGATGACTTTTGGTATTATTTTTATTTTCAAGCCATTGCTTTTGTTCCTATTCTACTCTCACAATGTCTTTTCTCTTTGCAACTACCTCTTCAGTAGAGAGACATAGACAACTGTTTCCTGTGTGTGGGGAGGCGGTTACAGGTGCATTAGCTGTGATGATGGCTAGCAAGAGGTGCCTGTAGTTTATGATCTGCACCTTATCCTTCTTTTCCTTCTTTTATCCAAGTCGAGATATTATATTTCTACCTGTAGGCAGGAACTTCCTCTTTCTCCATTCCCTTTCCCCACCTGCATCCCTCAAGCCCATTATCTCTGTGGGCACGGCCCAGGCACAAGCCTGCTTCACTTTACAGTGTTTGTCAATGCACTCTGTGAAGGACATGCCACAGCTGTGGTTCAACTTCTTGGAATCTTGAGTGGTGAGAGCCCACCTTTGCCACCTCCCCATGAATGTAAAGCCTAGAGCCTGCTGGTCTACAGCCCATAGCCGTTGAGCTGTGTCATCTATGCATAGAGCCATGGGAATTGGCTTGCCAACAGTCTCCATGGAGAAGGGCACTGGTTACAAGAGAAGTCACTGAGCGACATGCTGACGTATCAAAGGATGCTCAAGGTTGTCAGGGATCACTTTCCTTCTCGAGGTGGGAGAAAAATAAAATCTTTATAGTAGGAGCTAGATTAAGGGGGAGGGAGAGGCAGAATGAGAGGGTGAGAATGACATCTGTGTCAACTGTTTATTTTGGTGATTGTCTGCAACTTGCAGGCAACATGGCTGAGCAAAGCTGTCATGGAAACACAATTTCACTGCAGATGACAAGTTGGCATAAAGACAATGTAGGTGCAAAAGAGGTATGGGAAACAAAACTACCTGTCAGGCAGGCAAAGGGAGGAAGAAAATCTACCCTCACATACTTTCCCATAATTAAACGTCAGATGTACACAATGCAGTAAAATAATTAGCATGGCATAATTACTGTTCCGATGGAGTCTTGTGTATATGCCAAACAAATTGCTGTACTAGAGCACAAGCTGTTAAAACAAATTGAGTTACTTAATTTTTACATGTAGCAGCCTGTTTTATCATTTCCTAAGATGCAAATGTTTCATTAATAATGCAGGTTTTCTAAATGTGCAAAGCTTTGGGCCATTGCAAAGGCAGATCCACTGGCCTTCCTCTAGAGACTATAGATAAAAAGCAACTGATTCCCCTATTCCACGCTTATCTGCTCAAATCTTCTCTCAACATGGTAGCCAACAGGATATTTTAAAGTCATAAATTAGATCATGTTACGTCCCTGCTTTAAGACTTCTCAATGGCTACTCACTGAGCTTAGAATCAAGTCCAATAAGGTCTAACAGGAGTGGGCCCCTCGGTCTCTTTGCAACCACCTGGGGCCTCTGTCCCTCTCACATGCTGCAGCCAGACTGGCTTTCTTTCAGCTTAAGTTCAAGTCTTCTTGGACCCAAGGTCTTCATGCTTGCTGCTCCCTTTGCCCAAAACACTCCTCCCCTACTCCTTTGCCTTCTGTCCTCCCTTTCTCCCACTCCCCCATAGCTGCCTCATTCTTTTCCATAGGACTTAACTTAAACTGTGCATCCTCAGGGACACCTTTCTTGACCACCCTATAAAAAGTAGGCCCTGATGGCAGGGAACATCACACACTGGGGCCTGTCGGAGGGCTGGGGGCTGGGGGAGGGATAGCATTAGGAGAAATACCTAATGAAAATGTCGAGTTGATGGGTGCAGCAAACCAACATGGCACATGTATACCCATGTAACAAACCTGCACGTTGTGCACATGTACCCTAGAACTTAAAGTATAATACTAATAATAAAAAAAGTAGGCCCTGACCCTTCATGCCCCAGCTGGTCCACTAGAGCTCTTGGCTAGGCCCCTCCGTGGCATTTATTGCAGCTTGGACTAGAATTTTATATGTAGGTTTTTGTTATGTTTTATTTTCATAAGGCCTACCTCCTCCACAAGACTAAGCATCTTCAGGGCAGAGCACAGCTGTCTTGCTCACCACTATATATCCAGTGTCCAAACAGTTTCTGACATATAGTAGCTGCTCTATAAATATACATGGACTATGTGTTGTGACACTGGGTAAATCACTTCCCTTCACCACGCATCTGTTTTCCCCTCTAACAAATGAGAGGGTGGACTTGATCAGTGTGTTTTGTTTGTTTGTTTTTTGGAGACGGAGTCTCACTCTGTTGCCCAGGGTGGGAGTCCAGTGATACAATCTCAGCTCATTGCAATCTCCACCTCCTGAATTCAAGCAATTCTCCTGTCTCAGCCTCCTGAGTCAATGGGATGGGATTACAGGTGCCCGCCACCATGCCTGGCTAATTTTTGTATCTTTAGTAGAGATGGGGTTTCAGCATGTTGGCCAGGCTGGTCTTGAACTCCTGCCCTCAGGTGATCTGCCTGCCTCGGCCTCCCAAAGTGCTGGGATTACATACGTGAGCCACCACACCCGGCAGATCAGTGTTTTTTTTTAATCCATGAGTTGTTCTCTTTTCCTGGGTTCATAAGACCAATTTAGCAGCTGTTAGCACAAATACTTTCAAAACATGAAATAGCACAGAAACTAGCAGGAACACAGAAACAATACTTACCCTCACCATCAGTCATGCCTTTTATCAGTGGTAGTGAGGACAAGTATTGTTTCATGACACTCTTCTTCCAATATTTATATATGCTTCTGTTTCCTGAGTCATGATATAAATTATACATATCTCTTTCTGTGGGATGCACACAAAAAACATCAGGAAGTCGCAAAATACTGGAAGCTGGAAAATGACAGAACTAGGCAATCTCCATGAGCTCTAAACTTGCTTCCAGCCTTGTCCTTCTAAGATCCTTCTCCCCACAACCCCTTCACCACCAATGGCAGGCCAGGAAGGTTTTTCTAAGTAGGATAGAATCACTTTGCCCCAAGGAACCTGAGAAGAAACTTTAGGCCACAGCCTTGGTACACAGAAGAAAGTGTCACCATCTCGTCCTGTCTCTACCACCCCTCACATTACAGATCACTTCTCTATATCACGGACACGGATACACAAACTCCTTTCTTTTCCAACCCTGCTCCCTCCTGGGACAGTCTCTTGAACATAAGGAAATAGGTCAGAAAACCAGAAGGGGAGAACTAGAAATAAAGTTGTTTCTCTCTTTTCCTACCAAATAGGAGCTAGACTGGACATCACAGTCAGAAGCCAGCTTGAGGGGAGGGGGACAATCGCCTCTCCAGATCAGGCCTCAGAAATCGTGGGTAGTTTCCGTCAACATGGGAAACTTAAGAAAAAGTAGCATGAACTACGAGACTGAAACAGCAGTGGTGATTCTAAAGACTCAAATAAAAGGGAGTCAGGGCATTGCCTTTTTGAAGTGCCTGCTACCCTGCCCATTAAAGGGCAGGTGTTTCCCAACATCTCCCACAGACCCACACAGCTGAGCCCCAGCCACTCCCTCACAAAGGACTCCTGCCACTAAGCACAGCAGCTCCTCTATTCTGGACAGGGTGGAGGTGGTGGCCAGAACTTTGCTGTTACCGCTCCTATGACTGTGAACGGTCCCTTGACCAACCTTGCTCCAGAAATGGCAGGAAACAATAGTCCCGTCGTGGGTCAGTCTGGATCACATGTCAACAAGGCTATGGTGGAAACTGCTAACCTGACCATCATGGATGTTAAACTTGGTGACCTCTGGCCCCATCTTTCAACGCCTAAAAACAAGCCCAATGCCTCAATGCCTCATTATGGGCCTGGATTTGCTTTCCCATTGGAGAATGGGCCAGGGTATTCTTCTGGCTAGGAGGAGGTTGTGTGTGTTTGGGGGTGGGGAGTGTGTATGAGTTGAACCATTATAACGCAAGGAGCAAGACTGGGGATCTGGGACCCACTTCTGCTTTTAGGCCTCTGGACTTTAGATCCTAGCCACCCTATGTGTTTCTTTTATATGTTAATTTTTAAAAATAGAGATGGGGTCTCCCTATTTTGCCCAGGCTGGCCTTGAATTCCTGGACTCAAGTGATCCTCCTGCCTTGGTCCCCCAAAATGTTAGGATTACAGGAGTGAGCCACCACACCTGGCCAGTTTCTTTGTCTCTTACCCAGAAAGCTTCACCAAGGGGCGAGCATGATTATGCATGAGCTTCTTAAATCTGGACTTCCCGACAGCTTCTCATGACAGGTCTTCTGTGGAAGACTCCTTAGATTCAGACCATCAGGCCTTTCAAAAGCACAGGAACCTACTTTACCTCGCCCAACTCTACGGATGGGATAGGAACTTACAAGGACATTTCCTCATTGGATTCCAATGTTCATTCTCCCCTTCTCTCTCTCAATTAATCTCCCCCTCTTCTCTTTCTATCTACATACACACACACACACACACACACACACACACAGAGAGAGAGAGAGAGAGAGAAACAGTTTGCTTCACAGCGGGAAGCAGGGGAAGGGTATCTATTTCCGGCAAGATCCCTGAGGAGGCCTCAGGGGGCTGGTAACTTATTCCCCTCGTCTTCTCCTATCAATGCAAATCTCTCCTCTCATTAGCCCACCCTGGATCTTAGACCACCTTCTCTGCTCAGCTCCTGGCCAGGATACCCTCCTGACAGGGGTTTTTCCTGGCTTACGTCCCTTCATCCACATCCCCCAAATGGCCACTTGCTTAGGTGGCTCTGACTTTGGTGCCCTGGGGAATGACAACTGTGATTACCTTTAAACTGCCTCATACGGTGCCACATAGCGCCACAGAGACCCTCACATCCTTGCCTTGCTCCCACCCAGAAACCTAGGGTGACCAACTATCCCCATTTGCCAAGGACTGATGGGGTTCCCACGATGTGAGACTTTCAGAGCCAAACACGCAGTCCCTCACAAAGCAAGATGAGTTGGTCACACCACAGCAGCCTAGAGTCTGGTCTTGACCTGTGGGCTCCTTTTATGACCTTTTCCTCATCTCCAGGACTCCTGGGCCCTTGTCTCACCTCTCTCTCATTTACTAGATCTCACCTGGCCCCTGAGTGGGACATGTGATTTAACAGAGAAGGGAGTCATGCAAAACCAAAAACTATCAAGATAGATGCCTGGGTTTGGATCCTGGCTCAGCACATCTGTGGGCCAATTACATAAACACTCTAGGCCTCAGTTTTCTCATCTGGAAAATGGGGCAATAGCAGCAGATGCTGTTGGTACACCACCCAATTCCCCTTTTCTGTGTTGGTGCATTTGACCCTGGCTGCTGTGAAGTTTGGCTGCTAACAGCTCAATATAGCCCTTGCAATATGGGAGCTCTCCCGTAAACGCATGGGACTTATACCCCACCCTGTCCTGGGCGATGTGACCTACAGCCAATGACTGGTGGACGGAAAAGAGCGGAAGCCCTGCCCCCTTGCCTCAAGTGAGAACAGATCTGTGGTGCCATTCGCATGGGTCCTCCTGTGGTGTCAGGCTAAGGCTAGACTTTTCCTGCAGCCACATATCTGCCTGGCTTCCTCCCCTGTCTTCTCCTGCTGCCCCCATTTCTTTAACCCCTTCCCCCCTAGAGCACTTCCTACACAAATCCCTTGCACAAGAATCCCTGGTTCAGGTTCTGCCTCTGGGAAAGTGATCTAAGACAACTGCCTTATAGAACTGCTGGGAAGATTAAATGAGATAATGTCCAGAAAATGCTTATGTCAGAGCCTGGCACATGTTAAGTTCCCACGTTGCAACTGCTCTGTCCTGACGTCTGGGATAGAGCTTGTCCGATGGCACTGCGAGCCTTGCGTGTTCTCCCCTCTGTGGTTCCACTCGTGCTATCTCATGCCCCCACGCATGGCACACTTGCATGGCATATCCAGCAACACATTCTGGGTATCCCACAATCTCTGACTTGCGAGTCAAGCAAGTGCTTCGCAATGAAAATGCCCTAAGTGATATTATCATGGGGAAATTGTTCGAAGTCTTAAAGTGATCACTTGAAAGCTCCAGGACTATCCTAAGAGGTTGCTCATGACTGATGGCAGTGGACAACTGATGTCCACATCCAGCCCCACTGCTCCAGCCTTTCTTGGAGACCTTCTCCAGGCCCAGACCCTCTTTTCTCAGCTTCCTGAAGAGATCACAGTTCCTTCCCTCACTTTTCACCAGCATGTCTCAAGACTGGAGACAAGTCCTCTGTCACTGGTGATTTCTCCCTGGGTACTACTGCCCAGTGCCATGAGCACCAGCCTTGGGGGTAAGATTGTTTTCTCAAAGCCCTAAAGTTGAAGGAAGACTTTCTTGTGTACCTAGCACTGTGCTCTTAGAAACAGAACTACAGAAAAATACAAGGTTTGGTCCTTGTCCTCAAGAAACTTAGGGTAGGCCAAAGGATCCAAGAAGCACTATTTATTGAATGAGAAGAATGGTGATTAACAAAATGGAATATTTATTGAGAATTTACTACGCATCAAGTTTTTGCAAACTACTTTTTATGTGTGATGTTATCTAATCCTTACAGCTCTTCCAGCATCATCATCATCCTAGTTTCTCAGACCTCTGAAATATCAAGAGGTCAGGGAGCATGCCTGGGTTACACAGCTAGCCAGCAACAGCAGGATTCATCCCAGGCCATCTGATCCCAGCCCCACACTCAGCTACTAAGCTCTACTCCTTCCAGCACTAGCCCACCCCCCCAGGGGCTCCTAGTTGAGCAATCAAAACAAAACATGGGTATAAGGAACAGAATTCCAGAAAAACTGCAATGAGCAAAATACACCAGGAAATAGTTAGTGATGGAGGGAACACGAGGTGCTGACAATATCATACAGGGCCAAATTGTGAGACTGAGGCACTTCTGGGAAGAATGGGGACTCCTTTTCCACTCTTGCCAGCAGCTAGTAACCCCTTCCATCCCTGCCAAAACAGAATGCCGCTGAAGAATGCTACAAGAGAAAGCAATCTATCTGCCAGCATCCCAGGAACCTGTTCTGTGCCAGATACCCTCGCGAGCAAATATTGATATATTAACCGCAGCTCAGACACTGTAAGTGCAGCTAACATGCCTCAGTAGGGAGGGGCGGGCTGGCCTGCTGCCACCTCTCCAAGGCCTTCATCACAGCCAGAAATGGGTCCTTCTTCCTGGTGGAGGAATCTCTGCAGGGCCCTAGAACCAAGGCTGACTGGGGAGCAAGAGTCCAGGGAATACTAAAATAAAGTCCTGACGGTGGGCAAGTGGCACAGGCAGCTGGAGATGGGGCGAAGGTGTGCTCACAAAGAGCTCCGGGGCCAGGTGCGGTGGCTCACGCCTGTAATCCCAGCACTTTGGGAGACCAAAGTGGGCAGATCACGAGGTCAGGATTTCGAGACCAGCCTGGCCAACATGGTAAAACCCCGCCTCTACTAAAAATGCAAAAAAAAAAAAAAAAAAAAAAAAAAGCCAGGCATGGTGGTGTGTGCCTGTAGTCCCAGCTACTCGGAGGCTGAGACAGCAGAATTGCTTGTACCTGGGAGGCGGAGGTTGCAGTGAGCAGAGATTGCGCCATTGCACTCTGGCCTGGGCAACAAGAGTGAAACTCTAACTCAAAAAAAAAAAAAAAAAAAAAAAAAAAAAGACGCAGGCGGTCAGGCACGGTGGCTCACATCCACCTGTAATCCTTAAACTTTGGGAGCCTGAGGCAGAGGATCACTTGAGGCCAGGAGTCTGAGACCAGCCTGGACTACATAGTGAGACCCTGTGTCTACAAAGAGAGAAAAAAGTAGCTGGGCATGGCTGTGTGCCTGTAGCCCCAACCTCTCAGGAGGCTGAGGGGAGAATCTCTTGAGTCCAGAAGGTCTAGGCTGCAGTGAGCCATGATCACGCCGTCGCATTCCAATGTGGGTCACAGAGTGAGAGACCCTCTCTCAAAAAAGAATAATGCAGGCCAAAGTTTAGACCAACCATACCCCTCTCCCATTCAAAACCTCAGTGGTTCCTCACTGCCTTCTAAATTAAATATAAAACTCTTTAAATCTGGCCATCACCCTACAGTAGAACCCTACCCTTGAATCCAATCTCCATCTTGTCATCTTCATGCCCTATGCAAACTAATCCTCTTGTCATATCCAAAACAATTCCTTTTCACAATGCGATAAACTCAACTTACGTTTTTTCCTTTCTTTTTGCTCCCATATTGATCAGAATCTGACCTATCCTTCAAGACTCAGCTCGATGCTACCTGTTCCAAGAAGATTTCACTATTCCCTTTGCTTTGGGGATCCTTTCTCCCTCAAAATAGAATAGAAATAGAATTAGGTCTACCCCGACATGACCCCCAAATCATGGAACTATACACAAAGACATACTGACTACGACATCACCCCACAAATAAACAAAAACAAAAGGAAACTTAAAGCAAATCCACTGCAACAAAGCTGATTTTAGGATCTTAATTCTGCCTCTTTCCTTGCCACCTCCCCATCTTTGAAAAGGTTTTGTCCAGGCCTGAGACCTCAGAGACTGTAAGATTTTTTTTTGTTGTTTGTTTTGTTTTTTTTTTTGTTTTTTGATAAAGTCAGGTCAGGCTGGGTGTGGTGGCTCATGCCTGTAATCCCAGTACTTTGGGAGGCCAAGGTGGGCAGATCACGAGTTCAGGAGATCGAGACCATCCTGGCTAACACGGTGAAACCCTGTGTCTACTAAAAATACAAAAAATTAGCCAGGCGTGGTGGCGGGTGCCTGTAGTCCCAGCTACTCTGGAGGCTGAGGCAGGGTAATGGCTTGAACCCGGGAGGCGGAGCTTGCAGTAAGCCGAGATCGCGCCATTGCACTCCAGCCTGGGTGGCAGAGTGAGACTCTGTCTCAAAAAAAGAAAAAAAAAAAAGTTAACATCTCAGCCCAGAGCGGTGGCTCATGCCTGTAATCCCAGCACTTTGAGAGGCCGAGGCAGATGGATCACAAGGTCAGGAGATCGAGACCATCCTGACCTACATGGTGAAAACCCATCTCTACTAAAAATACAAAAATTAGCTGGGCGTGGTAGCGCATGCCTGTAATCCCAGCTACTCGGGAGGCTGAGGCAGGAGAATAGCGTGAACCTGGGAGGCAGAGCTTGCAGTGAGCCAAGATCGCACCAGTGCACTCCAGCCTGGGCGGCAGAGCGAGACTCCTACTCAAAAAAAAAATAAAAATAAAAATAAAAATAAAAATAAATAAATAAATAAATAAATAAATAAATAAATAAATAAAGTCAGGTCATGAGGGTGCATAATTCCACGGTGATTTCCCATCCATTGCACATTCACTGTGAATAGAAGCTAAAACTTAACCAGTTAACTTTATTTATACTCTGGATGGAGCCTTCTCTTTTAATAAAACAGAATCCGTTAAGGATTATAAACAAACAGTGTTTTATGAACTAAAACTGCAGTGCACTAGTCACTCAAGGGTAAAAACAGGGCTCTGGGTAGCTCAGCCAGCTATAAATAAAGATAAGGCCCTGCCAAGCAGGGACTTGGGCAGAGTAATTGCTGACTCCATAATCAGCTTCTCTCGTCTTCCTTCAGGCCCACAAATCACTCAGGTGTTGGGTCACTGCCCACTGGATTCAGCCCAGAGACACAGTGAAATAGCAAAGCAGTTCATTAGCTCTAAGACTGAGAGTATAAACTGGGACTCCTGGAATGACTAGGTTCCAAGTCAAACTATGGTGCGCCACCCCTGGCACTTGCATGGCTGGCCAAGCTGGGTCAACAGAACCCATAGGGTGAGCCTGTGCTACACTCTGGACATAAGCCCTAACTGGGGGATTTCACTAATGTTCATGTCTCTGCTAAACTTTGCCACCCTCTATGGGAAAACCTGCTCCTACCCCCACACCTACTCCTCACTCCAACCATGAGGTGGAGACTGTCAATAGCTCCAACTCAGGTCTTGGCCACAGTAATTGGTCCACGTGATAGGCATGTACTCCAAGCTGAGTCAATAATCTGTGATGGAGATTGTTCAAATTGGAGCTGGAAGAGAATGTTTCTTTCCAGGTTGGTCAGTAATAAAAGAATATATCTTTGGAGCTGCCAGAGGCCACCTTTCTTGCTATGTGAAGGGAGCCCATCTGCCCCAGGGAGAATGATGCTGAGATGCAAAAGGAAGCAGATAGGAAAGGAGGGTGGATCCTAATAGCCAGTAAGTCCCTATTTTTAATGTAAGTTGTGTCTCTGCCACTTTAACCCAAATAAACCTTATTAATACTATCTTCAGCTGAAAAGCAGATTATGAAACATTTAGCAAGTATATCATCATTAACTGAGCACCTACTAGGTGCCAGATACTGTACCATGCCATTCAGTAATAACAATGTAATTGTTGTTACTATTTATTCTGGATTTACAGTTTGCTAAGGGCATTCCATGGAATGTCATTTAATCCAAACACCACCAATAGATAGACAGTCTCACCTTCCTTTTGAAGATGTAGAAACTGATTCTTAAAGAGGTTAAATACCATCATCAAGTTATGTGGCTAAAGGTTAGTACAGCTAGGATATAAACTCAATCTGACACCAAAGTCGATGCCCTAACCCTCACACTACATTGCTGCAGTATGATTTCAACTTTGTTTGCATAAATAGTATGTATGCATTGGCCGGGTGCAGTGGCTCATACCTGTAATCCCAGCACTTCGGGAGGCCGAGGTGGGTGGATGACCTGAGGTCAGGAGTTCAAGACCAGCCCAGCCAACATGGCGAAAACCCGTCTCTACTAAAAAATACAAAAAATTAGTCGGGCATTGTGGTGCATGCCTGTAATCCCATCTACTCAGGAGGCTGAGGCCCGAGAATCACTTGAACCTGGGAGGTGGAACTGCAGTGAGCCGAGATCGTGCCATTGCACTCCAGCCTGGGTGACAGAGCCAGAAAACGAAAAAAAACAACAAAAACAGTATGTATGCACATGTGTGTGTGATGCATGCATTAATATATATCAGGGAGAGAGAAAGTGAGAGAGCACTCACAATGGGCAGAGTCACATGGCTCCATGGCAAAAAGTGGAGAGAAAATACAGAAATATCAAAGTAGAATGTCCTATTCTCTCAGCTGCCAACAGTAAGTAGTGTGAGTTAAGGACTATGATTCCAGCTTTGACTCTCCACTGTAAGAGAAAAGCAAGGTGCATAGTAGAATCTCCATGGTGTAGATGAGACAAGGGAATACCATTTTTATTTTATGGATGGGAAAAATGAGGGCCATTATGGTATCTCTGCTTCTTCCCATTGTCTTGTGACACTCACCTCGCCCAGCTCTGTGCCCTTTATTTTCCATTCTTTGAAGGTCACACTCGTTCCTGTCTTGGGGTCCTTGTACATGTTCTTCCCTAGGAGCAGAATGCTCCTTCCCTCCCATGTTTACCTTGCTGAGTTCCACTCCCGATCTCGGCCCCCAAGTCCCTTTGTCGGGGCCATCTTTCCTCATTACTGTCATGGCCCCTGCTTTACGTTCCCATAGTCTCTGTACTTTTCCTTTTGCAAATGTTTCACTGCTTCTAATTATTTATTTGGGTTATTGCTTCATTAACATCCGGCTCTCCCACCTGAGTATAAACTCTTAAAGGCATGGAACATGCTTGTCATCCTCACCATTTCATCCCAAGTATCTAGCACAGCGTCTAGATGCTCTCAATAAATGTTTGACAAGTAAGTGAATGATGGAAGGTGTGTTTAGAATGACACTGAAATAAAAAGTGCCCCTAACATGTGAATCCTCAGGAAGGGTCTGGTCTCTTTGGGAAGCCATGTCCACCACCCAAGGCCCTGGGCCACTGAGCTCAGTCCAGGCCTTCGGGCTGACTTCTATGGCAGGAGAATGCCCAATGGCCAAGACCTCAAAACCCAAGACCCGCAAGACGCAAAGTCCTGCAACCTGGGCAGAAAAAGACGGGCTTTGTCCTAAGCCCTACCCTGCAACAGCAGTTACGAATTGAGAAAAGAAGTAGCAAGACGGAAAATGTTGCCTGCCTGGGACGATGCATGCTCCTTCCCTCCCACCTTCCTTAATCTGCCAGGGAGCACCTTTTACATCCAGCCTGATTATGTTTAACCATGGGCTTTTTGTCTTCACCTTATAATTACCGCCGTTTTAAACCAAGGCACAAAATTAATTGCCCCTTAATGAAGGAGGGTAGCAATTAAGGGCAGCGAACCTTGTGAGGAAGGAGAAACACACATTTGTTCAAGGTGCATCATCAGAAGCCCGACTTTGGAGGCATCGTCATTATGGTTGTAATTATTTTCCAAGGCTGCGTGACACCTCCTTAGACCTGACCAGAATTGCCGGGCTCTGGAGAAACCCATTGTTTCTTCAGAGTTAATTAGAGTCCAATTTGGAGCTTCCTGTCTCCTGGACTACAGAGGAAACACAATTTATTATTGCTCGATGCCCACTAGGTCTGCTGAGGACAGGGGCCTTTCCGGTAGAGACATTGCAGGGCGTGTCAGTTTCTTCCCAGGTCAATGTTGCTTCTAAGGTATACATGTGCAGATGCTAGAGATGCCCAAAGCTGCAGGCAAAGCCCACAGACCTCCACTTAATGAGGCTCTCCATGTAAAAGGAAGCACACCTATGTTATTAGCCTTCTAGTAAATCAGCTACAATTAACTTCTTTATAGCTAAGGGGCCCAGCCACATACATTGGGCTCCTTGTCACCCGTTAACAGAGCTAATGACCTCAGATGGCTAAGAAACAGAGAGGGATGCTCTGTATGGATAAAACTGCATACTCATACATGCAGAGTAATAACCTATTCCTGCCAGCTTCTGGGCTCTGGAATAATGCTCAAGTCTCAAAGCTGAAGATGATAACATATCAACAACAACAATAACAGCTAACACACACTGGCCAGGCACAGTGGCTCACACCCATAAACCCAGCACTTTGGGAGGCCAAGGCGGACAGATTGCCTGAGGTCAGGAGCTCGAGGCCAGCCTGGCCAACATGGTGAAACCCCATCTCTACTAAAAATACAAAAATTAGCCAGGTGTGGTGGCACACACAACCTGTAGTCCCAGCTACTCTGGAGGTTGAGGCAGGAGAATCACTTAAACCCAGGAGGTGGAGGCTGCAGTGAGCCGAGATCGCACCACTCCACTCCAGCCTGGGCAACAGAGCAATACTCTGTCTCAAAAAAAATAATAGCTAACACATACTGAGATCCTATCACATGTGAGGCACTTTTGATTCTTACAAGAACCTCATGAGGAATGTATTACGAATATCTCTCCATTTTACAGTACTGAGAAGAAACTGAGGCACGGATAGGTTGAGTCACTTCTCTAAGGATATGCAATTAATAAGTGGCAAAACAAGAATTCAAACCCAGGCAGCCAGGCTGCAAGGTATTTGTTCTTAACCGCAAAACGTATTCCCTCTTAAGCACAGGCTGGTGATGTTGCAAAATAATACATGACGCAGTGTTTGGCCCATGTTCCTGCTAACCAATGGCGGTTTTCTCTTTCAAACGAGGGAATCTACTGCCCTGACGGAGCCTGATGCCTCCCGGGATTCCATCAGCTGCAGGGCTTTCATCACTTCATTTCCCCTGGTTCTGGTTTGATGACAATGGCTTGAAGTTCAAGGCCCTTCACAAGCCAGCTGGCTCTAGCCATCCCTTCTGACCTCCACACCCCCTTCTCTGTTATCCACCTGCTCAGATCACCCGGCTCCTCCTGCCTCCACTGCTACCTGCACACCTCTCACCCACCAGGATGCTCTCCCTGCTTCTCTAAGCTCTTCCAAACCCAAGTCACACCCCCAGTTGACACCTGTGCCAAACACCCAGCTCACAGAGCCCCCCTTCTTCCTTCAAACCAATATAATCCTGAGGGCTTTTAGGCCTCACCTTGCACATATATTTGCCTAGCTGATATTTACAAGTACATTTTTAAATGCAGGGTACCAACCCATTATCTTTTTATGCAGCAGAATGCTGGAGCTGCCACTTACTAGCTGTGTGAACTTGGACAAGTTGCTTAGCTTCTATGTGCCTTAAGTTTCCTCATCTGTAGCATGGAGATAGTGATTGTGCCTATCTCACAGTGTGGTCTGCAGTTAATACAAGAAAACTACTTAGCCTAGTGTCTGGCTCATAGTAAGTGCTTGCTAAATGTCAATTGTTATTGTCTGTCATACTGGATTGATAGCTCCTTGAAGATGCAACCATATCTGATACTCCTATGCAGCCCCCACAGTGGGTCCAGCACAGGGCTATTTCTGAGGCTAGATACATCTTTGGGTAGATACACCTTTCACCAAATTTGTTCCAGCCACACATCAGAAAAAAATGTCAGAGGGTCTGGCACATAGCAGGACTTTGACAAACACATAAATCCATCTTTTAAAATATTTTTAAAAATTTTTGGAGATGGAGTCTCACTCTCTTGCCCAGGCTGGAGTGCAATGGCACGATATCAGCTCACTGCAACCTCCACCTCCCGGGTTCAAGCGATTCTCCTGCCTCAGCCTCCTGAGCAGCTGTGACTATGGGCACGTGCCACCATGCTTGGCTAATTTTTACTACAGACAGGGTTTGATCGTGTTAGCCAGGATGGTCTCAATCTCCTGACCTCATGATCTGCCCATCTGCAACCCCCAAAGTGCTGGGATTACAGTCATGAGCCACCACGCCTGGCCATAAATCAATATTTGATGGTGCTTTGTACATTACAGCACTATCCACGAGGTTAGGTGGTTTTATCCTTAGTATTGACTTGCAAGTATTTATCTTTCTATGGACTGATCTGAGAGTTCTTGGCCCTCTGCCCCTTTCTCTCTAATCCAGCTGAAGAGGGCCAGGATGAGAGTATAGAGATACCAGGGGCCTCCTGCTTTTCAGTAGAGGGTGTCTGGTGCAACCTGCGCCAGCTGTCAAGTATCCCTGGGCCTTAGATGTCTAAGAAGTAAAACCCTCCTGATGTTGACTCTCTCAGTACCCCACCTACTGCCATGAAAACAGAGCTGTGTGCCTTTCCCTTTTCCTCCGTCTTCTCTCTGCCCCCTCCTTGGCTGGTGCCCTGTACGCCTGAAGCCAAAAAGGAAGCCCCCTTTTTTTCTTAGAGAAAGATTCCAAGAAGATTCGTTCCTGTCTGTTTTTGCAGGTCAGGGAAAGAAGATGAGGTGTGGGTTAGCCAGCTTTGGAAGTCAGCCATCATATCTCCACGTACCAGGTTCCAATCTCAGGTCCTCCTTCCATGCAGCTCCAAGTCCTTCCAGAGTAATCCAGGCCTCAGTCACTATTGCTGCTTATGTTCAGGGTCAGAATTGTTCACGTTTGTTTTGATGCCACTGAAAAACCTCAGTGGATTTTGAAAAATGTAGATGGTCCCAGCAGCCAATGCCGGGCCCGTATTTAACCAATTTAACTTTGCAAAATGCTCCAACTATACACATGCTTGGGCTGCTGCTCAGAGCTCTTTTTAAAAGGCCGAAGAGGAAATAAAAATGAATGATGATGACAAAACGTCCACACGGGCAGAAAAAACAGAATAGCCTGAAAGCTCCAGGGCAGGAACTGACACAATTTAATTAACTATTTGGAATAAACATGTTTGGTGCTGCTAGCAGAGGTGTTTGTTTGCCTTCACAAAATCATGCTCTTAATAAGTCTGAGATTAAACCTTCTAGAGAGTAATTAAATGCAACACCTTGACTTGAAATGTTAGGAATGGCCAAGCAGGCATAATATTTTCTTTGCACGTTGTTCTGTGGCTGTCGTCATCTCGCATAAACAATCCCTGACCTCGGTTATGTGTTGTATAAAAATTGTTACTAATTGTGATTTGGCATTGGTGCTCAGTATAAAATGTATATTCCTTAAATAATGTAATAAATGTTTAACAAGGAAACGGAGTGGATAAAATTTAAACAGTAGTGGAGCTGACACATTTAATTATATCCTAGAAGTCATAAACTGCTCTCCAAGACAAATCGGTGATGTTTGTGACTAACAGTGTTACTTAAAAAAAAAAAAATCACAATACCTGCCATTTATTGGAAAACCTTATCCCAGACGCTGTGCTCAGTGTACATCTACTATTCACAGAAGTCCTTTAAAGCAGTATCGTTATTCCCATTTTATAGAGGAGAAAACAGAGACAGAAAGCCTGCATGACCCGCCAAAAGCTACAGAGCTATTAAGTGGAGGAAACTGAGATTTGAAAGCCAGATCTCCTTAACTCTAAATTCCATGGCCACAAGCTAGTCCGATCTCCTAAAACAGAAGAAACACAGCCTGGGAAATTCTAATCACACACTAATTGCATGACAAATTAAGAGGAAATGACGCTAACAGATTTTATTTGATTGCTTATAGAAAGGCATTTTGTAGTCAATGATTGTTTGGCGGTAAAATTATTGTAAATGGTCTTGTTAGAAAAAAAGATACAGCCTAAACTTATGAGAGAATACAACATGGGCTTTTTTTTTTTTTTCAACTTGTGGTAATTCTCCTTGATTAATTCCAGCTCTAAAATTCTGTTCCTGCATCTGCACTGCAGTCTGGCTCTTCACCTCTGAGGGCTCTGCAATGATTGACTTTTGACTTTTCAAATCCATCTGTAAGAGACCCAGACTCCAGAGACCCCTGGTACACCCTCTAGTGGCTATCAGCACAAGTCCACAGAATCAAAGAAACTGGGAGGGGAAAAGGGGCCACCGTTTACCTACTTTTGTGAACAGTGGTGAAAGTGAAGAGGAGGAAATTGATGTTCCACAGCTTGAAAGATCAAGGGCATGAATAACGTAAAATGGTTTTTAAAATCTGGTTACACAAAAGTGTCCCGAACTAGGACGATCTGACAGCACACACTTGTGATCAAATTCCAACAGATTCTTCTCTCCCGAGTCAGGTGAGATGGTCAATGTTAGCTGGTCCTTACTTCAGCAGAATCTAAGCTCTAGCCACAGTGGATGTGATGGCATGAGATGGCTGCAGCAGGCTAGATGAGACCCTCTACTTTTGTTGACTTCCCTCTATGCCAGGAACTATGCCAAGTACTATCACTGCGTATCTCCTTTAATTCTCATTTGATCATTCCTGTTTTACAGATGAAGACATCGAGGTTCTGGAAGATAAAATAACTTGCCCACCATCACGTGGCCAGTGTGTGGGATTTCAACCCTGGAAGTTAGATGCCAAAACCAGGCTCTTCACACCATTACATTTTGATGGGCAATTGGATATTATAAATATGCCTTATATGAGCAACAAATCAACAAATAATTAGTTTCTGTTTTATGAAGACCTCTGCAAATTAGCAAGAGTTTTTCTGAATCTGCTCCCCGCTCCAACCCCTAATATCCTGTTGTAGTCCAGATCTCTAAGTTAATTACTATACCAGGCACTTCACGGCAGAGAAAAACATCACAGATGCCTTGTGTGCTTGCCATGATCTGGTCTAGGCCAGGACCACAAATGGCTAATGAGGTTAAATACAAAATAAGATAAGGATAAAGCTGTGAGGCTGTGCAGGTTCTCTGAGACATGCAGAACACTTGGGCCTAAACAAAGGTCTAACTAAGGAAGAAAAAATGGTCTCTGTCCCAGACTGGGATCGAGGAACAATTTCCCATCCCATTCTATTTCACTCACATACACACACACACACACACACACACACACCCTTACCTCACATAGGGATGTACAAACTTTGAATGGAGTAATGGAGCAGTAATGTCTGTTTTAATCGCCCTGGCCCCTCTTTGCCTTATGGAGGCACCAGGATGAAGGAGGTGAAAGGCTGACTTAAGAGTCAGGTAAACTACCTCCTGCTGTGTTTTAATACTAATGCATTGTGACCTTGAACAAGAACTTGAACAAGAGTTCACATCTGCATAAGAGAGGTCTTATCTACTGGTCTCCAAAGGATCTGGGGATATGGAGCAGGATCCAGCCATCACCCTGTAAATTACCTGCCATTCTTAAAAACCCACCCTTACACGTAGCTTGGGAATCAGCAATCTGATTTCATGCGGGAGATGCTGGAAACATCTGCTGAAATTAATTCTCCAGTAATTTGGAAAGATCAAAACTCAAACCTTTTCTGACCCTAAGAAAGAGGGTCCTAAGCTCCCTACAGCTGGACTTCCAGATAAGAAGGATCTAGTAGTGAGGAAAAAAAAACTCTAAAAATACAATTTGGGACTTGGGACCCAGGTGGCAGTTCAGGAATCAGGGCTGGAACACAGAAGAGAAGTGAAAGGGACACCAGGATCGACGTTTGAAACAGAAGCAGTGACCACCCCCTGCTTCCCACTGAGCAAGTGATTCCTTGCCTTGCCTTGACCATCTCTCTCTCAGCACAGCAGGTGGCCCTTTCATTAAATGCATCATTTGCAGCCCATTGCCGCCTGGGAGTGTATTTCCCTCTACCCTGAGTGGTCCTGCTTCCCCTTTTATAGGGATCAAACCTCCTGCCCTCATTTCTGAGACTTCCCTGAGCTCCATCCATAGTACCACTGCGACTGGGTTCTAATGGCCTATCACACTGAAAGCAGAATACTCCAAAGAGCTCACTCACTTTAAAAGCCAGCCTGGAATAACAGCTTTGGCAGGGAGAAAAACCAATGCTGGGACAGCCCTCCTGTAAGGGACCAAAATGAGCTTCCTTGAGAGTACACAAGAAAGAATTTGAGTACTTTGTCAGCCCTGGGAGAAGACATGCTGGCTGCCTGTTCACTTGGCATCAATGTCATCTTTCTTGGAAACTTTATTTAGTGAGATGACTTGGCCATTTGCTACTAACTTCCCAGGCTTGTGATGAGAGCAAGCCAGAGAGCCCAGCCCTGTAAAGTACTAGGGTCGGCTCCTTTTAGCCTCTGAAAGGCCTGCCTTCCTCATCGAGTAAGTGGGCACATCCCTCAGTGGTCAGGAAAAGATAGAGAAAGAGGCAGAAGAGCAAACTGGTGAAGGCTTTGGAGATGCTAGATCTGACTTCAAATCCTGCCCCTGCCTCTTACAAGCTGAGCAACCCTATTCAATCATTCTGCCTTAGTTTCCCACCTATGAAATGAGGATGATCAGAGCACCTGTCTCAAGGTGTTGTTTGAAAAGCAAATAGAATAAAGCTTGTGCAACACTTAGCACAAAATGAGATCTCAATACTTGCTGTTGACATCCTCATCATTATTAGTTTTGTTATTATGGCTGAAAGGTTAGTAGATGAATGTTTCCTTGACCAGGCAACACTGGACCCAGAGAGGTCATGTGATTATGGTACAAAGAGCCCCAGGTTTGAAGTCAGGGGGCCTTGGCTCAAATGCTTGCTCTGTAACTTCCAGGAAAACCACAGCACACACAAATTTAAATTGAGCAAATTCAACTATGTGCATTTCTCACAAAGAAGAAAGAGAAAGTCAACAACTGAAATGGTCACCTGCCACATCACTCAGAAAGCAAATACCTGCAGTGAGCGTGGAAGGGGAGACTCGAACCTGCTGATCCCTCAGCTTCTGCAGGTGTCCCGCGTGCATGCATCTCAGCAGGCTGAGTATTAAGAAACTTGACCTCTAAATGTAAGTCACCTGAATTTGGCTGGTAGTCCACTGAAGGAACTAATCTCTTCCAGCTCTTCGGGGGCAAAGTGTCTGGGCACCGCCTCGTGGGGATGACTTGCAGCATTTTGCGGGGTAATTTTGACCACGTGTACCTTTTTTGGCTTACAGGTGAGTATATGGGCTGAGAGTCTACTCTAGAGCTGTGTGGGCGTGGCACATGGTGAACGTCAAGATCCTTATCAGAAAAGTGGAAGACAGCAGGCCTGCCCAGTGTATCCAATACCATCAGTGATAGAAAATCTATCCATGTGTTTTGTAAACCATACTCAGAAATATAGGGAATAATTATTTCCTTCCCTGACACTGTGAGTGTCCTAGTTTCAGACTCAGAGTGTGAGGGGCTGTAATGACACCTACCCCGGTATGTCACATTCCCAGAGCTTAAGAACAGGCACTCCCACCTGGACCCAAGGAAGCAGCCAAAGGGGGCTTCCCCCAAATTAGGTATAGCCTGGTTTCGCTGTGAGTCATTCTCAGCTCTACGGTCTCCAGAAAGGTGGCACTTTCCCTTTTTCAGGTTAAAAGCATTCTAAAAATACCTTCAGAAGGCTCTGAATGTCCCCATAGTCATCCCTGCTCTGATTTCAATCCAGTTCACATTTCCCATAGTGTGTGTCTGGATAAGACATCACTTCGGCTGACGTGGGCCAGGTTCAGAATGCACAGCAGGATACTGACAAGTCGCCTCAAATCAAGCTATGTCGCCCACCCCTCACTCCATTTGGGCCAATGGGGAGGGGAGGAGGAATCCTCAGCCCCACCCCACCCCCACCCGCTACTTTGACTTAGCTAAATTCCCAATTATTTGGCAAATGGACAAGTAACGATTTTCTCTCCCTGAACAACCCTTGAAATTCACAACTGCCATGTGCACTCTTCAGGCTTCACACAGCAATGGAAAGCATATTGGGCAGCTTTCAGGTGCTTTTGCAGAATTCAAATTCTTTTAACAAATATTACAACCTGTAAACTGTGGCAGTGGACTGTATTTTATTTGAGCAGCAAAGTGGTATTGCAAAACCCAAGTTTGCTGTCTTACTCTCTCTACAAACAGACTGTCAGACAATACTCAGATCCTTGGCTTTTCTTAAATATGCAGGCCTGCGTTTTATCTTTGGCTCTAGGACAGGCTGAACGTCAGGCACAGGCTGCTAGTAGTCTGCCTGAAGGGCTTGTCCTAAATCAGCACAAGAAGTTAATTATCTCTTGGGCAGAGGGGATGTTGGGATTTCTGCCTTGCAGGCCAGGACTCCCCAACATGAATGTTGCTTTGACTCTGATTCTAACCCTTTCCTTTTAGCTCAACTTTTGCCTTCAGTGTGGAGTCTCTCCTTGAACTCTAGTTCTGGTTATTGGCTGCAGATGTCTTCCTTCGGCCAGACTCCATCAAGGTGAACTACTTGGCCCCTTAGTTCAAGTTCATGCATGGGGTCCTACTCTGAACCCCAGCCACCCAGCTGTAACCTTGACAGACTCCCTTGATGCTCCCAGCCTTTTTTTTTTTTTTTTTGTGAGACAGAGTCTTGCTCTGTCACCCAGGCTGAAGTGCAGTGGTGTCATCTCAGCTCACTGCAAGCTCCACCTCCTGGGTTCACGCCATTCTCCTGCCTCAGCCTCCTGAGTAGCTGGGACTACAGGCACCCACCACCAAGCCTGGCTAATTTTTTGTATTTTTAGTAGAGACGGGGTTTCACCGTGGTCTCGATCTCCTGACCTCGTGATCCACCCACCTCGGCCTCCCAAAGTTCTGGGATTACAGGCGTGAGCCACCGTGCCTGGCCGATGCTGCCAGCCTTTTCAGAGCTCTGGGTAACATAGACTCTTAATGTTTCCATCATTTTGTTCTGCTTCTATTACTTCTAATTGTACTTCCCTATGCTGCTGGCTCCTTGGCCATACCCTGCACTTCCTGAGTTCTGCCTGCTGCCATCCTATAGGTGGGCATGACTCTCTACCCCTTCTGCCTAGTCCTAGGGTTCTAGGTCCAGCTCCTGCCTGGCAGACACATCTCATTGCTGAGAACAAGGCCATGCTCAGGTGCATCCTGAGAGAGGGACTGTTGAGTTAACAGCATAGGCTCTGGGTCAAATCCCAGCCCCAGAGCTCCATTGGCTGTGCAAACTCGAACATGTTCCTCAATCACTTTATTCCTCATTAATAAAGTCAAGACAGCTTCATGGAATTATTGAGGGAATTAAATTTGTGATGAATGTAAATTTGTAATGAATATAAAGGCTAGCACAATGCTTGGTACTTTTAAAATGCACTATAAATGTTAGTTATTACCTTGGGTGGTGTGGACATTCAGGAATTCTAAAACTTAGTTTGAAATATGTAGCAAACTGAGAACAAGGATCAAAGAAAATAAGCATGATCAGCAGAACGTTCTTCTTGAATGTTATAAGCTCATCGAGGCTTTTCCAAATTAACCTTCAAAGCAATCTCAGACCAAGCCATCTTTGGACTACATCTCATGGTAAAAAGAATGCTTTCCTCAGGAACATCAACAGAAGGAATCATCTAAAAATCAGCTCTAAGAATCAGATAGGATGACAAAGTTGAAGACAGTCAGTTTGGCTTACCAGCTTCACCAAGACCTGGTTAAAGTAATGACAGTGTGCACAATAAGTTGCAGTTTTTGGTAACCTAGCGTCAGCAGCTAGTGTTTGAGCCAATCAACCCTGTGTCTGCGAGTCAGATAGGGACCAATTTGCCAAGCACATCCACATATTTTCCTTAACAAAAGGACAATACACTGAAGTCTTCCCTATCAACAGTCAGCTTTTGGAGGCTGCATTCCTACTCAGACAAAGCAAGACTGTTCCAACCACCGTCAACACCTCGGTGTCTGCAGCTAATAGTGATCCAAACCTTTTTCCTGGCCTAAGTCACATTTACATAATGCAACATCATGCATAATTTGGATCTGAAATTAATTTATTGAAAACCCCACTGCCCCACAAGCTGCTAAAGGTATAAACCTTTTGTCCTAGGTAAAAATCAAAGCACTTGGAGCAAAAGATCCCCAAATATAAAGAGATCTCAATTCTAACGTAGATACAAGGCTGGGACTGGGAGAAGGTAGAGAGAAAATATGAGCCTGAGTCTTTGCTCACTGCAGTGAGTCTATGCTTCTGGGTAACCTGGGGGACTTGGCTCTTTGGAGGAAACCCAAGGCAGAATTCTGAGGTTTTTCCTTTCCTTTGAAGTAAGAGTTTGCAGGGGACATGGATCTGACTAAGGCATAGCCCTCCAATTCTCCAAGTGACAAATGTAAATTGGCTTTATCTTTTCTAAAGGGACAGAAGTGGCCACAGATAGTAAGAAAAGTTGCCTGTGCACCCTGGTTAGAAGGACCACCACTACTCCTTCTGTTCAACGTATGAACTGCTCCACCTCGCCTACAGTAGCACATCCCATAAGCTGCCTCTTCAGGACACCAGTCCAGAGAGCAGTGCTCCATAACAAAATGGATCCGTGACGGGGTAAAGTTGAAAAACACTGAAGATTTGCAATGTACATCAGCATATTAAAGGTTCTTCAAAGGTTCCACAGAAAGTTATTTTACTTATTTTAACCTAATATTTCTCAAATGTGTTTGATCATGAAAACTTATTAACTTCTCACCCCATAGAAGCCTCAGGAAACATTCTGCAGAATGTCAGGCTCACTACTATGAGATGCCCAGGTCATTCTCCTAACTGGTAAAGAGAAAACGAACAACTTTCTTCCTATCTCATTCCCTTCTGACAAAGAGTGAGAAATCAATACAGTGGAGTAAAGGGAAGCCTCTGAAAATACCTTTTCCTCTAAGATAAATGCCTCCCAGAAAGCCACAGTGTACATGCACACGTGTACAGGGCCAAGTAACATCCTCTTTAATGCCCTTTATCACCCTAATGAAGCATTCCCTAATTGATCTCTCACCCCCAATGGCTAATTTGACAAGTGAACTCTCAGCCTGTCAATAGTCCTCGTGTTCGAGAAGCCTGGTTCTAGGATCTGCAGACGTATTCCCTGGCTGTGGAGATGGGAAGGCACATCTGTGCCCATTTCCTGCCCTGTCTGGGCTGTTTTTTCCCCTTGGTGGAGAGCATCTTCTACAACATTACTGATGGGCACCAGGCAGTATCACTAAAAATACTCACTAAGAGATTGAAAGGTAATCATACATGAGCAAACGATGGTGCAAACCACCAGGTGGCTCAAGTCGCTCTGTCAGAACCATTGAGGTACCTGATGATATACATAAAAAGCTATCTAGAGGACTTCTACTTATGGAAAGATGGCGTAGATGTGCTTTTGCTTATTCATCACACTGAGTTGAATTTAAAGCCTTGAGCATTATACAAAACAAACACCAGAAGACTCTCAGAGGCAGGAGAGCAGAAGGCAGGCTGGCAAGGGACTTGGGACCTCAGGAATGACACAGATGGTGGTGAGTTCTCTGGGTTTTCCTTTTGCTTCATATATCTCCAACCTGGCAGCTTAGTAAACAGAAAACTTGAAGACAATAATCACTTGACTCTAACGAGATACCACACACAAAAAAATCTGGCCCCCCCCACCTCCACCAGCACTGGCTGAATAGGGAGCCTAGACAAAGTACCCCAAGTCCCTGCTGGAGTAGTATCAGAGAAGGCCAAGTAGGGAGCTAGGACTCTGAACTTTGCTGAGTAGTGATGAAGTCCCTCCATACAATGTCAGCAGAGACTGTAAGGAGTGGCTGGTCTTCCACGCCCACTTGGCAACAGATAAAAGGTACCCCTCCCCTGTGACATAATTGTGGGAGTGATGTCAGAGGAGTTCTATGGAATGTCAGTACTTTCACCAGCACCCAGCAGTAAAGAAGCCACCCCTGCCCCTTCTACCCTGAGGTGTTGGGAGGCCATGTGGGAAACAGTAATAAGGCATGCTTGCCCTCCCAGCCAGGTGGTATCAACAGACACCAAGTGAAGAGCTGAAATTCCCACACCTACTTAGCAGTAACAAAGATCCCCTCCCCCCAGGTATCAGTGGAGGCCAAGTAGAGAATTTGGATTTCCACCCCTATCTGGCCATAACAATGCAATGCCTCCCCTTCCCATGTCAGAGCAGTATCAAAAGCCAGCTAAAACAGAAGATTCAATAAGATCCAGAGTCGCACAACATAATACTCAAAATGTCCAGTTTCAATAGAAAACCACTCATCATGCAGTGAATAAGAAAAAACCAACTTATATGAGAAATGACAATCAAAAGATGCCACCACTGATTTGGATTTTAAAACAGCCATGCTAGAAATGTTTTTATGAACAATAAGGAACATGTTTGATAGAAATGAAACACTAGAATGTCTCAGCAAAAAACAAAGAAAAAAGAACCAAATGAAAATTTCAGGAAAAAATAGCCAAAATAAAAAATTCAATGAATGGGTTCCACCGTAAAATTGAGTGTAGAACAATAAAAATTACACAATCTGAACAACAGAGAGAAAACAGAATTAAAAAAAAAAAATGAACAGAGCCCCAGGGATCAAACACTTGTATAATCAGATATCAAAAAGAAGAGGGAGAGAAAGGATGGGGCTTAAAAAATACATGAAGAAATAATGGTTGAGACATTTCTAAATTTGGAAAAAGACAGAAACCTACAGATTAAATAAGGTGAGAAGATCCCAAACTGGATAAATCCAAAGAAATCTATGCCAAGACGCACCATAGAAAAATTTCTGGAAATAACAAAATCTTGAAACCAGCAAGAGAGAAACAATACTTTACTGACTTACCTACAGGGGAAAAAGAATTCAAATGACTGCATATTTCTCATCAGAAACCATGAAGTCCAGAAGGAAGTGACACAATTTTTTTTCAAGGGCTGAAAGAAAAGATCTGTCAACCCAGAATTCTATATCCAGCCAAAAATATCCTTTGGAATGAAGGGAAAATCAAGAAATTCTCAGATGAAAGGAAACTAAGAAAATTTGTCACTAGCAGATGGCCCCTAAAAGATGGCTAAAAAAAAATCCTCTAAACAAAAAGAAAATGACTATTAGAATATTCAGAAAAAGGAAGAACAATGGAAAGAGTAAAAATATGGGAAAATATATTTCCTTCTTAAATTTCCTAAATTATGTTTGGTGATTAAAGCAAAAATTATAACTACTGTCTGGTGTGGTTTTCCAGTTTATGTAGAAATATTTAAGACAATTATATTGTAATAGGGGAGGGCAAAGGAACATAAAGGGAAGTGAGGTTTCTACACTTCAGTTTAACTAGTAAATTGTCAACACCAGTAGAATGTGATAAGTTATGCACATATAATACCTAGAGGCACTACTAAAAATGCTATACAGAAAAAGAATCAAAAACCTATAAATAAATCAAAATGGAATTCTAAAAAATGTTCTTGTAACCCACAAGAAAACAAGGAAACTAAAAACAGAACAAACAGAAAACAAAAAATAAAATGGCAGACTTGGCACACCAATAATTACATTAAATGTAAATGGTCTAAATATGCCAATTAAAAAACAGAGACTGAGGCCGGGCATGGTGGCTCATGCCTGTAATCCCAGTGCTTTGGGAGGCTGAGGCGGGCAGATCACCTGAGGTCTAAATATACCAATTAAAAAACAGAGACTGAGGCTGGGCATGGTGGCTCATGCCTGTAATCCCAGCGTTTTGGGAGGCCGAGGTGGGCAGATCACCTGAGGTCAAGAGTTCGAGACCAGCCTGACCAACATGGAGAAACCCTGTCTCTACTAATAATACAAAAATTAGCCATGGAGAAACCCTGTCTCTACTAATAATACAAAAATTAGCCATGCATGGTGGCACATGCCTGTAATCCCAAATACACAGGAGGCTGAGGCAAGAGAATGGCTTGAACCCGGGAGGTAGAGATTGCAGTGAGCTGAGATCGTGCCATTGCACTCCAGCTTGGGCAACAAGAGCGAAACTCCATCTCAAAAAAACAAAACAACAACAGCAGCAAAAAACAGAGACTGGTAGATTTTTTTAAAAAGCATGACCCAGGCCAGGCGCGGTAGCTCACGCCTGTAATCCCAGCACTTTGGGAGGCTGAGGTGGGCGGATCACAAGGTCAGCACATCGAGACCACCCTGGCTAACATGGTGAAACCCCGTCTCTACTAAAAATACACAAAAATTAGTTGGGCGTGGTGGCAGGCACCTGTAGGCCCAGCTACTCGGGAGGCTGAGGCAGAAGAATGGCGTGAACCTGGGAGGCAGAGCTTGCAGTGAGCCCAGATTGCACCACTGCACTCCAGCCTGGGTGACAGAGCAAGACTCCGTCTCTTAAACAAACAAACAAAAAAAAGCATGACCCAACTATACGCTAACGTGATATAAGCAAAAGTGCTACATGGCTACTTCCCTTAAAATGCAACCAGCACATGCCCTTTCCCATTTTTTGTTTTTCCTTCATTCTGCCTCTTAGAAAATGTATATAATGGCTGCCACTCCAACTTAGACTACTGGGATAAGGCCACAACATAGGGATAATAGAACAAAGCCAAATCAACCTGGGTCTCTGAGCACTTGGTAGAGCAGAACTACCATACCAACTATAGATTTCCTAATTGTAGATTCATAAAGAAAAACAAATCTCTACCTTGTTTAAGCCATTACTAAGGGGTTTTATGTTCCTTTAGTTGAACTTAATCCTCACTGATCCCAAAGAGTTGTACTTACTGAAGGCTATTACATGTCTATCACTGTGCCATGCCATTCAGAGAGATTATTTTAATGGTCTGAGGAGGAAGACACTACTATTATCTTCCTTTTATAATGAGAAAATTACTGCTCAGAGAAGTTAAGTGACTTGCCTAAGGGCACACATCTCACCTGCCCAGTGTGAACCTCACTTGTCTAACTTTAAGGCCTAGGCTATTAACCTTTATTTACAGTGTAAATGAAATCCAGTGAAATACCTAAGAAAAAAGAGACGTGTCCATTCCTCTTAGCCTGGGTGAAAGGCTTCCTTTCACAGTCACAGGGGGCGATGATGAGTTCAGAAAAACCTTTAATTCATCAAGCATTTCTAAAGAGTTAGCCAAGATTCTTTTTGAATTTATCATCCGTTTGGACATAATTAAGCAATTAATCAATCAGTCCCCTCATTCACTCAACAAACATTTATAAAGGCCTCATGGTGCCAGGACTTGAGATAAGCTGGAGGAATGAATCAAGTGATACAACCCTATCCCTCCCAGCATCCCCAGCGTGGGCTGGGCACTGAGCTCGTTTACTTTCAAAGCTGATTTTTTTCCACATTTCATTGCTCAGCTCCAAGCCAAAGATGTCAAACAGGCCAACCACGTGAAGCCCATTCTCCCAGAAGCCCCATTGTTCCATCCACCTACACTTTGAGGGATCCAGGTCAGCATTTCCCTTTTAGCTCTCTAACATGGCAATGGGAGACTTTGATGTCTCACCTTGCAGAGAAAAGAAAAAAGGGCAGAAAGCCTTCAGAGATGGTGGCCAAAAAAGCTTTGAGATCATGCGAATCCCCAGCGGCATGGCTTGGTCTTTCCTCTATGTTGTTCCTTGGAATGAAAAGCGGATTTTTCTAGCTTCTCTCTCACTCCTACATACGTCCCCACCCAGCTCTCAGCTCCTGGCAGTGCCAGCACTCACATCTAGGGATAACAGTTAAAATCGCCTCCTCCTCCTCTGACAATGAAATATGGCATACCATTTGGCATCCCAGCGGTGCCCCAGTCTCCTGACCCCTGGCAGGGTCCCAGGGGATTTGTGGTCGGCCGCTAATTCAGAGCCCTGGCCATAGCCATTTCCCATGACATAGCTGGAATTCTCCCACTGCCTGCCCTCTCAGCTTCAGTTACTCTGCCATGCTGAAACTATTTGCTCCCCTCCCACCCTGTCCATCACTGCCCCTTCCTTGGGCCGAGCCTCTGTACCCGCCCACTGGCTAGACTCCTGAGGCCCTCCATGGGGGAGCTGCAAATCTCTCTTCACTTTTATTACTGACCCGCATCCTGCCGCCTCCACTCCTTCAGCCTGAAGGCCTCTTTAAAGCACCGTCCTCTTGAGCAATGATAAACCTCGGTGCCAGAGATGTTTAAAGAGAAACAGTCACTCCCGGCTGACCATACTGATATCAGAAGGGAGGCCAACCATGTGGTTTCAAAGCTGTGGTCATAAAACAGTCTTTTTTTTTTTTTTTTCATGTATGGTTAATCTGCCTATGAACTAGAAAAATAATCTCTGCCCTTTTGTAGGGCCCATTCTTAGTGTAACCTGGGAATGGGGAAGAGACAGGCCAGGTACTGTCCACTGTGGTAGCTGAGGGTGGGGCCTCAGGAGCCAGGCTGTCTGGATTATAGCCCAGCTCTGCACACTTACTAGCTGGGTGACCCTGGGCAAGTCATAGACCATCTCTGGGCTTCAGTATCCTTCTCTGTACAAGGAAGAAAACAGAGGGACTACTACCTAGCCTTGTTATGAGAATTAAGTTCATGTTTGTAAAGGGTGCCAACACGTGTTTAGCACATATAAAGTGCTGTATCTGTATTTGCTAAAGAAATACTATGTATATATGGGATATTCAGTTAATTTTCACAACAACTTGTTGATGTTATTATGCTTTCATTACAGAGGGTGCTACTGGATCCTTGAGAGTTCTAGAAACTTGCCCGTGGTTAGTAAGCCACAGAGATGGGATTCGAATTTGGGTTGTACTTCCCAGTATGACAGTCATCCTCAAAGTGGGGTCCAAGACCAGCTGGGATCTTGGTAGATGTGCAAATTATCCAGCCCCATGCAGAACCACTGGCTCAGAAACTGGTGGGTAGGTTCAGCGATTTGTTTTAACAAGTCCTCCAGGAGACTGGGATGCACAGAGTTTGAGATGTGCTGTGTATCGCCATGTTGCCCTTACAGCAGGAGAAGAAGTTCCTTTCCTTCCTGTCTCCAGGTTATCAGCACAAAGTGAACATGAGCTGCTCAGACCTCTCAAGCAACACACAGTCATGCAGGTCTTTGGAGTGAAAAGTGCTGTGCCAGATGCCATGGGGACACAAAGAAATGTGAGCTTCCTGCCCTGCAAAGCATATTCCCTAATTATCAAAACCAGACAAGCATGTGCGCAAAGTTATCCAACAGCACTGACCACACCATGAGTCAAAGCATCCGTGTTCAGAGGTTTGGGGTCAAACAGAGCTCACACCATTCCTGACCCCGATTGTTATGAGTGGGACTTTAATGAAGTCACTTAATCTCACTGGGCCTGGCTCCCCTTACCTTTTCAGGCTGCTGTAAGGATAAAATGAAGTTAGGGCAATGACCTTGTATGATGCCTGGCACATGGTAGGAGGCTTAGTTGCTAAATGGCCAGGGTCATCATTAAGATCTGTCAGCCAGGTGATACAGGATTCACTGCCAAATCATAATAGGAAGGTAAGGTAGGAGTAGGGAGATAGCTCTAAGGGAGAAAGACCTGCAGAGAATGGGGAACTTGAACCTGATTCCAACACAGAGTAAATATCTCAATAACAGACAGGAGGGAGAAGAAAATGGCTCTGATGATCATTAAAAAAGGGGCTGGGCACGGTGGCTCACGCTTGTAATCCCAGCACTTTGGGAGGTCGAGGTGGGTGGATCATGAGGTCAGGTGTTCGAGACCAGCCCGGCCAACATAGTGAAACCCCGCCTCTACTAAAAATACAAAAATTAGCTGGGCATGGTGGTGTGTGCCTGTAATCCCAGCTACTCAGGAGGCTGAGGCAGGAGAATCGCTTGAACCTGGGAGGCGGAGGTTGCAGTGAGCCAAGATTGTGCCATTGCATTCCAGCCCAGGCCACCGTGCGAGGAAAAAAAAGGAAATGAAAAGGTGTGCCAGGCTGATAGTCAAATTCATCTGATTTACATGACTTTCACTTTGAACGTGCAGACTCCAATGCATGAAGCCCAGGTTGAACTGGGAAATCCAAGTTGCACTTAAGATACATGAGTACCTTAATCCCGACACAGGCTTTCTGAGCCAGGCTCTGTTTAATCAATGGGTGTTTGGAATGAGGGCTGTGGACATCATAGCGGCTCCCTTTTCCCTAGTGTCTCTCTAGAGGAACAACCAAAATGCAACTTATATGTGTGAAAAAAATGACTGAAAAATGTTTAATTTCTGATTCTCCCTGATTTCTCCTTGAGGCTGGCAACCTCACCAAAGCGATTAGACAGATAGCATGAGCTATCAGCCCAGATAAAATCTGGATATTTTATCATTGCAGAGAGCATATCGGGAAATACTAAGGAAGTTCAGGAACTATCTAGTGTCATTCTACTGGACAACGGAAGGAAGGGTGACGTGACCACTCCTGCGCTCTTCCAATCTTACCACTTTCAGGCTAGTTTTTCTATAAAACTCACCAAGGCAAATTCCTCAAACTTTTGCCCCATTCGTTCCTTTGGGCCTGGGCAGAGGTGATGCTTGCGGGCCCCCAGTGAGAATGTCCATGGGGCAGAGGGCAGAGTGCAAAGGGGAGACCATGAAAGACAGGCAGTGGGCCCATCTCCCAGTGAGCTATGACAGACTCCAACCCCACACTCACCCCAGTGATTTATGTTCTGGAAGGATGTTCGCAAATCAACATGTTTTGTCTGCTCCTTTTCAAAGTCAGGGGAAAGCAACCCAAGACATCTAAACATAACCACACATTCGAAAGTCTGGTCAATTGTTTTAGAATTTCCATTGCAGGGCCTCTAAGTACCATCCTCGGACTCCCCATCAAGACCAGTAAATACAAGCCAATGGGAGGGAAAATGGGATCTTAAATATTTCCGGCTAATTCAATTCCCTCGGAGAAAGCTTTCCTTCCCAAGGTCCCATTCTAGCACAACGGGTTGGGAGTCTCAGGACCGCAGCCCCTTTTCCTGAAGAAGCAGCAGAGTCTGTGGTTCCATTTTACTCAACTGTTTTAAGTAGAAATTATCCTTGAGGCTTCAGGGTGTGCTTCCACTCTGGGTGGGATGGTGAAGGGAGTGATTTGTCTACCACATTACTCAGCCCCAAAGTATATATGCACTGGGGTAAACTTGGCCTTCTACATTTTCCCATTCTCTCCGGGCTGTTCTGTCATCTCTATGAGTCAGCCTCATCCTGGGCCTTCCCCGCCAGACCCTCCAGGCCCTGGCAGTTGTTTGGTTTGGGGCAATGACAGTGCCCTTTCCTGCTGGTATGTGGAGCTATTGTTCTCTAGGTCCATGGCTGCTTTTATCTCCAGCATTCCTACAAGCAGGATTAACAGATCTGGGCCTGTCTCAATGGGCTGCTTTCCACTTCAATTAAACTGCAAGCCAACAACACGCCCTGTTCCCAGGCTTCCCAGGCAAGGCTGCCCTGCTGGGGTGGCATGCCAAGGTTTCGGGACAAAGATGGGGGCAGGCTCACTGCGTGAGCCACAGAAGATACCCTGCCGTTGGATGCCTGGGCTTCAGGCCCAGCAAGCAGCTTATTGCTGTGCCAATCTGGGGAGCCAGACCTAGATTTCCTCATCTTTCAAACAGTAATGATAATGCATGACCTCCCGGACTCTAGGGAGGGATAAGGGAGCCAACATATATAGGCAAAACAACTAGCAGAGTGCCTGGCACATAGTAGGTGCTCAGGAAATGCTAGATCCCTTGCCTTTGCTAGGGGAGGGGGTAACTAAAGGCACCTGCCTTGCTACCCAACAGGGATGTTGGAAGAAACAAGTGATGCAATTTACACAAAAGTATGAGAAACCTCAGAAGGGCTGCATGCATAAGAGAATTTTTATAATCCAGGTGTGTGTGATGAGTCTTAACTTGTGCCTAGGCCAACCTAAAAGAGAGATCCTATTGTATGCAGTCTGCTAATAGAATCAGAAGAGGCTTCTGTATCCTTCCTTTCTGCGTATCTTGAAAATGCTTTCAGAAAGCCAGAAGTAGGGGGAGTGACAGCAACAACTTCACTGCCTAATCTGCTAAATATGAAGATAGCTAATATTTATTGAGCACATACTATGCATCTTGCACTATTCTAAGTGCGTTACATTTATTGTGATCACATTTCATCCATACAACCCTATTTTTTCACGGATTCATTCATTTGACAAATTCGTTCATTCAATATTTCCCCAAATATGCATATGGCTCCTTCCCTCACCTTCTTCAAGTCTTCTTCAAGTCCTTACTCAAGTGTCACCTTCTTATTAAAGCCTTCCTTGGCTACCTTATCTAAAATTCACTCCACCCTTCCACCCCCAAAGACAATTGCTTTGTGTAATTTTTCTCCTTAGCATGTATCACTGTCCAACATACCAGTTGCTTTATGTGTTTACCTTGTCTATCAAGTGCACCCCCACTAGAATGGGAGTCCCATTAGAATATGAGCCCTCTAAGGAGAGGCATTTTGCTCTTTCATTCCCAGCTATGTCCCCAGCACCTAGAATGAAATAGTTTCTGAGTGCCTAGCTCTGAATGAGTGCTTAGCAGATATTTGTTGATGGGATGAAACCTAAGAGGTAGGCACTATTCATATCATCATGCCTATCTTACACATAAAGAAACAGAAACAGGGAGGTTAAATAACTTGCCCAAGGTCACACAGTAAAGATCAAAGCCAGGATTTGACTCCAGAAACCAAGCACTACATTCTTTCACCTTTCCATCTAAGACTAACGCTACTAATTTTTTTCTCCTCCTCCTCTTCTGGGGTCACTGCCTTTGTTTTTTAGCCGTCTTTGCCATGGAGACCAAAGACTCCCCCCAAAGTTCTTGTTCATGCTGGGCTAGAGAATCGTTTGCTGACACATGTTCTTAATGAGAAAAGGGCTGCCTGGTGAATTATTCTCTCAACGTGTTCATGCTCAGATGCTTCATTTAGCAGCGGGCACATCAAGGCCCATGAGAGCCATATTACAGTTCGCAGGGCAGTGGAGATCATCTTGAGCAATGGGGGAGTGGGCTGAGGTGGCAGAAACAGCGAGAGTCCCAGAGTCACACACATCTCGGTCTGCATGCTAGTGAGACCTCATTATAATGCAGCTGTGGGATCTTGATCAAGTCACTTCACCTCTCCTGGCATCTGTTTGTGGTTAGGTAAATTCAGCACATAACAAAAGGGTGGGAGCTCGACAGGTGCTCCATGGTATTATTACCATGCCCTCTTCAACCCACCCAGTCCATCCCCAATATCACCTTCCTAATGCTACAGGCCTCATTGTTTCCAGTTTCTGGTTTACTTCAGTCATTGCCCAAAAAGCACAGGTGAGAGTAACTCCAGAATGGAAGAAATGAAAAGAATGATGCCTCCTATCTAGATAGGTTTGTGTATGATCCCATGTCACTTGGAGAATGTAGAATATTCTCCAAAGTGACTTTCCCATGTACCTCCCCTATCCCTTTGTTAATAACAATGACTGGCCATGCACGGCGGCTCACGCCTGTAATCCCACAGTGCTCGGGGAGGCTGAGGTGAGAGGATGCTTGAGGCCAGGAGTTTGAGAAAAGCCTGAGCAAACTAACGAGACCCCTCCATGTCTGAAAAACATTTTAAGATTAGCCAGACATGATAATGTACACCTATAGTCCTAGCTACTCTAGAGGCTGAGGTGGGAGGATTGCTTGAACCCAGGAGTTCAAGGCTGCAGTGAGCTATGGTTGTGCCACTGCACTCCAGCCTGGGCAACAGAGTGAGACCCTGTCTCTTAAAAACAAAAACAAAAACAAAACAAAACAAAAAAAACCGATGATATTGACCAATATGAACTGAATGACTTCTTGGTTCCAGGCCCTGTTCTAAGCACTTTTTTTTTTTTTTTTTTTTTTTTGAGATGGAGTCTCACTCTGTCACCCAGGCTGGAGTGCAGTGGTGCGATCTTGGCTCACTGCAAGCTCCGCCTCCCAAGTTTGCGCCATTCTCCTGCCTCAGCCTCCCGAGTAGCTGGGATTACAGGTGCCCACCACCACACCTGGCTAACTTTTTTTTGTTTTTTAGTAGAGACGGGGTTTCACCGTGTTAGCCAGGATGGTCTCGATCTCCTGACCTCGTGATCCGCTTACATCGGCCTCCCAAAGTGCTGGGATTACAGGCTTGAGCCACCGCGCCCGGCCTCTAAGCACTTTTAAGCAATAATTCACCTAATCCTCACAGCAATCCTGGGAGCGAAGTACTATGATCATGCCCATTTCACAGATGACAAAACTGAGACCCTGAGAGGCTAATCTGCACTGGTAAGGAGCAGAGGGTGGCAACCCAGGCAGGCTGGCTTCTGGTACCTGAACTTCTGCTTCCTCTACCCACTTCCTAGCACCCTCTGCCCCGCCCACCTGCCACCCAGCAACCCCTCACTGACACTCTGGCTGCACTACCTAGTCCCCAGTCTGTTGTCCCAGCAGGGTCTCTGGCCACTGGCCATATGCCAGCAATCAAGGAACTTCTCCATAATTTGCCCCAGTTTGCCCCCGTTTCCCCTTACTCCTCCTGAAGGAAGGTACACACATCTCTCTTGGAACTCTACCTGAGAATTTCCTAGCCTGTCCACTCTGGGGATCTGAACTTTCATGTTCTGTTGAGATTTCTGGCAACAAAGACTGGCACAAACATGAGAATTTCCTGTGGGAGCTCCTCCCCATCTCTTCAAGCATTTCTCCTACACCGTAGGTCAACAGAACCCAAATCCCTCACATCCTCCTGGGCCCTTCACTCTAAGCACGGGTCAGCCCCTTCCTACAGTCTAGCAGTAATGAAAACAGTTTCCAGAAAGTAGGCTATGCATCTTACAAAACTGTGATTTAGTATTATATCCAAAACCGCTCACTCAAATCATTCTTAATAAGGTGAAAAATAACTTTAAAAGATAATAAATATTCTACAATCTTGTCTTCTATTGTTCTACGACTGCAGAACACCAGCTCTCTGGGGCTGCTGCACAATCTGGCTTTAAGTTCTCCCCTGCCTTGAAGCCTTTCTGACAGGGGAAAATGCACTCCACTAGTCAGATGATAAAAATAGCAAATGTTTACTGAGACAGTGTTAATTAAATGCTGTGCACTGTGCTGGGAGCTCTACATGCAGCATCTCATTTAATCTTTACAACGGCTCTATGATTTAGGTGTCACTAAATCAAAAAGTAGTAGGAGTCACTACTTCAAAACCAAACCAAACCGAATCTCTGGGAAATTAAGCAGTTGGCCAAGGACCCAAAGTGACAAAGTCGAGATTCAGACCCAGATCTGTCTGGTTTTCATACTTTTAAACCACTCAGTTACACCTGATCCCCTTCAAGGCCTCAAACTGTCAGGGATGCTCTGATGGCTGATGGCTGAAGTCTGAGCTGCATGCATCCTTCAGGAGGAACAAGGGGAAATGGGGGCAAATTGGGGCAAATTATGGAGAAGTTCCTTGATTGCTGGCATTGGCCAGTGGCCAGAGACCCTGCTGGGACAACAGACTGGGGACCACTCAGCTCTATGCTCCTCTCCCTCCACCAAAGCACTAGGGAGCCTGCTTAAGAGGCATTCACTTAGGATTCATCCCAAGCCCTGTGATCCCAGAGCAGGGTCAGCCCAGAGTGGGGGGGGGATCACCTTTTTCTAACTCGCACAGAGGTGTTGTAAGCAACAGCAGCATCCTAGTTGCCTCCAATCTCTAGGTGCCGGCTCCTAACCTGCTAGATGAAGAGCATGAGTTCCATGGGAGTGACAGCACCTAGGGAATGTGCTCCGTTCCCTGTCCTGGGTCCACGGCATCCAGGCCTAATATATCCCCAGATGCCTTTTCTGAGCTTTTCTGACCTCAGAGTCATGTTCAATATATTACCCTGAGCACCATTTATCTAATCCGAGTGGGCATCCAGGACATAATCTCTTTGCCATGCCTCAACTAGAAGCTCTCAAAGGCTGCTTCCAGAGTAATATATCATTACATGGCTTGTCTACATATGAAGTGTATGAAAACACACATTTTTTTCTGAAATAAATAATGGAATCAGGTTTCAATAACATAACTCAGGAAAATAAATTAGCTGGTTTCTCCCAGCCTTTCCATGCAAAAAGGTCTGAGGCCAGGGGCCCTTGAGATGTCAAACTGGGGAGAATGGTAGAAGTTTTCATGGTTCCGAAAATTAGAGAGGGGATCCCTGGCAAGGAAAGTCTCCTTACCACAAATTGGTCCCTATCAGAGAATTGCTGCTCAGTTCAGATGGTAATTAGCACACCCCAAATTACTTGCCAGCAACAGTATAACTAAGACTTGGAGACAAGAGAAGACTAAACTTGAGAGAGAAGCTGCATCACCACAGAAACACGACCTGACTGAGGAGATGAAATGAGGTAACTGCTTCAATTCAAAACACATCTACCCATTGCTCCAAACCCTCTATTTGCAAAGCCCCACCAGGCAGAGAAACTTCAAGTCCTGATCTTGACTGTGTGATGCCAGAGGCTGCAGGGACTGGCCACAGAGCGCAAGTCCAGCCCTCCCCTGGGGTGGAAGCCTGTGATGTGGGCAGGCAGTTCAGGAATGCCCTTCCTCGCAGAGGGAATAGTCCCTTCAGGCAAAAGGCTTCCTGGAGGGAAGCCAAGGAGGGAACCTCCAGACCCTTCCTGACTGCACTCGGATGAGGGATGTGGCCTTGCTGGATGGGAGGTAACAAATGTGCTATGAAGATCAACTGATCACACTGACACCCACATTTGAACACCTCATGCCGCCTCCACACCCACTGGCTTTCAGATCCTGGGAAGAGCATCTGAGGACCACAATGTTGCTAGGCACCCTATTCTTTGGGATGAAGACCATGATGTTGGTCCCATCTACTTCTCAGGGGTGAAAAGACTGCGGAAATATCAAACAGAAGTCCGGAAGAGTCATAACTTCCAAAGGCAACCAAGGAAGAGAGAGCCCTGCTAGGGGCCTGCTCTTCCTCCTGAGGAGCGAGGAAGAGTCCTAAGAGCCAGCCTGCCTCAGCAGCCAATTGTTGGTCCTGGGCTTGCAGGCTTCAGTCACCTCTTCTGTGAAGCACTGTTGGGGAATGAAGACGGTTTTGTCCCCCAAGCTTAAAAGACTGCCCATGCGGGACAGTGAGACTGATGGGAATGGAAGCAAGCTGGAGACAACACGCCCCTCTAAACGGGCTCTGCAGGCTGCTACCTTAGAGGACACCAAACCCTGTGTTGCTGCTGCCACCAGAGCGCCCAATTTGGGGACAGGAACAAACAATCTGAATTTTTATATAAAATCTCTCCAGTTTTAAATATAGTCAGCTCATTTTTAAAAAATGGTATGGGCCAAACATTCCTATTGGCAGGAATCAACCTGTGGGACTGCCATTTTGTAATCTCTTTCATTGAAAGGACAGTTTCAAAAAAGGGAGAACAAGGGTGGTTTTTCCAAATCCTTGACTTTGACCAATCAGGTGGCCCAATTAAAAAAACAAGTAAATTAACAATCTATTCTGTGCAAAGTCTACCTGGCAGACATCATGGTTACCAACCATGTAGTTGGGGAAGAAAAGGCAGAAACAGAGGGAACATCTTGGTTAATAACACCAAAATGAGAAGCAGTCCATTAAAACAATGCCAAAGACATCATAAAAGGTGTGACTGATGTGGTTCTGCTGACCATGCTGAGGAATTCAGGGCACAGATGAATAGAGAGACTTCAGTGAGGAGAGATGGCTGCAGCATTTTCACTGATTGAGGAGGATTTGAATCTTGAGGGTTAGATAACATAGCTAGTGTTTACTGAACACCAAGCATTGTACTCAACACTTTGTAAGGATTATTTCACGTGATGTTTGCAATGACTTTCCAGTTTAGAACCCTCACTCTTAAGAACCATATGGCACTGTCTCTAGACTTGGATGATCCTTGGAAAAAAAGGCAAGGTATCCCAGGCAGGGAGAATGGTCTTGAGCAAAAGTGTAGAGCAGCAATGGGCAAAATAAATGTGTGTGGGGAGGTGGAGGGAAAAAGTACAAGTGTCTGTTGCAAGTTTCCTTTGTGCTTGTGTGTTTTTCACAAATATCCAACAGCAAGATTCCAGAGGTTGTAGCAGCCCCAAGGATTGTATAGCACTCCCTAGATTGAAAGCCTCAGGAAAGAGGTTTCAGCCAAAGATGTGGTCTCCCAACTGGAGGTACACAGATTAGACCTCAGTCCTGAGAAACAGGATGGCAGAGCAAACAAGGTCCCTGCCCTGAGGCTGGAATGCAGCCCACCCTGTGAATACATGAATATTCATTGCTTTGGAGAAGTTGCTGAACATTTGCAGACATCTACCTCGGAGGACTCAGCTGGGAAAAATTCACTCTATCCCTAGAGGAAAATGGGGTGGGGTGGAGAATGGGGATGTTGGATTCAGAAAGAGATTTGAGTTCCAACAACCCACCCAGAATGCCTAAGGGGCCTACGGCTATTCTCTGCCCCCTTGGGGCTAGAGGAATCTGCCAGAAATAGAGTTGAGAAAGTGTGAAGGGTGGTGTACAAAGAGTGAAGGAAAGAGGTCCAGCAAGTTTAGACAGTGTAGGCATGGAGGGGAAATGCCACCTTTCTTCTAGCAAATCAGAGGAAGCTTTGGGAAGGAGGTAGGGGGATAAGAAAGCCTCGGAAATGTTTTTCAACTTTAGTGGATAAAAGGTCCTGGAGAGGAAAATGGGTGCTACAAAAGGACTAATAATAACAATAAGGTTCTCAAAGGCCATGTTGAGATTGAAATGAAATGGGACCACAGAATTGCCAACCTGCATTGACAAATCTTTGGTTCATTTTGATCACCACTGGGTTCCCAGGAGAAATACCAGATTGTCCTCAGATACTTATTTCAGGGTCCTTTTATGTCAGTTTAACCTATGAATTAACCTAATATTAAGAAGTTGTAACTTCCCATTTTCTTAACACCAGTCCTATAAAGCTCAAGTCCCACCAAATGCATCCAAAACACAGTCTATAGTCAAAAGGTGTTTGGGAACTAGCTGCGTATATACTTTCACATCTTGGAAATTCACGGTGCATATTAACATGGTAAATACCCTGAGAAGTCCTGCAATCAAGAAGCCTTCCATACATCCTTTAGCACAACACTTTCTGAATTTATTTGACCAGGATCCTTTTGTTGCTGAACACCCATTAAAATGAATGCATTTGGGAAACGCACATCTAGACATTTGGGAAGCTGATGTTCACATCCTCCGCCTCAAATACCTCTGAGGTAATGAATTCCATAAAATTGACATCTGCTCTTACAGCACAACTTCCCATTCATGCATTTTTTCCATTAAAAAATATTTTAGCGCTGTACTAAACCCTGCTAATAAAAAATAAAAATACAATTCCCCGCTCACAAGTAGCTCATAGCATGGTGGGGAAGGCAGTTAAAGCACCAGTCTCGGAGTTGGAGTATGGCTGATGCTCAATAATAGTTTGCTGGGGAAGCTAGAGCTAGAAGAAGTCTTTCTAATAAATAAGACCAGCATAGTCAGGGAGGGCTTCCTAGAGGTGGAGAGATGAGCAATGAATTTTAAAGAACGAGATTCAGCCTGTAATCCCAGCACTTTGAAAGGCGCAGAGGGGTGGATACCTTGAGGTCGGGAGTTCGAGACCAGGCTGACTAACATGATGAAACCCCGTCTCTACTAAAAATACAAAATTAGCTGGGTGTGGTGGCACATGCCTATAATCCCAGCTACTTGGGAGGTTGAGGCAGGATAATCGCTTGAACCCGGGAGGCGAGGGTTGCAGTGAGCCAAGATCGCGTCTTTGCACTCCAGCATGGGCAACAAGAGTGAAACGCCATCTCAAAAACAAAAAAGAATGAGATTCAGTTGGATAGCAGAAAGTGAGAGGATGGTTCCAGGTATGAGTTAGAAGGCATAAAGATGCAGAGAAGAGAAAACATGGTAACTGAACCGCAAAAGGCTAGGACTGAAAGGAGTACGTAAGGAGTGAAAGCGGGAGGAGAAGGAAGAGGTGAAATCTAGAATTCCATCGAGTCCCTCCATTGTCCTATAGTTCTGCCAAGCTTCAAGGATGCTGTCTCCTAGATCTGAAAACAAGGGCACACCCTTCCTGAGTGTGCATTCCTTCCTCACATTATTTTCCCAGTCTTAGGAATGCAAATGTTCTAATCTGGGCAGTTACCACAGCAGTCTTGACGTCTCCTCCACTGTATTAAATGCTCCTCTGTAGCTCCCTTAGGTCGTTCTTGAGAATAGCTGCAGATGTATTTTCCCTATTTTCAGAGGACAAGGGAATTAAATTGCATGGCACTCTAGGCCTGACTTTGGGCTTGAAGAAGCCTGGTACTCTGGATAGAAGGCTGACTGTCATCTTTTGCATACATCCTGCTCAGCGCTCCTGCTGGCTGAAGTGTGTTTGCTCCAGTCTCTGTATGCCTAGAATCCATCTCCCTTTCTTTAGTCACCAAAGGTGGACATGTGATGCACACTCAGCTCATCCAAGACCCCAGGCCCCATCCACAGTGATGGGTCTAGGGAAAGGCATGTGGCTCAAGCCAGGCCCAACAGAAGTCCTTCCCTGAGGGTTTTCTGGTACAAACGGTACAGAAGACCCTTCTCTGGTTACAAACCAGTAAGGATATGGTGCCAATCTGCCAGGGCTCCATCACAAGGGCACACCTGAAAGAAGCTGCAAGATGCAGAGGTGAGATGTGGATGAAGACAAGACCTAGTGGGCTCTGAGCCTGGGGTCTTTCGGGCCATCCTACCTCAAGGCTCTGCACTGCCAATGTTGTTGCTTGTTGGTTCATTTTCCCTTATCCTGCATTTCTTTAATTTCTGTCAATGATAATCCTGAGAGTCCTAAAAAAACCAGTTCCTCTAGGGTGGAAGTAGTCAGACCCCCATGAGACCACACACAGCCCCTGCGATAATTCCTAGAGTTTCTTTCCAGCAGCTGGGGTGACATTAGAAAGGTAGAGGAAGTGAAGAGAGCATCTCTCCTTCTCAGAGTGAAGACAGAGCATCTGATATGTATGATCAGCTTCCAAGTTGGAAAGACTCTTGTTCTGGTTTTGTCTTCATCTCTTAACTCTTAGATCACAAGTTCTTTAAACTCTTTCCCTTGACGTCAAATGGGATACCACTAATACCCTCCCTCACAGGGTTGGGAAGATAAATTGAGGATGCTGGAGAAAGAACCTGCCCAGCACATAGTACAGTACAAAACACTGCTAATTTTCTTTCATTTTAAGTTCTACTGAAGGCCAACTCATCTAAGAGTATGTCACAATCTATGAAAAATCCAGGAGAGGAGATATCTGAGCCAAGAGCTTTCCCAGTGTGATCAAAAGAAAAAAAAAAGTGACAGCCTGTCCTCACCTGTCCCACCTGCATATTTCCAGATCTCTCTCCGCTCTTTATCCCATGGAGCTGAAGCTCAACAAAGACGAATGATTAAAAAAAAAATCTTCCTCTAAAATGCAACTCCCTTTGACATGCATATGATGAAAATACCCTTTGCTCTTTTCACAACTGTTTGGGCTGTTCTTGGCTCCTGACTGTGTGTTCCATAAATGTATGTTCATTTTAGATGGCAAATACTTCAAAGGCAGAAGGTGGGTCTGTGGATCCCACTTCCTGCAGAGCTCTGAGGAATACCATAGACAATGAACAATGACGGCAATGATGGAAAGCTTGGGTCTGTGTCTTAGTCATGGGAAGAAGGAACAAAATGAAGAAGGGCCAGATGAGCCCTTAATATGAGTCAGAGAATAGACTGATACTTACAATACACCATTATCCTTGACTGTCTCCACAACTCTGGCTGTTGCTATATCCATTTACACAGTGAATACTGAGGCTTAGAAAAACAAAATTATGGACCTATGTGGTGGAGGTGGGATATGGTAGTGTGGCTTCAAATCTGCGGTTTCCCCTCTTCCCACTCCTAGTACACAGAAAGGTTAATGGGTTAGGCAATTTGGGTTATCAGCGCCACCATCTAAATTTTAGCTTGAGCAAATTATTTATCATCTCTGAGCCCCATTTCCTCCATAATAAAATGAAATGGTAATACCCATTTCCCAGGATAATTATGAAGATTAAAGGAGATTCTGAAGATTATGGCATTTAGAGCCCCTGGTGCTTTGTAAGCGTTCAACAAATAATAGTTGCTGCTTCGTGGTTGTGTTATTGACTATTATTTCCACTATATCTTCTCGTCTTCCTATGTTCACAGCCTAATGACTATTTTGCAAGAGGTACTTTTGGTCTCTGTTTTCACCCTGAGATGTCTGTGGCTTCCACAGACAAGCTGGTAATATCTGCAGGCCTTTCCTACACACCACCTTTCTTTCCTTCGCCTGTTTCTGAAGCTCAGGGCAACAGAATCTGGCCCCAGGCTACCCCAAAGCCTAGAGAGCTGCTCCTGCAGGGTGAGAGCCATGACTATGTCTCCATGTTGGCTGCAGCAGGGCTGGTGACTTCCACGTCCCCCATAAGGAAGCCATATGGACCTTGCTCTCTCTCCAGCAGTCAGCACCGCTCAGGCAACAAAGTCCATGAAGTAAGCTCTTTATCACCCAGGGTTTCTTCTCTTTGGCTTTTCTGTTGTTGTTTGATAAACATTTGTAATGTTTCTCAACAGCTAAAGTACTTCTGGGCCTGCTCCACCACCAAGCCCACAGTGAGTGCAGATTGAAGGAAACCAAGTCCTCCACTCCTCTTCTTGCTTTCTGTGCCTCTGCCTTGACTGCTCACATGTCTCCTCTCAGCAGCTCTTTTGCAGAGAGAGGGAAGGCCTGGATAAGTCTCCCCAAGAAAGCCAATGCCTTCTTCCTTCTTTTTCTCAGGAAACAGTGAGGTTTACCTGAAAGAAGGTAGAATTTAAAGCCTGACGGGCAAGGTATGAATGCCAGGTCTGCGATTTCTTCGCTGAATGAGCTTGCCTAAAACACCTTTCAGAGTCTCGATTTTCTCTTCCGTCAAATGGGTTTCTAATACTTACTAGCCACCAGATTGTGGAGAGAAGATGCAATGAATAGAGGCAGAAGCAATACAGAGTAAGTGATAACCATCCTAGATCCTTCGAATTTCCTTACTATGGCATTGAATTGTTTGAAAGAAGTTAAGAGGAGTGACCTAAATTAATCCCTCCATTTCCATATAAAATATTTGACATTTTTTCTTCTGGTAGAATAAGGATCAGAGATCAGTAACATTTTTCTGTAAAGGGCCAGTATAGTCTCAGCCACAACTATGTAACGTTGCCCTGTAGCACCAAAGGGGCCATATAGCATATGTAAATGAATAGGTGTGGCAGTGTTCCAATAAAACTTTATTTACAATAGCAGGTGGCAGTGGGCTGGACTGGCTCACAGGCTGTAGTCTGCCCAGGCTTGGGTTTGGAGCTGGTGAAGAACATGCCCCTGGTGAAGAAAACTAGAGGGCCAACCTCCCTCTTTCTGCCAGCACCCTCTTAGAAATCCACCTCGAGGGCTCCAGAGGCAGAGCCCATGAAAGCCACTGAAATCCCCCCTCTGCCTTTGAGAACTGGAGGTTTAGATTTATAGGCATGACAATTTGTTTCACATAATTCTGTCAGTAATTACATCGACTTCCACCAGCAGCCATTAGGTAAATGATTTGGCCCTTTCCCCTGAGTAATATTTTCCCCCACTGAAATAAATGGAGGGTGCATTTCTCTCCCATAAGTTAAGCATATTATTTGCCTCATCACACAAGGCAAATGCAGTAGCTCTGAGCTATTAGTCTATCACTGCAGCAATCAGACGGCCAGGAGCCAGAAGTAATTTACAACAGGGAAGTAAACAGGGCCCCAGATAAATAAATAAGAGGCCTGGGCTGATCTGGGGCCTGAAAAGATTAAGTCATGAGAGTATCTAACGAGAGATTTAGTGCTAAGTGAACTAGGACCAAAGCAGCATCCCATGGAGGAATCAAATTATATCACTGGAAAGAGATATTATTGAAGTCCCTCATGCTGAGCGGGGAAATCAGCACTTCTTGGGAGGGGAGGGCTACCATCATTAGCATAGCAATTTGGGACTCCTCACTGGAGTCTGGCTAAGTAGCTGCAGGTAAATGAGTTATATATAGTAGGTAAGCAGGGTGCAGTGACCCTGCCCACCAGGAAAGCCTGGTCAGGTCCTCAGTGGCTGTGGGATTCTAAGTACCAGGCTGGGGTCTTTTCTTAAATACAAAGGCTCCTTATAAAGGAGAAGTAACTATCTGGGATGGAAAAGAAAATGATGCCGATTCAAAGCTGACTTTAGCTTTTTAACTTCTGAAATGCCTAGAGGGTGGAGACTGGACTCCTAATGGATTGTCTTCCCTAGAACTGCTGTGAGCTCTGGGAAGCAGTCACTGTCACCCCCACCTCAAGGAGACTTCCTTTCTCTTCCCTTCCTTTGGATGGCACTGCCACTCTCCCAACAGCAGGATGGAATCCTTAGGGAGTCATCTTCCAATTTTTCCTTCTGATTGCCTCTTCTGTTGGTTCTTTCCTTGGAATCACTCTCACGTGAGGTTTGTCCTTTCAGCTCCTTTCCTTGAGAAAAAAAGTACATCATGACAGCAACCACGTGGAGGCAGTCCTAGTGCTTTGGTAGAACCACTCACAATTTTTCTACAGGTGAGAATTGCTAATCCTTAGTTTCTGCAGCAAATCTATCACCAGTATCATCAACATCCTTTTCTTAAAAAAGTAACTGCTATCCCAGCTGGCCCAAACCAGGGAAGCATCAATCCTTTACTTCTTGTAAGCTAAGATTCTGTCTTCTGTGATTCCCCTGTCGCTTAATGAAAAATCACGGCTAAGGTAAGCAGGTACCTTTGGGCTGTGCCCACAGCAACAAACCAGAAATCTGAGTGCTGAGGTTTGTGAGTCCCCTACTGCTCCCTGCCTCAGTTTCTCCAATTGTAAAATGAGGGCATTGATATAGAAATTCCAGAAGGTGCCATTCAGCTCTGGCATTCTATGAAGGTGGCTCCTTACACACTGAACGGTTGCTGTAGAGACAAGAGCTTACACAGAGCTTGGCACAGAATGGAGAGTCACACGTGCGATCAGAGATTCTTCCAGCTGCTTTGGGAGGAGCCAGAAAAAGACTAAAACAAACCTGAGATATACCGCACCCCACCACACACACACGATTCTTATTTTCTTTCTTTCCTTTCTATTACCAGATCTCTATCTTTAGCACCCCTATTCCCTGTTTAATTTTATTGTTGCTGTTATCCTTTCTTCCTTCCTCCCCTTCTTCCATTCTTCAGGTTGTCTTCCTTTCTTTCCATTCTATAATCCTTCCCCCACCCAATTCATTTAATGAATATATCCTCACTCACAAGACACCTCTTCTATTTCTTTGTGACATGGATTAAAGATAGTGATGAAGTCAGGTTGTTCCTAACAGCAGCCTCTCTCATTGACTTTATTGCTCTTGAGCAAATAAAGAGAGTCTCAAGAGCTCACATTCTTCGGTGCAATGTGGGTGACGGGCCCATGATTGAATGATGGTAGGTTTGCAGAAAGGAGAAGTGACAGGTAGGGGTGCGGGGGCAGGATGTAGGAGAAGAACAAACAGTAGGTTGGTGGTACAGCTTTATACAACACCAAGCCAGAGTCTCAGAGTTAGTTTGGAAAACATTAATATTTTGTTGCACCAGTGTGGTTCTGGTTCAATTATTTTAGAAGATATGGTTCATTTCAGGTCTGGACTAATTCACCAGAGGTCTTTCAAACAACCTCTGGTTTAGATCTCAGATCAAGAAAAAAAAATAATTTGGAAGTTTAGGTCAATGTTCAATAAATTAGTGAAACCTATTCCTTTTTCTTTTTTTTTTTTTTTTTTTCCAGACCAAGGCTTGGTTTTTGTTTGAGTCTCCACAGGTTATTTTTGTAAAGCCTTCACTAAGGTGAGGCCTCCAATAGCTAGACAATCCCTTTCAATGTCTATTAGAAGTTAAAAAATCAATGAGGCCTAGAGATGAAGCCAACACAGCTTATCTTTCCATTTCACTGTATCACAGAATATTATTCCCAGATCTTTGAAACTGCATCAAAAACAACATTCCCCTCCCCAGCTCTCAGTCTCAAGCACTGGCTCACATCTGCTTGAAGAGATTCTAGCATAGGCTGTTTCTTTCTCTTTGGTGGGAGACCCACTGTTGGAGTATGAAATCCTCCTGCCACCGAGTTAGTTTTATTCTCATTTGTGTGTGCTTGTGTGAGTGTGCATGAGCATATGTGTGTGTGTGTGTCTGTGCACACATGCTGTTAACTAGTCATTCGGGGCTTTTGCAGGGCAATGAGGAGAGAGCTCTGGTTTGGAACAAAAGGCACCTTTGACCATATAGTGAGAGGGAATAGCAGATTTTGGAGAGACCAGGTTCCTTCTCTCATTTGCTCATTTCCAGAGTGTGTAGCTAGTACCCACCATGTGCTAGATGCAGTGGTAGGTAACTGACTGTAGAGTCAACAAAACAGATAAAATCCCTGCATTCAAGAAGCTTACAATCTATGGGGGGATGAAAGAGCAAAATACAAACAAGTAAACAAATAAATGAGCAAAAAGAATTTCAGGTAGTGATAAGTGCTATGAAGAAAATAGAGCAGGATCATCTTGTAGACAGTGACCAATGAGGAAGGGGACCATGACTGCAGACAGGGTTGTCATGAGAGAGTTCTCTGAGGAAGTGATGGCTGAGCCAGGACTTGAATTTCAGGAAGGATCTGGCCACACTGACATTTGAGGTCAGCATATCCCAGGCAGAAGGAACAGCAAAGCCAAGAAGAGAATTGTTGGAGCAACAGGAAGAAGGCTCATGATGCTTCAGTGCAGTGGATGTGGGGAGAGTGGCATGAGATGGCACTAGGACAAGTACCAGGGGTCAGATGATGTAGTGCAGGAGCTTAGGATGTCTTCTCAGGACTATGTAAAGTCATTGGAACTTTTAACTGGGGAAAAGAGGAGATCTGATTTCCCTTAAAACAATAATTGCGGCTGTTAGATTGACAATGAACAACACAGGAATAGGAGACACAGCAGGAAGATTACTGAGGTCCTTGAAATCCAGCCAGAAGGACTGCTGGTCCACGGTGATGGCAACAGAGACAAAAGGTGGTGAACATATTGGTAATGCATGGTGAAGACAGAGATGGCAAATTCTACCCAATATGCACATCACTCACATCAACAGCTCTCTACTCAGGGAGGAACTGGAGAACAGAATATTCCCTGAGCAACTCTGTCTTTCCCTGCTGCTTCTTTTTCTAGCCCCATTAGACCTAATGATCTCCCACCTTTCACTCTCATTTAAATAAAGGAAGTGTCACACATAAGGGAAAAGGATCTGCAGAGAATACCATTAGCAATGGAACCCCTAACAATTATTTCCTAAGATAATGTTGTTTGATGGCTACGCCCTTGAGAACTGGTGGTTGGCAATGGTCTGTTCTGAGTTCTAACATGAAATGAAAGTCCCTGAAGGTCTCAGTTGGAAGCCTGACCCATGCACATCTCTTCCAGGGAAAAGAGAGCTCTCCCTGGAGGCCAGAAAACATTTACAGTAATAATTTACTGTCTCTGACACAGATCTGCCACTATCATCTCTATGGACCAAAAACACCAATTATGAGCCAAGAAGTCAAAGAGCTTCCCCCAACCATCACTGCAGCTGCCTTTCTAATCCCTAATATCTCACCATAGCATTGCCCAATAATTTGAGCTAATTTAATAGTCAATGTCTTGCACTAAAGTGAAATTATATCTGTGAGTTAATTCAGCAGCCCAAAAAGGATCTTCATTTATCTGTCTGGGATTCTCCTATAGAGAGGTTTTGTGTGTGTGTGCGTGGTACGTTAGGTGTATGTGCCTGTGCTTTTAACAAAAAGGAGTCAGAGTGGGAGACAGATATAGGAAGAAGACTATTAGAGCAATATCAGTAAAACTGATGATTTTTCATTTCTCTCTAGATTGCTACCACTGGTTTTCATCTTTAAAAAATTATTAAAGTTGGCCGGGTGCAGTGGCTCACACCTGTAATCCCAACACTTTGGGAGGCTGAGGTGGGCGGATCACGAGGTCAAGAGATCGAGACCATCCTGGCCAACATGGTGAAACCCTGTCTCTACTAAAAATACAAAAAATTAGCTGGGTGTGGTGGCGCGTACCTGTAGTCCCAGCTACTCAGGAGGCTGAGGCAGGACAATCGCATGAACCTGGGAGGTGGAGGTTGCAGTGAGCCAAGATCGTGCCACTGCCACTCCAGCCTGGCGACAGAGCGAGACTTCATCTCAAAAAAAAAAAAAAATTATTGAAGTTAGATTTATCTGAGTATCTTGATCCACAATACAGTTTCACAAATCCCAAATTGAATGAGACTGAGATAGAAGAGATTAGTCATAGGTTATCCTTGTACTCTCTTGAAAATCCAGTTTTCTTCTTTAGACAGAGCATTTTGACCTCCAAAAGTCAAGATGTTCCCTTTATCTGGAGAAACGTTGGCATGATTCAACATATATTTCAATCAAAAGCTGACTCGTTGACTAAAAATTCAAGTCCAGAGCCCCAGACACGCCAACAAGAGGCCAAACCATCAGTTCAACAGCAGGATATTCCACTTGGCCAACCGTGGGGAGAGTTTTTGGCTACGCAACAGGCAGTGCTAATCAAGGGGCGGGCGGGCCACACTTCTAAGCAGGCTTCATCACCATAAGTAGGGTGAGGAGAATTAGAAAAGGAACGATGGGAAAAAAGAAACATCATGAATAAAACATCAGAATATTATTCTAAACCATGAATCAAAAACTCAGGTCCAGCTCACCAAATTTAGGCAAGGAGCATGAAATTGACTTAAACGTCTCCATTTCTATTTGGTTTGGACAGTGCTGTGTTATCATAGCTTTGCTGTTGTTAATATTGTATCAACACTTTCATTACAGACCTCAACCTCCTGGACTTTGTAAATGAACTGCAAACCTTACAAATGGAATTTAATGTTCAAATCCAAGATACTGAGTCCATAGGAAAGCCAGAAGAAAGACAAAGTTACAGATGTTTTTGGTGATTTGAAATTATGCTAGAATTTGGGGCATCAAATTAAAATACTATTTGTCCCCTGGAGGGATTCCCAAATGTTGGTTGAAAATGAGAGATAATTAGGCTCTTTAGAAATGTTTCTGTTGATGCTGAATGTGGTTCAGGAACAAATATTTCAAGATTATTGATGTGGGTACATTTGCATCTTTCAGACAACTGAAGAATGTGTGTTTGGGTTCTGCTCACCTCAAAAGGTTGTTATTTTTCTATATACAATGCAGTATTTCCCTAATATTTAATTCCATGGATAGTTTCTAACTCCAGATAAAGAGAATGAAGAATGGTATGGGTGAAGGCTGGCTTCTGGTTCTCGTTCTTAACAAAGAGATGACTATTTGAGTACCCTTGGTGATGCCACAAAACCCTGCCTAGGCTGGCCAACCCCACCACAGGTCACAGGGTGCTGAGAGCAGCACTGATTTTGTGCAGAAAGGGCTCAGCTGTCACAGTTTCAACTCCACAGGTGGGTCCCAGCCAAGGAAGTCTGAGAAAGAGCGAGGTGGCAAGAAGCCCACACTTATACCCTCCGGGCTCAGGTTAGACATTTCTGGGTTCTATACTCAGCATCCCAACCACCAGCACATTGGAGTGACACACACAGTAGGCGTTCAACAATACTTTAGTTGTCCCTGGACACATACTTCTCTTCCTAGAAAGGGGGCAGGAATGTTAACAACAGGGAATTGACTGAGTCCCAAGTATAAGCTGGGTGTTTGTTTTATTTTTCCATTTTCCTCACTCACTACTTTCATACGTAGTAAAGAGAGTACACTGATGTATGAAGGCTTTCAGCTGTATGTGCGAGGAGGTGAGCTTGTCTTGCCATCAGCTGTTCAATGTACCACCATGGCCAAGATTTAGGAGGTTTTTCTGAAGCCCTTACACATACAACCCTTTCTCCCTACATGCCTCCTTTCTTGCAGTGAGGGATTCAGTTGGTCCCACATTTCACCATTATCTCTAATGGTCCAGTGCTGTTCAACAAAGGTTGGTCTGATTTCCTTAAAGGATGGCTTTTCTCACTCTGGTCCATGACATGACTCTAGGATGACACAAACATCTTCAGAAAACCATCTTGGAAGGCCCACCAAGTAAACCAGCAAAAGCCCTTACCTTCAAACCAAAGAAAATACTAAATCCATGAAATCACTTAAGCCACCCTTCCAAAGAGAAGGAGATTCAAAATGTTTTATGCAGCAACCTATAAGAAACTCATTTTGTGGGATGTTTCACATTCCAGACCATGGTTTATTCCCCCATATATCCCTTCCAGTAATATCAACCAGATGTGGCAAAGAAGTCTGTGCAGAATTGTAAAAATTACAAGCATATTCTGTAATTCCAAAGCATTGTAAAGTCACAGCTTGGTTTTCTTTCCTTCTTAAAAAAAATTTAAAAACAATTTCCAAGCTGGCAGAATGTACTTCTCAGTACAAGTATTGCCCGATCACTTTAGAAAACTCTTCTGCTGGCCCACAGGGCTGAAGAGACTAAAATGTAAAACCCAACTCTACCTTTGATAAATTGTAGGGAATTTAGAAAGGTCTACTTGCTAGCATGTATTTAGGTCTATAAATCTTTTTCTTTCAATGTTTCAAGTATTAATATCCTAGATCTCAGATAAGAGCACGTGCTTATATATACTCATATGCGCTTATAAGTTCAAAATACTGAACCATGAAAGCTTCATAAATTTATGATTGTTATCCCTCTCCCATTCAAGATGTGTTTCTGCATAGAAAGCACATCATAAGGTAGGGAAAAAACTCACAGGAGTAAGAGGGTGAGAAAGTCAGAGAGACCTGGGTTCATTTCTGGTGAGTGAGTGAAACTCAAGCCCAGTTTCCTCATCAGTGTAGCAAGCATAAAAACACCTTTCATGCAGGATTCTTGGGAGGACTGAAGGAGTTGGCATCAACATAAGGTACCTAGCACACATTAGGTGCTCAAAAGATGTTTGGTTCCTTCCTTCAAAATATATAAAATAACAGGGGCTATATGAGATCGATGTTTCTTAAAGTATGCCCCTAAGTGACACACAACAAAATCACCTAGGGTGCCTATTTACAAAGTCAAATCCCCCGGTCCATTCCAAATCTAATGAACCAGACTTCCCGGCTGTGTGGCCTGGGATGCAGCATTTTAACCATCCTTTCAAGATATTTGTTTCTATATGCTAAGTTTGAAAACCAACCATAGCCTAGGTCCTTGCTCTGCTGTGGTGCTAGGCCAGCACAATCACTTCGGAATATGTTAGACATGCAGATTCTTAGGTCGTGTTCCAGACTTACACAATCAGAATCCACATTTTAACAAGATCCTTAGGTGTTCAGATACATACTAAAGTTTGAGAAGCACTGGTCTAGATTGCTATTCCTAGCTCAAAAATTCTGTAATGCAAGAATCTACAAGGCAATTTAAATGTTGGCTTTGTTATCAACTCTGTGGCAAGTCCGCAGGCTTCTATGCTCAGCTGGACACATCCTATCGGAGGAGAGAGACGACACCTCCCAGGCCTTCATCCCTGGCTCTGGCTTCAGGTACTACAGAGAGAATGACACAGCAACCACCATAATCCATTCTCTGTCCACACACAGATTAAAGCAAAACCTGTCTTCAAAAGCATCACAAACTCTGGAATTGATGACATGTGCCATAAAGCAAACACAAGGCTGGCCTCACTGCAGTGTTCAGCGTTTGGGGGAACAAGGAGAAAAATCAGGAAATCGGGACTCAGTTTGCAGGGACATTTTCCATGAGCTTTGGGTGGCTGTGTCCCTGAAAAAACGTGACCCCATGTATGAGATGGTGAGGCTGGTCTTGCCGTCCCCCGGCCTCTGAAATCCATGCCAGCGCACAAGGGAGCAGGTCTCCGCATCCAGCTTCAGGCAGGGGGGCAGCCTCTGAAGCCCCACACCAGCCTGATGGATTGGTTTTTCTGTTGTGCTATTATCATTTCACCACATCAGACAATAACTCCACTGGAAATTTGGGTAGTATGGTTTTTGTTTTCTCCACTGGTTTTTCACTTTTATAGCACTGTTTCACATCAATGCAGAGTTTTATAGGGACACATTTTGCTTGTAGTTATGTTTTAAAGTTTAGTGCCGAATTGGAAGACTAAGGTGACTGCAAAGGGCTCTGTGAGTAGCAGAAAGCACTACCTAGAGGTACAGGGCTCCAGTCATTCAACAACTCTGAGCTCTTTTAGGGCTTCATAGAGATAAGGGAGCTAGCATTTACTAAATTCCTAACTAGGCGCCTGGCACTTTAGTTAGTAACTTCTCCAAAGTACAGTACAGGAATCACGGTTAGGAATGTGGGCTCTGGTGTCAGGCAAGCTTGAGTTTCAACTTTGGCTCAGCCAGTTACTGGCTCTGTGACCTTGGGCAAGCTGTCTAAATCTCTAGGCCTCTGTTTCTGTATCTCTAAAATGGGGATAATATTGTATCTACCTCTGAAATCTGAGAGGAAGTGACAGAATATAGGTGAAGCACTTTGCAGAGGACCTGCCCCTAGTAAATTCACCACACACATTTGGGAACTGATTAAGGCTGAAATGCCCCTGACCCTCCCTCCCCGAAATGCTTATGTTGAAACCCTAATCCCAATACCTCAGAATATAACCATATTGGAGATCAGGTTGTTAAAGTGGCTATCAGGTTAAAATGAGGCCATTAGGGTGGATCCCTAATCCAACATAACTGGTGTCCCCATAAGAAGAGGAGGAGACACCAGGGTTATGCTACCACAGAGGCACAACCACGTGAGGAGGCAGCAGGGAAGGTGGCTATCTGCAAGCCAAGGAGAGAGGCACCAGGAGGAACTAATCCAGCCAGCATCTTGATCTTGGACTTCTATCCTCCAGAACTGTGAGAAAATATATTTCTGTAGTTTAAGCCACTCGGTGTGTGGTATTTTGTGATGGTAGCTGAGCAAGCTATTATAGGAGCTATGATTAGCATTCCTATTGTGTAGCTAACCAACACAAGACTGAAAAAGGTGAGGTCACTTGCCCAGGGTCACCAGAAGGTGGAATTCAAACCCAGGTCTGTCTGGTTCCCAAGTTTCTGATCCTTGCTCTAATATTGGACTGCCTCAAAGAAACATGAGATAATGGTTCTGAATGCAGCTCCCAATTTGTGTGGGCTTGGAGCATGTATACGCGACACCTGTGATAAAAGCAGAAAATGGTGAATATGAAGAGGCGGCGCAGACTAGCCAAGATGAGAGTTCAGAGGAGGACTCAGCCCTGGGAAGCAAGTTCCCTGGAAGCTGGAGTCTAGCAGCCTTGAACTTTTTGGTGGGGAATCTGCTCCACCATGATACCATGATAACAGCGCCAGTGACTTGGGGCTAAGTTGGTTGGCCACATTGCATATAGTTGTCGGGTGCCTGGGGATTAACTTTCCAAGTCACTTGCAACTCCACTGCCCAAGTGAATGACAGCAGGTTTAGCCTCAGTGGCATTTTTTTTTTTTAAAGCTGTCAAATACCTCGTATAACTGAATGGAGAATAAATAAGTCCTCCATCTGGCTGTGAGTACAACTGCTTATGCAGCTATAGGTTTTTTTTTTTTTTTTTTTTTGAGACGGAGTCTCACTTTGTCAGCAGGCTGGAGTGCAGTGGCATGATCTCAGCTTACTTCAACCTCTGCCTCCTGGGTTCAAGCGATTCTCCTGCCTCAGCCTCTGAGTAGCTGGGACTACATGCACGCACCACCACACCCTGCTAATTTTTGTGTTTTTAGTAGAGACAGGGTTTCACCATGTTGGCCAGGATGGTCTCTATCTCTTGACCTCGTCATCCGCCCACCTTGGCCTTCCAAAGTGCTGGGATTACAGGTGTGAGCCACCGCGGCCGGCAGCAGCTATAAGTTTTAAACCATTACCAAATATGGAACACACTATTTGAACCTGAATCTGGGATAGGTGGGCCAAAAGGAGCCCCTTGGTCTGCTCATCCTTATAGGGCAAGGATAAACTTTTTTTCTTTTCTTTTTCTTTCTTTCTTTCTTTTTTTTTTTTTTTGAGACAGTCTCGCTCTGCCATCCAAGCTAGAGTGCCGTGGCACAATCTCGGCTAACTGCCACCTCCACCTCCTGGGATCAGTGATTTTTGTGCCTCAGTCTCCGGAATAGCTGGGATGACAGGCATGCACCACCACGCCCAGCTAATTTTTGTATTTTTAGTAGAGACGGGGTTTCACCACATTGGCCAGGCTTGTCTCAAACTCCTGGCTTCAAGTGATCAGCCCGCCTCGGCTTCCCAAAGTGTTGGGATTACAGGCGTCAGCTACCGCTCCCAGCTGCAACGATAAATTCTTAAAAAAAAAAAAAAGTTGTGAACCCATGTGTCCCTCACCACTCACCCTCCGCCCTGCCGCAAGCTCTCACATCTGGTAAAAGACAGAAGGTGTATTTTGTTTGTTTGAGATGGGGTCTCACTCTGTCGCCCAAGCTGGAGTGCAGTGGTGTGATCTCAGCTCACTGCAACCTCCGTCTCCAGGGCTCAAGCGATCCCCGCACCTCAGCCTCCCAAGTAGCTGGGACCACAGGTGCAGGCCATCATGCCTAGCTATATTTTTGTATTTTTGGTAGAGGTGGGGTTTCACCATGTTGCCCAGGCTGGTCTCGAACTCCTGAGCTCAGGCAATCCGACTGCCTTGGCCTCCCAAACTGCTTAGATAACAGGCATGAGCCACTGTTTCCAGCCACGCAGAGGATTTTAATCACTGTCTGCATCTTGCCTTCTGCTCCTTCTAAAGAATTTCCGGCAATATTAACCAGTCAGCCTTTAAATAACCAGAAATCTTTCATTGTCTCTCCCATGAGTAGGTTAAAGAAAAACCTGGAAGAGGATGGCAAAGGGAGAAATTAATAGCCCATAGGCCATGCAAGATCATGCTCCATCCTGTCCTCTCTAGATGAAGCCCAGAGAGGCCAAGTAACATGCCCAGGGCCACACAGCTTACAGGTAGAAGAGCCAGCATGACGACTCAGGTCTTCCCACTCCAAGTGCAGTGTTCATCCAACCCTCCTCTAATTTGGAGACTGGACTCCTTCCCTAGGTGCTACAAAGTTTATACCACAGAGCCCAAAGCCCCAGCATACGCACTACTCTCATCAGCTGACCAGCCAAGGTCAGCCGTGGCCATCTTCCATGGAGCATTTACTACGTGCTTTGTTCAATGCCAATTATTTTCCCCCAGATAATTCCCATTTATCCTCACAACAACATGGAGAGGTCAGTTCTACCATTGTCTATGTTACTGATAAGAACCTGAGACAAGAGAGGTTAAGTAACTTGCCAAAGGTTTCAGGATACACAGTGGGCAGCCCCTTAACCCTTTCACTTGACTACCTCCTCCTGTCCTCTGCTCTGGGTCAGGTGCTGCAAGAGCCTAGAAAGAACAGAAGCCCAGTCTCCACACTTGACCATGATCTACGTCAGGATGGCAGGGGACAAATATTTATTGAGTGACCCAAGCATCGTAGAGACCTCACTGGGCATTTTGCAGACCACAGCGATATAAGTTCAGGGAACTTCCAAGATCTGGGATTCTATAGCTCATGTTCTGTGTGTTTGAACACAGAATAAGAGGACAGACACCCCACTAATACACACATGAGTCGGATGGCACTGGCTCTGAGGATGGGTGCACGGAGGGTAGCCAGCAAAATCCTAAGGGAATCCCTTGGATATATGACAGGTCCATCACCAATCCTTTTGAGCATAACTTCAGCTGCCCACGGTAATTAGCATGGCAGTGTGGTATGGTAGAAAACATAAGGACTTGGCAGAGACACAGATGTGTACTGAGTCCCAGTTCCATTGCATCCTAGTTATACAACTATGGGTAAGTTAGATACCCCTAAGCTTTAGAAATAGATTTAATGATTCTCTTCGCATGATTGTTGTGATGGTTAAGTCTAAGCATTGAGGCAAAGTGCCCAGTACAGTACTGCTTCTTAGATAGATGGGATATATATATATATATATATATATATATATATATATATATATATATATATATGCAGTAATCTAAACTTTGAGCTTTAATTTCCTCCTCTATAAAATAAGAGCATTGATTGAGGCTTAGGCAGGGAACTCCCAGTAGAGACAAATGCAGACTCTGGAGTCAGGTTTACCAAAATGTGAACCAAATGTGAATCCTGGTTCTGCCGCTAAGTAGTTGTATGATATTGTTCAAATTCTTTAACCTTTCTGCACTTGTTTCACATCTATAGAACAGTACTAACCATAGTACCTATCCCACAGAGTTGTTAGGAGAATTAAATGAGTTAATAGACATGAAGTGCTCAGAACAGCACCTGGCACTCAACGTGTTTACTAGCGCTATTATCTATCTAAAAGTGCTATTGTAAGGATCCAAAGTACTCAAAGCGCAGGGAACTGCATACAGTGGATGCTCAATACACTAGCAGACATCTGTTGTTTTTACATTTCACATCCCCTCTTCTGTCTTCTGATAACAAAATTACTCTCTACTATGGGGAACCCATTCTCTAAGCAAGTGGGATGAACACAGCTTGATAATCAGAGGACACCATCTCATTAGCAACATTGATTGGCTGGGACATGGGCATATATGACCAAGCATTGGTTGGCTGGGACATGGGCATATATGACCAAGCTAAGTAATCAGTGTCTACCCTCAGTTCTTTCTGACAGGAACATTGACCAAGGCCCTCTTCACCAGGATCTCTGAATTAGTGCATTTTGAGTCTTTTGCATTAGCTCACAAACAAGTCCACGGTTCCAAGGGAGTGAAGGAGCAAGATGAAGACTTAATGACATCACCAAGCCCCTGGATCCAGCTGTTCCTGAAGCCATTCATAACTACCACTGCTCTTCTCAGTTATGTGAATCAATATATTGCCTCTTTGGGCTAAACTAACTTTAGTCACTAAACTAACTTCTGTCACTTGCTAGTGAGTGGTGTTATAGTCACAGCATAGGTTCTAATAAATATTATTTCCCTTTTCATTACTATTCAAAGCCTGTTTTTATTACATGACTATAGACTTTCCAAGAGATAGTCTTCAGATAAACACGAAATATTAAGTAGTTTTGCCTATAAGACTAATAAAAAAAGTAGTATCAAGAATTGTTTATCCCACATGGCATACTCTGGTGTAGCCACCCACATAGAATCCACATTTAGCATGAAAAATGCCTCACTGTGTCTATTGAGATGCAGTGCTCTTTCAAAACAGAGCCAGTGGCATATGTATACACACTCATGATTGCACAGCTATTGATTTCTAATTTGTACCCTGCTTACTTCCAAAAAGGCTCTGGAGTGGCTGACAAAATAAGACAATGACACAAGAGGGCCATTAAGAAAAATCAAAGATCAAGCCCAGAGAGAAAAAGGGATTGCTGATTATAGCCCAAACTTGGGTTAATATAGCTGCTTCAGTAAAAAAAATTATATTTAGCTCTCAGCTTTTTGGCAGCCATTCAAAGTGTGTCATAATAGGGCACATAGAGAACTGGGCATCCTTCATGTCTACAGCTCAACACCCAGAACAGAGGCCATGCTGGAACAGACACCCAGGGAAAACCTTACTGAATGCGTGAGTGAATGAATAAATGAATGAATAGTGGATAAAAGAATCAAAGCTCACCAAGGGCACTGTTTATATCTTTAGGCCTATATCATTCATTTATTCATCTAACCATTCAACCATCACTGATGGAGTGCCTATGTGTGCCGAGCTATGCCCGGACACGGACCCAGCAAGAGATGGATACCAAAATGAGTCAAATACCATTCCTGCCTTCCCAGCTGCAGCTCTCTGACTTGAAGCAAAAGCTCAGGGTAATTTACCTCAGTGCTTGTTGCAACTCCTAGTCTCTTCATGCCTCCCAGAGAAAGGAGATCAGAAACTGAGGTTATAAAGACAGGAATTGTAGGAGTAATAATAGTTGTCTTGGTGCTTACACTTATACAGCACTTTACAAAACACAAGTACACCATGATCTCATTGGATACTTACAGTTCCTCTACAAGGTAGGTAAAAGGGAGGAGAGGGTATCTCCCTTTACTGATGATATTTAGATACCGAAGGAAAAGTGACTCTCTCAAGCTCTCAGGACGTGGCAGAGGACATAACTCATAGGTTCCCCATGCCCACGTGCCTGGCTCCCAGAATCTCAGAGACCTGTTATCACCACTTGAAATTCCTACTTTGCCTGGATCAAGACCAACTCTGCAAAAAATGGCCATCACCTGATAGCCATGGGAAGGTTTCTGTGAGCAAGAACCAGCCCACCTGACATGCTGCAGCAGCTGGGATGCTCAGACCCCACCCACATAAAGTCGTCCAGCATTCCAGCCTCCCAGGTACCTTCCCTTTGCCTTTAAATTGATGCTTATGTCTCAGATGAATAGTATATACTCTGCTGTAGTACTTAGTTAACAGCAGGTTGAAAGGTGCAATGCAGTACTGGGTGGAGAGATAGTGATTACGTGAGCATCTAAGGGCAGGGCTATGAAAGGCAGGGGATGTTACAAACCAGGGTGTTTCTGGTATGCCCATTTGGCATAGTTTATCCAGCTCTTCTGGACCCCCGGGCTGCTGAACAGCATTTCCTCCGCCCCCATGCCCATCCAGGCAGACCCAGACTGGAAGAGTAAAAAGGAGGGTATAGCCTTTCCTACATTTAGCAAAGTCAGCTAGGGCGACTGAGCCAGAGAGATGGGGCACACAGCAAGAGGAGACCTGACAAAGTGCAGGTGTGTCCTAGAGAAGGCAAGCGAGACCACTGCATGATTGGAATACCAGCCAACCCTTGCCTGTTCTTGTTCCAGCAAAGTGCCCTTTTAAAATAAATTTATGTATATAGTCTCTGTGTGTGTGTGTGTGTGTGTGTGTGTGTGTGTATAGACATATAGAAATATATATTCCTAATTCAGAACTCATTCGTAAGTGCACACACTGACATGTGTTTCATGTTTCCCAATTTATCCCAGAGCCTATATGCAGTGTTTGGCTGCACAAGTAGGCATTAAATGCAACCACTGGGAATGAGAATGGTGGCCACAACGTTGGAGCCTCCCTGCAATGTTAAAGCCTTCCCAGCCAGGCTGTAAATCTTGCTACCTGACTGCAAAGCCATCCAGGACTGTGTCGCTTCATTCAGAAAGGTGTACCTTAGGCAATTCAGTACACCCCATGAACTGAGTCACTGCCAGCATGATTTCAGGTTCACTGTCGATAATTTAATTAGCACTTGCCTGACATCTACAATACATGAATCACAGTCTCCACCCTCACCTGCAACTCCAGCTCCTGGGCTTCCAAATTCTCCCACTGAATAAATAGAAGTATCTCCAACTCTCCCCTCTCCTCATTTTACCCTGGATCTCTGAAGAGAATAAAGCAAAATTCAACACATTTCTTCCTTTTCCCACAAAATCATAAACCCCCAGACCCAGGGTTCCTAGACTGGCAGCGCTAGGAAGTGGGAAAAAGGCAGGAGCTGCTTCAACCAGCAAGGTGATGAGGTTGCCATGTTCGGTCCAAACCGTTGCCTTCTGAGACCACTGACAGTCTCGTGTGAATAAACCTATCTCAAACCCCACCTCAGGGAATTTACCTGAAGTAAGTTCAGACCCACAATCCATGGAAGCATCGCCTCCCTCCTTGCAAGGCAACGATGGACTACCACACATCACTAGTCCTCACTGGTCATGCAAGCCGCTGATGTCTGAGAGAAGGAGCAAGAAGTCAGGCCTGGAAGTGTTTGTTGGGGGTAGACGTCATGTCAAAGCCCTGCTCCAAGTCTCTATGTCAGGGCCTAACTGCCAAGCTCCACACGGCACGGCGCTCCACAAACCACATCCTCCACATCACCCAAGCCAGGCAAGGCACAAGGTAGAGAACACAAGGCAACTCTACTCACAGTCTGGTGAGCTTCGGCGTGCTCTGGAAAAGCAATTCTGGAAGGACTTGCAGCTTATTCTTGTTCAGGCGCCTAAAGAGGAAAGAGAATGGAAGGATGTCAAGGGGACATTAAACCAGATCAAACGTATTCAGATACCACTTTAATCAATCAGTCAATCAATCAATAGGCATTAAGAGACTCTCTACGTCTTTCAGTATGGGCTGCTCAACACATGTAAGGTATATTCCCTGTTGGCGGGGCTTAGAGTCAGGTTGGGAATGCAAAGCAAAGGTCAGTCAAAAGTAAAAATACAGCACATGCGCTGTGCTGCCACACCTCCATCAGTCTTGGAGAGACATCACTAATGGATCACAATATTCCTTCCCATGGACTCCAGACAAGACTTTTGAACTTTTCTCACCATGAGCTTCGTGTAGCTATTACTGAGTGATGAAACTGGCATGTGAAATACACACCTAAAAACATAAATGGGCCAGGCACGGTGGCTTACGCCTGTAATCCCAGTACTTTGAGAGGCTGAGGCAGGCAGATCATGAGGTCAAGAGATCGAGACCATCATTGGGCAACATGGTGAAACCCCGTTTCTAATAAAAATACAAAAAAATTAGCTGGGCATCGTGCTGCATGCCTGTAGTCCCAGCTACTTGGGAGGCTGAGGCAGGAGAATCGCTTGAACCCAGGAGGCAGAGGTTGCAGTGAGCTGAGATCGTGCCACTGCACTCCAGCCTGGCGACAGAGCAAGACTCTGTCTCAAAAAAAAAAAAAAAAAAAAAAAAAAAAAGAAGAAAAAGAAACCTTAAATGAAATATCAGAGGAAATATTCAGGATCCTAAACAGTGATTGTGGGAGCAGATAGTAGTTGCTTCAGGAACAAAGAAGAGGGCATGGCAGATCACCTTGGACTGAGGAACAAAATGGAATTCTGGCCATCTTGGCTCTGTGGACCAGAGTAGGATTCCATTGTGAGTTTTGTGGGTCCTTGGCAATTTTGCCTTTGTGGGCTGCTTTCTACATCAAATTTTTTTTTAATATTACATTTTATAACTATGTCGGTATAAATGCAAATATATTATTACATAACATTTCTACCCAAAAGTTCATTTTTGTCTTCCAATATTAGAAGAAATTAAAACATTTTCATGGGCCCCTAACAGTATTGTAGACCCTTATCACCATCCCTGGAGGTGGAGAAGTAGGCCCTGGGTCAGGGACCAAGGTCTGGGCATGAGGTATGGCTTGTGGCAAAATCTGCCCAGTAGGGATGGCTCACATTGGATGTTGGCCAACGGAGCCAGTTTCTCTTAAGCATGGTCAATGCTAAACACCCACAGAAAGGCTACCTGAGTTTTTAAGTGACACAGAGCCATCATTATGATCTCCATGAAGGCTGCTTTCTTCGGAGCACTGGGCCAAGAGAGACGCCCTGCTGCATGCTAGCCCCATGCCCCTCTGCCCTAGTGAGTTGACACAGCCTAGCAAGGGAAACAGGAAGCCACCCAAACCATGATTAAAGCATACACCCCACAGTCCCCCAGAATCTTTCAGAGCCAAAGAGCAGTTCATAGCCTGGATGAATTTTTCTACTTAGAGTGAATTGAGTATGGCCTATTACATGATGTAACTATATGATCCCCATCTGAGAGCTAAAGCTAACTAAGGAATAGAAAAGGTGAGCTTCTCCCTAGCTCCTGGCCCCAAAGCCCTGGCCCCCTTCCCCTGCCACCAAGCAGACATGATTTCCTATTTGGGATTTTGCTCCCATTTCCCCCCTTTCTTCCTAGGTCTATGGACAACAACTTTAGAGGGATGAGCGACTAGAAGGAGGTCAAGCAGGACAAAGCATGTGATAGAGAAGCATTGAAGACTTCACATATAATAAGCCCACTGTCAAGAGGGTGCTACTCAGCCTGACAGCCATGCAGCGAGTGGGTAAGCACTGGGCAGGGAAGCCATCCACGAGACTCCTGATGAGGAGGAGGCAAGGAGGAAAGGCTGGAAAGTTGGATAAGATAAGCTCTAATTCCCTGGCCACCACTGGGGCTGACTCTTGTTTTGTTTTGTTTGAGACGGAGTCTCGCTATGTTGCCCAGGCTGGAGTGCAATGGTGCAATCTCGGCTCGCTGCAACCTCCATGTCCCAGGTTCAAGTGATTCCCCCACCTCCGCCTACCGAGTAGCTGAGATTACAGGTACACACCACCATGCCTGGCTAATTTTTGTATTTTTAGTAGAGACGGTTTTCACCATGTTGGCCCGACTGTTCTCAAACTTCTGACCTCAAGTGATCCGCCCACCTCAGCCTCCCAAAGTGCTGGAATTACAGGAGTGAGTCACCGTGCCCGGCTGAGGGAAGCCTGACTCTTACCCCAGTGCTTTTTATTTTTAAAAAATTGCAGTAAAATCACATATCATGAGATTTATCTTCTTAGCAATAAAAAAACTGTACACTAAAAGTGTAGTTAGTTCAGTAGCGTTGAGTATATTCACATCATTGAACAACTAATCTCCAGAACTTTTTCATCTTGCAAAACCGAAATTCTGTCCCTGTTGAACAACAACTCCCCATCCCTCCTTCTCCCAGCCCCTGGCAATCACCGTTCCACTGTCTGTCTCTGATTTTGCCTGGTGCTCTTTGACCACTGCCAGTATCTGCTTTTTGTGTGTTCCCATCACTAAAGTAGAAAAAAAAAAAGAGGGGGACTCCAGGAAGAGGAGGATGAGGCAACATCTATTTTTATGTTTTGAGTAGTTCCCATGTACTCAGCGATAACAGGTGGAAGCCGTTGGAACTGGAGAAGGCTTGATGTGATGTATGTGGGATTCACCGGGGCTGGGCACAGGTCTGGCTATATTGTGCTCTTGCTGTGGGATCTGAAGCAAGCTATCTAGCCCTTTGGACCTCAGTTTCAGATCTGCAAAATGGGTTACAGTGAGTCTTAAATGACACAGTGTCTACGCAAGCGTTCAGCACTGCAATAAGAGCATGACAACAGTGATGATAATGGTATGGATTGAGTTCTACATGCATGTCAAACGCCATGCCACGTGCTACACAGGCAGGATCATAACTGCAGCAGTGCTCATGGTAGGTGTCATTATTAATCCTGTCTCATACAGAATGAACCTGAAGCCTGGGGAGGTCAAGCCATCCCCAAGGCCACAATGTCAGGAAGTGGTAGTGGCAGGATTTGCACCCAGTCGGTCAGACTCCAGAGCTCTAGTTCTGAACCACCATGCTACTCAAAGCCTTTCAATAAACAACAGCTCCCTCTCCCTTTCCCTTTCTTAATTTTTCTGTTTCTTTTCATCCAGAGTTGCCACTTCCTCCAACCCATCCAAGGCAATGAACCACCCTGTGTACATTGCCTTCCCTGGAAAGGAACTCTCTTGGAGGTCCCTAAGGCAAGAACTGAGTCTCTATGTGGGTCTGTCTGGAACCACCCTCTATTGTCACAACTGTACAAAGTCTTTTAAGAGTTATATTCAGAGAACCAACACTCCATTCCAGGCAAAAATCCTAAAACCCAGCTTGCTGCTGTCTTCAGTGAGTAGGGTGTTCGGTTTGCTGAAAACCCTAAACCAGAGTTGAAGCTAAAAATAAAACCAGCTTGGCTCCAAGGCTCCTGGAAGGGAAGGAATCATTTTCAGTTTTTTGCCGGTATTTGTGGCTGGACAAAAATAAAAATATAACTAAATTTAGCCAATTGTGTGCTGCCCACTGCTTCATAAACCCTGAATGAGGATTCTGGGACAGATGGGTGGGGCTCTGCTCCCAAAAGCCTTGGGACCTTTCCACTTAAGCTCGAGCAGGTCGCCTGCTGGTTCTCAATATCAGAAGGAGCTAGATACTGTATTTCCAGGTAACTCCAGGATTTACTCATATTTACTGAGTAAATATGGGCCTGGAAAGTCTTCCTTGAAAAGATGATGAAGGCTCCAAGCTGCATAAGGTACACTTCCCATGTGGCTTCTGTGAAAGCAGCCCCTCAACAGGAAAATGAACAGAATGAGACATGCTGTTCTCCTGATAAACAGGTAAGTGCCGGGTGCAGACAGTGGCTATTGGCCATGGTACACTCATGCCATCTGCTGTTCTGTTACTCTGGGTCCAGAGGTGGAGATCTCCTGCCATAGTTCAAGCTGGAAGTAAATCCATGATTACTGAATGGAGAACAGGACTGAATGGAACTCATATGAGGACAGAACTGAGGAAGTCAGCAAATGAGATGTGGGCCAGGGCAATGACAGGATAAGGCCTTCCTAGGTATTCCCTCTCCCACTAAGATCAAAACTCCTCAGCTTTCCTGATGCAACAATGGGGAGCATAAAGGTAAAAAAAAAACCAACTGGCTGCTGAGTTGCAAAGCCATACTGCTTTTCAGCCTGAATTGAGAAGCACTAAGAAATAGGCCCTTGTCTTTGTGGAACCACTAAAGGCCTTTCTAGATGTACCTGGGTGTAAGATATAAATAGAAGTTTTTGCCACTTCATCGAACCCATCCATGTATCCATTCAACCATTCATCCATCCAACTGTTCATTTATCTGTACATCCAACCACCATCCATCTATGCATCAACCAACCCATCTACCCAAGCATTCACTCATCCGTCCAACCACCATTTACCCATCCATCCATTCTTTCATTTCTCCAGTTTTTCAATATGAACATACAAAAATGAATAAGATACAGCCCCTTCTTTTAAAAATGTCATATGCTAGTGAAGAAGACAGACCTGAAAACAAAAAATTGCCATGTTCTTGAAAGCGAAGGTGTCGTGGGAACACAATGGAGCAGCAGCTAACCCAGTCCTTGTTAAAAGAAGGCTTCCCAAGGAAGATGGTTTTGAGTTTAGTTTTAAAGGATGACTAGAACTCTTTAGGAGACAGAGGTGGAGACTTCTAGACTGAGAGAGCAGTATGTGCTCTGTACTCCATGGAGGGCCAGGAGACAGGAGCATTTGGGAAGCAGGCTTGCACTGCTAGAACACAGAGGTGACCTGCGAACACAAGTGATGAAGGTGTACAACTAGGCAGCAGTCATACCACAAAGGGCCTTTTTATCCATAATAAAGAATTTGGGTTTGGCTTTTTACAGATAGTAAGAGGGAGCCAGAGAAAGGGTTTGAGCAAGGGAGTGATAATCTGGTTTGAATTTTAAAAAGTTCTCCTGGCCGGGCGTGGTGGCTCATGCCTGTAATCCCAGCACTTTGGGAGGCCAAGGTGGGCAGATCACGAGGTCAGGAGCTCGAGACCAGCCTGGCCAACATGGTGAAACCCCGTCTCTACTAAAAATATAAAAATTAGCTTGGCATGGGGATGCACATCTGTAATCCCCGCTACTCGGGAGGCTTAGGCAGGAGAATCACTTGAACCCAGGAGGCAGAGGTTGTGGTGAGCTGAGATCACACCACTGCAAGCCAGCCTGGGCAACAGAGCAAGACTCCAACTCAAAAAACAAACAAACAAACTATACACACACACACACACACACACATATGTGTGTATATTTATATATATATATATAAATACACACACACACACACACACATACATACATATACACATGTCTCCTGAGTAGCAGTAAGCCCAGTTTGGAGGAGGTTGAAATCGGAAGCAGGAAAACCAGTTAAAAGTGTTCTTGGGTAACTAGTGTCTCTGCATGAAGACCTAATTAAGGATAACAGTGCAGCTGAAGTGTAGGAGAGAGAGGTGAGGTATAATCGGCTGGGTTTTGTGACAGGATGTACGTGAGGATTGGTCTCTGCGTGAAGACCTGGTTAAGGATAACAGTGTGGCTGAAGTGTAGGAGAGAGAAGTGAGGTATAATCGGCTGGGTTTTGTGACAGGATGTACGTGAGGATTCAGGGAGTTACAGGAGTGCGGGTATGAAAAGTCGCTCCAGGTGGGGTAACTGATCAGTCAAATTACCAATCCCTAATGAGAGGAATAGAGAAGGGAGGAACACTGTGCGGAAGGTGGTGTGTTTAGATTCAGGATTTCTGCAATGCTGAAATCTCTCAAATATGTTTTGACAGCTAATAGCAGTAGTTAGTAATAATACTAAAACCATGAGCCAGGCATTGTACTGAGCACTTTACATGCACTACCTCATTTAATCTCCATGGAAACGTTTGGAGGCCAGTGCTCTTAGCATCCCTATATTTAGGAAATACTGGCCTAAGAAGGTTAAGAACTTGCCCAAAGTCAAGCTTGACCAACGTGATAGTTGGTGGGACTTGAACCCAGGTGCCTGCTGCTAAGCCTGTGCTCTTACCTACTATGTGTAGTGAGAATTCTTAATTTAGCCCTTCATTATAAACTGTCTTATCATCTAAGTTTCAAGGACTAAGGGTGGGAAATACAACTAAAAAGTCCTTTGCGTCCCAACAGTAGCCAACACAGCATCAGGCACACAAAGAACCTTCCAGAAGGGCCTGCTGAATTTCATGAATAAATCAAAAGGTAGGAAAGGCCAGCTAGGGGAGCCTGATGAATCAATAGCCCTGCTGATCCGGGAAGTCACACTGTGTGAGGGTAAACAGGGCTCCCAGAGGGCCTGCCTACCTGAGTCTGTCTTCATCATTCAGAAACTTCTTAGAGACTCAGCTTTCAGAGGTATCAACCTCACTGACAAGCAAGGTGAGCAGGGCGAAGGGGTCACTACTTCCCCTCCCTCAGGAAAGGGAAGGGGTGAGGGGCCACTAGGGCCTGGGCATGGCCCACTGCACATCAAATCCCCTCCTTTCCTCAGGGAGCTGTGGGCTGTCAGCTGCCCAATCAGGCCCGAGGGAGGAAGAAAGTCAAAGTGTGCTAACCCCTACAGGTCACCAGGACTGCTTGCTTTAGTAATGAACTCAATTGTTTCCCCTTCCCCAGGCAGCTTCTTAGGCAGCCTGAATTCTTTCTCCGTCTACTGGTACTTTCAGAAACACTCACATGTCTCAACAACAAGAACCCAAGCAGCTTTGTTATCTAGTGCAAAAGCTCCAAGTCACCCCCAATGGAGAGAGGGAGAGGGACAATGCTTCCTGCCAGCTGCTGCTCCAGGCCAGCAAGCGCCAGGGATGATGACTACAGACTCCGGGCAAGGGCAGAACCAAACTTCACAGGCCTCAAACATCAGTTCAGAGATGACATCATCAACTATGAAGATGTACAGATGTCACTATAAATCGGGGGCAAAAAACTTGAACTCTGGAGAGTCAAAAGAGTAGAGATCCTTGATCTGGGGCTGTTCCCACTAGTTGTTTACTGTAGTCACTGAAGGCCTCTTACTTCCTTGGTTTCCTCACCTGTCTAACAGCCAATTCAGGCTTTTTTTTTCCTGCTATGCAAATTTTCATAATGCAAACTGGATGTAATCTGAGCAATTCAGCAAGGAAGCTAATTTGTGATGGTTGTTGGTTTATACCAGTGTCATGATCAGGAATGGTCCCCATATGTGGGGCAGGAAAGTCTAATGGCTTACAGACTCAATACCCAGGGCCATTTTAGTTGAATGATGCTATTCTTTGCCTTTGAGGCTTCCCTTTTTTGGAGGGACAAGCAGCTTCATTGAGATATAATGGAGCTTCCTTATAGTAAGTGTGGACCAACCCACAATTTATTTTGATGGCTTAGCTGCAAGTTGACCTGAGATTTGTCTTCCATGGTATTCAGTATTTGATCAATGACATTTAGGCTGGCTTACATCAGTTTTGAAATCAGTTATTTTTTAGTTTGTAAGTTCTGAAAGTCCTAATAGCAATTAAAAACCCCTTTATTTTTGACATTTCTATAGGAGAAAGAAGTTTGTGGTCATACTTTAAAATTCTGATCCCTAAGCAGTTTTTTTTACCCTCACTGAAGATGTTTGCAAGAACCCTTTTAAAAAATAACCTAAAGATTATTTTAGGAACACAATTATTATGTAATAGCAAAACATGTACCTCATGGGATATCTGAGAGGGCTGAATGGTTTAACATCTGTAAAGGGCTTTGCAATGTTTCTCAAGGGCTCAATAAGTGGTAGCTGTTACAGCTACTGTTATTATCAGTATAATTGTCCCTAGATGTCCCAAGAGGTTGGAAATTCAGGAGATTTATTTCTCCTTCATAGATGACTATATCAGTCAGCAAGGCAATAACAAATGAACTCCAAAATCTCAGTGGGTTAACACAATAAACACTTATTCCACACTCACATAAAGGGTTTGTTCCATATGGTATGATACCTTAGAGAACATGTGGCCTCCAAGGCTGCTGTGCCAGGGGAAGAGAAGGAAGGAGGAAGTACATCAGCTCTTAACTCCCTTGACCCAGCAGTGACTCATACCACTTCTCACATGATTGGCCAGAACTAGTCACATGGCACAAACCTAGCTGCAAAGGAAGCTGGGAAATCTACAGGAACACTTGGATATTTTGTTGAGGACTATCTTAACCACCAGTATGCCTTAAGCATCAAAACAGCACAGATCTCTTTGTCAGCCAGGTGCAGTGTCTCATGCCTACAGTCCTGGCACTTTGGGAGGCCAAAGCAGGAGGATTGCTTGAGTCCAGAAGTTTGAGAGCAGCCTGGGAAATATAGTGAAACCTCATCTCTACAAAAAATCCAAAGAATTAGCTGAGCATGGTGCCACACACCTATAGTCACAGCTACTCAGGAGGCTGGGTGGGAGGATTGCTTAAGCTTGGGAGGTGGAGGTTGCAGTGAGCCAAGATCATCCCACTGCACTCCAGCCTATGCAACAGAACAAGAGCCTATTTCAAAAATAAATAAATAAAATAAAATAAAATAAAAATCTCTGTCCTTGTCCATCTATCCATCCTTCCTTCCTTTTTTATGTTCACATAGGGCACTTACTACTATGAGCTAAGTGTTGTGTTAGGTGTTTTATCTGTATTATCTCACTTCGTCCTTAAAGAAACTCTTGAAGCAGACACTGTTACAGTCATTAAGATAAGGAAACTGAGGCACAGCAAGGTTATGTAGCTTTTCCAAAACCACACAGCCCAAACTTAAGGCTTGAACAGAGGTCTCTTGGACACTAAAACCTGTGATTTTAACCCCCTTGCCATTCTGCTTCTCTAACTTTTTGGAGCCTTGGTTGACAGAAGGATGCCCAATAATCCCAGCAGGGAGGATAGAAACAAGGAATATTTGCCGGCCATGCCTCTCTGGTTTCAGAAGAAGGCTATGAGAGTCTCAGGAAATCCTTGCCCTATTTATGTGGTTATAGAGAACTCTGGGAGCTTGGTCAGGATCACATCCTACTGAGATCCAGCTCAGGACTCAAGTATGAAAAGAAAACAAGCACAAAGCCCCCCCACCCCACCCCTGCCCGCAACACACACATACCAAACAATCTCTTTTGACCTTTCCTGTACCTCACATTGGATTACTTTTTCTCCAATGACATGGCTGTTAGGGAAATGTAGAGTACATAATGGCCTGAGCCTGCCTTGCCTCTGACCCCTGCCCTGGCTACTCCCATATGCCCCTGATGCCCACAAATGCCCCTGCATCCAGAAGATCTTGATTTCAGGAGAAACGAAGGGGGTGAGGGAGAAGATGGACAAGAGTCCTGTCTACACAGAGGTGGAAAATCACTGGTTCTGCAGAGAATGGGCCAAAAGGCACTGTGAGTCCTCTAGTTCCAGGATGGCTGACTCACAGGCCTAAGTAAATTTTGCCCAGAACAATGCAGGGGAACCCCAGAGGCCGTAGCCAATAGGTTGCTTTATCTAGGACTAAAGTCAAGGGCATGGGTCTCTGGGGAGCCCCAGAAGATTGTACAAGGGTATATATTAGTACACTAGGGCTCAGACTCCAAGAAAACATATCTAGGGTGGAAGAAAGCACATATTTATGCGTGCATGTGAATGTGCACACACACACACACACACACACACACACACACACACAGCAGATAATAATGTACATGCAAGTTAATAGTCATTTATAACTTCAGAGCTGGCCAGATCCATTTCAGGCAGTCAGACCACTTGGCAATCACCAAAGCTGCATCCCTATAGTGACCTCTTCCCCATGACATCTCACAATGCGGCCAAGAAAGCAGACAACTCCCCAGATTCAAGAATCACTCCTGGATCTCTTTTGAGATTTTCTACTCTTGCAGCTTTCCCCGGATCAGAGTTTTTGCACATGCTCTTCCCTTCTCTGGGAATGCTCTTTACCCTGCTACCAGGATAACAGCCGCAGAGGTGTTAAGAAGTAGTCAAATTCTATAAATAATTTGAGGGTAGAGCAGACAGGATTTGCTGATGGATTGGAGGCAAGGCAAGAGAGAAAAGGGGAGTCAAGGATGAGGCTGATATTTTGGCCTGTGCATCTAAAACTTTGGAACTACTGTTAGCCAAGATGGGGGAAGACTGTGGGTAGAGCAGGGGGTTGGGGGCAGATTTGGATATGTTAAATTTGATATGCCTACAAATATTCCCAATTATAGATGCCCAACAGATGATTGGATATACACATATGGGGCACTCAGGGATAAGACCAAGATAGAGAGATGTAGGTGGTAATTTAAAGCCATGAACTTGGATGTGGTTACCGTGGGAGATGAAGACAAGGCAAGAGGAGTGTGGACTGAGTTCTGGGCTACACGAGCCAGAGAGAGGAGGAAACAGCCCCCAGTGTGGTGGGGGAGAAGCAAGAGAGAGCATAGTTGTGAAGGCCAAGTGAAGGGAGAGTTTCAAGAAAGGAGGGAGATAGGGAGGGAGGGAGGAACTGGTTAGCCAACTTCTGCTGAGACACAGAGAAAGATGAGGATAACATTGGGTTGGGCAATGAAGAGCCCACTGGTGACCCTGCAAAGAGTTGCTTGGTCCAAAGATGGGCATGACCTATTAGCAGGAGTGGTTCAAAAAAGAGTGGGGGAAAATAAAAAGGAACAATGATGTTGAGACGTCCAAAATAAAGGAGGAGAGAAAACGGGTTGATAGCTAGGAGAGAATGTGGTCAAGTCGGGTTTTATTGTTTAAGATGGAGGAAATCGTGACATGCTTCAGTGCTGATAAGAATGACATAGGAGCGAGGCACATTGATGATTCAGGGGAGAGAGGAGAAAAATTTTAGAGTGAAGCTCCTGAACAGGCAACAGAGGTAATCCCAGTGCAAAGGGATGGCAGTGGCCTTTGGCAGGGCCAGAGACGGGTCACCTGTGGCAACAGCGGGAAGGCAGAAGTCAGGGGACGGGGGGTGGCAGATGTGGTGGTGGGTGTCTGTGGAGGGTCTCTTCTGACCACTTCTGTTTCCTCAGTGAAAAACAAAGCCAGATTCTCAGCAGAGGCCAGGGAGAGATGAGGAGGTATGATGACTGAGAAGGAAAGGTGAGACATCGCTGCTTAGGAAAGGCTGGAGGGTTGCCGGGCGGCAGCCAATGCCCATTTGAGGTTAGTGGTCATGAGCTGTAAGTGAGATTCGTCCACAGAAGTGTGTGTGTTTCTTCAGCAACATTCAAGTCCCCTGGGTGAGAGGGTGCAAACAATAGAAGGCTGAATTCAGCCAAGGTTAGGGCGTTTCCAGGCAACTATGATGGAGGAAGAGAGGGGCCCAGGAATTGAGGGAATGTGCTGAGAGCAATTATGAAAATGAGCCATGAAATCTATGCTGAGTAATGAGGGAGGGGGCCTCATTAAGCGGGTGAGGAATGGTGACAAACGACAAAGTCTATGAATTATATGCCTCTGCAGGGTCTAAGAACTCTTGGACAGGGCATGGCGCTGGGGCTTAGGAAGGCTGTGCTATATAATTCTAGCTCTGCCCTAGAGCTATGCAACTCCATGTAAACCACAGCCCTGGTTTCCTCCATCAACAGAATCAGTGGGTTGGATGAGATGAGTCCTAAGATGACCTATTCTATTCTCCTTATTCTGAGAGCTGGAGAGAATATTTGAATTTTAATGTACTGCATGGCCTTAGGATTTAATCTCCCTATGCCTTGGTTTCTTCATGTGAAAATGGGCATAATGATACCTACTAGGATATCCATTCAAATGTGTAGTGCCATGAGAAGATTTTTGTCTGTTTTGTTCACTGCCACTTGAGCCTGGCAACTAGTAGGTGCTCAATAAATACTTGTTGGTTAGTTGGTTGGTTCATCGGTTGGTTGGTTCATTGGTTGGTTGAATGACTAAATGAGTGAATATCTACTCCACTTATCTAACAGAATTACTGAGGAACAGATGAGCCAAAGGGGGCAAACTTTGTGAAGAACTGAAAGTGCTATAAGTTGCGTGCTGCTGCCCAAGCCCCCTGTGCTGGCTATTTCACTTCAGCTGTTAAAACTAGAGTATTTCATTAGGCACCTTCCAGAGTATCGCAACCAGGTTACTGAACAGTCACAATCACAGTAGCACAAATCAAACACTTTGACCCATACTGCTTGAAAGAGGGTCCTGAGAGCTTGGAGCAAGAGGCTCATGCCAGCAGTTCTGTGCAGTAGGGTGAGAGAAGCAGAGGCAGCTTCAGAACAGAGTGAAGCCAGAGTCAGGGCAAGCATTCTTACACCAGGTGGGACATCCACATAAGGTTTCTATATGAGAAGAGTGAGGGGTGCAATTAATAAAAGGAAAAAGCAGATTGCCCCCAAAAGCTAACTTTCTCTTTTTCCATGCTGCCTGGGAATAAATATGGCAGGGCTATGTTGGGGGCAGGGAAGAGGGACTGAGAATGCGTTAGCAACACTCTGCAAAAGCACGCTCCATCAAGACATTAAGCATGCCTTGGGCAGCCTGTGGTTAATATCTACTCATTTCTATGAGGAATTAAGAGAAAAATACTTCAGGCAGCTATTAGGATTTTTTCCCCTTTTAAGACCCCCAAAACAATGCAGCAAAGCTGGTTCTAAATCAGATGGCATGAGCACAGCCCACCACAGATTCTCCATGTTCTCTCTGGGTTATTCTAGGCCTTTCATCTAGGTCTCCAACCCCTTCGACTCACAGGTAGGAAACTGCCAGATGCAAATTGAAATAGAAATACTCTAGCTAGTAGATATCAGGGAGGGCAGGTACAACTCAGCACAAATTTTCTGGAAGTGTACTGTTTAAAATGATCCTGTTTGAACCCATTGGCCTTTTCTTTTGTTTTGAGTTAGTTCAAAGTGACAAAGTCCTGACAGTAAACGATTCAAACATTCCTAGTTTGTGAATGACAAATTTCTCTTTCATTTTTGTTCTAAACACTCAAAATCTGCAAGATCTCTTAATGATGGTGTGCCTCTCTGTGTGTTTATCTAGGCATTTACATCTACATTTACATATACAGCAACAACAAAAAAAGTTCTTTTAAGCCTTTTCTGGCATAAGCCAAAGAACGTAGAATAATTATCTGTGACCAATTCTCATCTATAACTAATTAGAATTTTTATTTTCTCATAGCATTTCTTCCCGATTCAGGTCCAAGGTTTTTTTGTTATTTTTTTTCTTTTGCTAGAAAAGGAAGATACCTGGATAATATGAGAACTGTAGGATGGAAAGGGAGCTGGGTAAAAGGGGGAAAGGGGCACTTTTCAGATTGCATTGTCACTTCGATCTGATTGAATCTTTTCCTTATTCTTTTTTTTTTTTTAATGCTTTTCCAGCACGGGAAGGATTTCTCAACCCTCTGGCTATTGCATTTGAACTGAAGTCTGCAGAAATAGTTTAAGAGCCCCCGCTCACCTCGCTCACTCCCACCTCAGGCGAGCAGTTCCACATCCCAACCACAGCTTTGCGATCCCATCCAAACTTATTGGCGTTTCAAACTGAATCCCAGATGTTCACTTACTGAGAAATAAATGAATGGCCCAATTCGTGGACTGAAGCAGGGACCCTCACAAATAGATTCCAGGTGTGTTGGCCTCTGGACCACTATCTTTCTCTGTTTTACATACACATACATACACACACACACACACACACACACACACACACACACACACACACACGGCACCAAGTCCATCCTGAAAAGAATTCAACGTCATCTCCAAGTTAGAGCCAGTATAGGATGAACAGAGGTAGTTACCTAACACAAATAACATATTTTCAATTGTGGATGAAGGCAAAGGGCTCCACATTCACACTCTTGTGCCTTCAATAACCAAAATCATGATGTGTTTGATGTTCAAACTCAGCTTAGGCTTAAAAGAACTAAGAACGGCTAAATGACCTGAATTATCATCACTGTTCATTATCCATCTTAGCTGCCTTCTTGTGTTCCCCTGTGCTATGGTCCAAATGTTTCTGTCCTTCCCCCACTAAAATTCACATTCAAAATTCAACCACTGAGATGATGGCATTTGGAGGTGGGACCTTTGGGCGGTGACTGGGCCATGAGGGTGGAGCCCTCATGAATGGGATTAGTGCTTCCTTGCATCTTCCACAATGTGAGCACATAAGCTAGAAGGCGCCATCTATGACCAGAAAGTGGGTCCTCACCAGACACCAAGTATACTGGCACCTTCCTTGATCTTGGACTTCCCCTTATTTATTTATAAGCCACCCAGAGTATGCTATTTTGTTATAGCAGCTGGAATGGACTAAGACTACACAATTCTTATGTCAAATTTAACAAGCACCTACTGTTTGCTTACCTGGGGGCAAACAGGGAAGAAAAAAAAGAAAAGGAAAGATCTGCCTCAAAGAATTCATAGTAGTGTTTTGAAACATCAAAATTCCAGTTGCTTACTTATAAATTAAGAAATTCATATTCTGTGAAGAAAGTCATTGGGTAGCTTGATGGGAATAGCATTGAATCTACATATTATTACTTTGGCAGTAGGGCCATTTTCACAATACTGATTCTTCCTATCCATGAGCATGGAATGTTTTCCTATTTGTATCCTTTCTTATTTCCTTGAGCAGTGGTTTGTAGTTCTCCTTGCAGAGGTCCTTCACATTCCTTGTTAGTGGTATTCCTAGATATTTTATTCACTTGGTTGCAATTGTGAATGGGAGTTCACTACTTTAAATTTCATATGGAACGCAAAAAAGAGCCTGTATAGCCAAGAAAATCCCAAGCAAAGAGAACAAAGCTGGAGGCATCATGCTACCTGACTTCAAACTACACTAATAGGCTACAGTAACCAAAACAGCATGGTACTGGTACCAAAACAGATATATAGACCAATGGAACAGAACAGAGGCCTCAGAAATAACTCCACACATCTACAACCATCTGAACGTTGACAAACCTAACAAAAACAAGCAATGGGGAAATGATTCCCTATTTAATAAGTGGTATTGGGAAAACTGGCTAGTCATATGCAGAAAACTGAAACTGGACCCCTTCCTTATACCTTAGACAAAAATTAAGATGGATTAAAGACTTAAAAATTAAGATGGATTAAAGACTTAAGTGTTAGCCCTAAAACCATAAAAACCCTACAAGAAAACCTAGGCAATACAATTCAGGAGATAGGCATGGGCAAAGAGTTAATGTCTAAAACACCAAAAGCAATGGCAATAAAAGCCAAAATTGACAAATGGGATCTAATTAAACTAAAGTGCTTCTGAAGAGCAAAAGAAACTATCATCAGAGTGAACAGGCAACTTACAGAATGGGAGAAAATGTTTACAATCTATCCATCTGACAAAGGGCTAATATTCAGAATCTACAAAGAACTTAAATTTACAAGAAGAAAACATACAACCCCATCAAAAAGTAGGCGAAGGATATGGACAGATACTTCTCAAAAGAAGACATTTATGCAGCCAACAAACATATGAAAAAAAGCTCATCATCACTGGTCATTAGAGAAATGCAAATCAAAACCACAATGAGATACCATCTCACATCACTTAGAATGGCGATCACTAAAAAGTCAGGAAACCATAGATGCTAAAAAGGATATGGAGAAATAGGAACACTTTTACACGTTGGTGGGAGTGTAAATTAGTTCCACCATTGTGGAAGACAATGTGGCGATTCCTCAAGGATCTAGAACCAGATTTCACTTAGCAATCCCATTACTGAGTATACACCCAAAGAATTATAAATCATTCAACTATAAAGACACATGCACATGTATGTTTATTGCAGCACTATTCACAATAGCAAAGACTTGGAACCAACCCAAATGCCCATCAATGGTACACTGGATAAAGAAAAGGTGGCATATATGCCACATGTGGAATACTATGCAGCCATAGAAAAGGATTAGTTCACATCCTTTGCAGGGACATGGATGAAGCTGGAAACCATCATTCTCAGCAAGCTAACCCAGGAACAGAAAACCAAACACCACATGTTCTCACTCATAATTGGGAGTTGAACAACGAGAACACATGGACATAGCAAGGGGAACCTCACACACCAGGATCTGTCGGGGGTAGGGGGCAAGGGGAGGGATAGCATTAAGAGAAATACCCAATGTAGAAGATGGTTTGACGGGGTGCAGCAAACCACTATGGCACACGTATACCTATGTAACAAACCTGCACGTTCTGCACATGTATACCAGAACTTAAAGTATAATAAAAAAAAATTATAAAATTCAATGTCTACTAAGTGCCTATTCTGCATCATACTCTGAGATACAAAATTCAGTAAGACCTCCTCCTTAAGGAACTTGCAATCTAGCAGCAGAATAAGATAAGCAAGATAAGCCCCGTGTGAACATGTGATGTGTGCCACAAAACACAGAAGCTGTGGGAGAAATCGCTATGGCAGATAGCTACCCAGGGCAGTCCACAGTGAGGGGTGCATCATGACCCAGGCAACGGACATAGAGAGAAATGAGAGGTAAGGCCAGACAGGTAGGATGAAGGTATGGGGCCTTGTGGGAAGCCAGCGGGTTCCAAAATGCAGTTGTCCAATCTCTCAAGATTTCAGAGGGCAAATAAATGCACAAAAAAATTTACTTGCATTATATTTTTTATGTTTTTACAAAAATGCGTAACTCTCTCATGGTCATTATTAAAGAGAGGCCAAGGAAAAAGAAAGGAAGTTGACTTAAAGTCAAATTAAAGAAAATAATTTGAGTAAAGGTGTTGCATGAATTGACAAAAACCATGAAGAAGGTATAGAATGTACTGGCACTTGGAAAATGATGTGTTGCTCAGCAGCTGGTCACTGAAGTTTCCTGGGAAGGACTGGCATGAAGAAAGTCAGTTAGTAGGAAGAGAACTTGGGCAGTGGTATGCAGAATGTGTTGGGTGGTGGGGGTGAAACTGGAGTTGAACATGACAAAGACCGTTGTGTGAGTCAAAGGGGACCAGAGGTAGGAATGAATGAATCAAAGTAAGAGGAGAAACAGGAGACAAGGCAAAACTTAGTGGCAAATGGGATGAAGACAGTTAGAATAGAGACAGGGCGTGGAAACTGGTTCATTGTTTCCAATTCTTCCGCACACTAGTAGAATTATACACCCAAGGGTTTGGCCGTGTGATTTTGCAGTATCTTCCATTAAAGTGGGAAGTATATATTTCCATGTTCCATTGATGTTGGGTGTGGCCATGTAACTTGATTTGGTTAACAGAAGGTTGGTGTGAGTGTGATGTGAGCAGAGATTTTAAATGTGCTTGAGTGACTTGGCTTGATCTCATCTCTTATTTCATTTGCCATCAAAAAATATGCCTTTGATAGCCAAGAACCCAAATAGAAGGAGAAGTCACAAGGATATTCCTGAACCCAAATCACAGCCTGAATCCAAACCCAACTGAGCCCAGCTAAGACCATCTGAAACAGCCAAACCCAGCCAACCCATGACCCATATACAAAGAAAATAAATGCTTATTTTTGTAAGCCGCTGAGATTCTGAGGTTGTCTGGCTAGAAAGGAAAACTGAGTAATGCAGAGGAGGAGGGATTGGGGTCTCATGACTGGTTCCCCTGTTTCTGCTTTTGCTCCTACATCCTATTTTCCATGAGCAGCTAGAGTGAACGTTTTAAAACCCATGTTAATCAGGTAATTCCTTTGCTCAAAAGCCCCTCAGTTGCTCCCACATCACTCAGAGTAAAAGTCTAAGTGCTTACAATGGGCCATATATCCCTACATGATCTGTCCATCTCCCTATCCCGTTACCCCTCAAAATTCACCTCCTACCACTCTCCTACTCTCTCACTCTACTCCAGCCATGTGGCTTTACCTGCTACTCCTGGAACACATTAGGGTGCACCTTCCTTTGGGCCTCTTCCTTTTTTATTCCTAGAAAACATGTCTAAGTAGCTGGCATATTTTTATTATTATACTTTACATTCTGGGGTACATGTGCAGAATGTGCAGTTTTGTTACATAGGTATACACGTGCCTTGGGGGGTTCCCGCACCCATTGAACTGTCACCTACACTAGGTACTTCTCCTAATGCTATCCCTCCCCTAGCCCCCCGTCCCCAGACGGCCCGTGTGTGATGTTCCCCTCCCTGTGTCCATGTGTTCTCATTGTTCAACTCCCATTTATGAGTGAGAACATGTGGTGTTTGGTTTTCTGTTCTTATGTTAGTTTGCTGAGATGGTTTCCAGCTTCATCCATATTCCTGCAAAAGACATCAACTCATCCTTTTTTATGGCTGCATAGTATTCCATGGTGTATTTTCTTTATCCAGTGTATCATTGATGGATATTTGGGTTGGGGCCAAGTCTTTGCTATTGTGAATAGTGCTGCAATAAACATACATGTGCATGTGTCTTTATAGTAGAATGATTTATAATCCTTTGGGTATATACCCAGTAATGGGATTGCTGGGTCAAATGGTATTTCTAGTTCTAGATCCTTGAGGAGTCACCACACTGTCTTCCACAATGGTGGAACTAATTTACACTCCCCCCAACAGTGTAAGTGTTCTTATTTCTCCACATCCTCTCCAGCACCTGTTGTTTCCTGACTTTTTAATGATCACCATTCTAACTGGCATGAGATGGTATCTCACTGTGGTTTTTATTTGCATTTCTCTAAATGACCAGTGATGATGAGCTTTTTTTCATGTTTGTTGGCTGCATAAATGTCTTCTTTTGAGAAGCGTCTGTTCATATCCTTTGCCCACTTTTTGTTGGGGTTGTATGTTTTTTTTTCTTGTAAATTTAAGTTCTTTGTAGATTCTGGATATTAGCCCTTTGTCAGATGGATATATTGCAAAAATTTTCTCCCATTCTGTAGGTTGCCTGTTCACTCTGATAGTTTCTTTTGCTGTGCAGAAGCTCTTTAGTTTAATTAGATCCCATTTGTCAATTTTGGCTTTTGTTGCCATTGCTTTAGACATGGTGTTTTAGACATGAAGTCTTTGCCCATGCCTATGTCCTGAATCATATTGCCTAAGTTTTCTTGCAGGGTTTTTATGGTTTTAGGTCTAATGTTTAAGTCTTTAATCCATCTTAATTTTTGCTTAAGTCTTTAATCCATCTTAATTTTTGTCTAAGGTATAAGGAAGGCGTCCAGTTTCAGTTTTCTGCATATGGCTAGCCAGTTTTCCTAACACCATTTATTAAATAGGGAATCATTTCCCCATTGCTTGTCTTTGTTAGGTTTGTCAAAGCTCAGATGTTTGTATATGTGTGGAGTTATTTCTGAGGCCTCTGTTCTGTTCCATTGGTCTATATATCTGTTTTGGTTACTGTAGCCTCTGTTTGCAGATGACATGATTGTATATTTAGAAAACTTCACCATCTCAGCCCAATATCTCCTTAAGCTGAAGCAACTTCAGTAAAGTCTCAGGATACAAAATCAATGTGCAAAAATCACAAGCATTCCTATACACCAATAACAGACAAAGAGAGAGCCAAATCATGAGTGAACTCCCACTCACAATTGCTACTAAGAGAAAAAAAATACCTAGGAATACAACTTACAAGGGTTGTGAAGGCCCTCTTCAAGGAGAACCAGAAACCACTGCTCAAGAAAATAAGAGGACACAAATAAAAGAAAAAAACATCCATGCTCATGGATAGGAGAAAGTAATTTATAGATTCAATGCTATCCCTATCAAGCTGCCATTGGCTTTCTTCACAGAATTGGAAAAAACTACTTTAAACTTCATATAGAACCAAAAAAGAGCCTGCATAGCCAAGACAATCCTAAGCAAAAAGAACAAAGCTGGAGGCATCATGCTATCTGACTTCAAACTAGAGCTGACATCTTCACTTTCTTCAGATCTCTCTTCAAATATCCCTTCCTCCAGGAGATCTTCCTTGACCATCCCATTAAAACTGCAACTCCATTCCTGAGCTCTCTGACTCACTCCCCTGCTTAATTTTTTCCAAGTGATGATCTGACCTATTACACATTTTACTTGTTTTGTTTACTGTCTATGGTCTCCCACTAGAATATAAATTCCATGTGGGTAAAAACTTTTTTCTCTTCCTACTATATCCCCAGAACTAAGAACAGTGCCTGGCACATGACACAATAAATATTTGTTAAATAAATGAATCAAAGAAATAGCCAGGCTTCTGTTCTAGAAAAATGTGCATAATAGTGATGGCTTTGACAGACTCAGAAGCTTGGAAGGAGAAAGAGGTGTGGAATAAAGTAAGAGTGGCCAAACGAAGGTACCAAGATGGCAAGTAATAGGTCAAGTTCAAAGAGACAGCAGGCATCATCCACTTGGTGGTGAGAGCTAAGCCATGAGCATTGGGAGAGTCTGTCATTTACTACTCAGAACAATTGACTAAACTCATCAAGTCTCAGTCTTCTCATCTGTTAAATGGAAAGAAGACAAACACCTCCTTCCCAAGGGAGTTGTAAGAATTAATTGAAATCATATAAGTGGCTCTGTATTCTGCCTGATATAAAATAAGTGCTCAATATCTGGTTCCAAGTAAGTTGACAACACCCGCTTCATGGAGAGCCCATCAAGGGGGAAAGAAGATGTCCCATGCAGAGTTTGCTCTAAGGCAGCAGGCAGCAGAAGTCAGGGCTCAGGAGAAAGCACTGTGTGAGGCAGTAATTATAACAGCTCCCACAAGGGCCTTAAAGGGGAATTGGGATGTGGAAAGAGAAAAGAGGCAGAGGAAAACCCAGGAACCGCAGTGAGGAAGTGGCAACAACCAAGGCTTGTCTGGGAAACTGGGAGGAGGCCAGGGTGACTGGGAGGGCCCTCTGGAGAGGCAAATAAAGTTCCCAAAGGGGAGGTGCGGCAAATCCGTGTGTGAAAAGGTGGGTAGAGGGGATGGTGGTGGTGGAAGTGGGTGGAGTTCTTTAACACCAGTATACTGAACCTGGGTATTACCCAACATTTAACGGAGACTCCCTAATTGTCTTCAAGAGTAAAGTGAAAGGGATATGCTGCTCTGCAATGAATCCAACGTGACATCTCCTGTGGGTATCCCAAAGGCATGTTCACCATGGACACTGTCATCTCCTTCCATCCCCAACCTGGTCCCCATCTCAGAGAATAGCTCTGAGCAAGGGCTCATGCTTCCCTCCTTTTCACTTGACACTCATGATGTGCAATCAATCGCTGTATGCCATGAGGTATGCATCTTTAAATATGTCTCCAAACAATCCCCTTCTCCTAACTGTATGGCCGTTCCCCTGGTCCAGGCTGCCATCTTCCCTCCGCATTACTGAAAGGGGCACCTCCTTGCCTCCAGTCTCGCTCCTCACCCTTCCACTTAAGCCTTAAATCCACCTTTATTGCAGAAAGAATGATCTCCCTATAATACAAACTTAATTATGTTGTTTTCCTGCTGGAAATCCTTCAGTAGCTCCCCATTGCCCTCAGGAAATCATCGAAATGTTTTAATCCTACCTGGAAAGCTTTGTGTCATCTGTCCTCTGCCCCCCAGCCATGACGAACTTCCTTTAGTTCTTGAACGTAACTCGCACTCTCTCACCTCTGGGCCTTTGCTGATGTTGTTCTATCTGGAATACTTTTTCCTTCTCCTCTACTTTATTAACTCCAGTTCAGCCTCTAGGTCTCAGCTGAGAGGGCATCCATTCTAGGAAGTCTGTCTGATCCTCCTGTCTACTCCCAGAGTCCTCTGTCATTATTTTACTATAATTTTCTATTTATTTGTTTCTTTCATCACAGAGTGAATGAAGGCTAGGAAACCCTTTCTGTAAAGAGCCAAACAGTAATTACTCTGGGCTTTGTAGGCTCCATGGTGTCTGTCAACATTACTCAATTCTGCTGAAGGAGTGCAAAAGCAACCATAAACAATACATCAATAAATGAGTGTGGCTGAGTTCCAATAAAACTTTATTTATAAAAGCAGGCAGTGGGCCAAATTTGGCCCATGGCTGCTGCTTGCCATCCCCTGCCCATCTCCCTGGCCCGATCAGAATGCTTTGTACATCAAAGGAGCTCCTAAAGATTTCCTGAATAAAGAAGGAAAGATTGAATAAATATTTGAATAAATAAATGATACATTTCAAAGGCCAAGTGCTAACCTTGTTTGAAAAACTTCTTTCCTAGAATGAAATTCCTATTTTAGGAATTGTCTTTTCTTGTTCCCTCATGTCTAAAGCCCTTTATCATCATCATAATATTTATGGAGTACCACTCTTTTAAACATTTTACATTGATTAATTTATTTCATGCTCAAAATAACCTATGATAGTTCAAACCTATTATGAGAGTTCATGCCTATTATTATCCCTAATTTACATAGGAAGAAATCTTAGAGGGGTTTCTTAAAGACAGGGCTGTGCCTTGCCCTTGGCCAATTCCTCTTTTCCTAGAGACCCTCACTCAGTGCCTGGAATCCAGCCCCTGGGTTGGCCTCCTTCTGCCAAAGTTGTCATGACTGGCCTGAATCCATGCCTCCCACCTGCCCTGATCAGCTCACACACTGTGCCACCAGCCAGGGGTCAGGTGGCTAGTGCAGATCACCTGCTCACCTAACTCTCTAATTCCCTTATCCACCATCTCCAGGTCTGACACTGCTTTCCTGTGTCCAATGGATTCATCTCTGCTCTGGGCCCCAGTGACCCTTTGAGCTCCATTCCGTCCCTTTTCCCTTCTCTCACCATTTTTCTGGCCTCCAAGGAAGTTCTAATACCCACCTGACACGTTTCAAAGATTAATGCACAATGGATTATATCTAGAACTTGAAAAGTGTGAGAAAAATCCAAGAGATGAGAAAGGCTCTGATAGAAACAGTAGCAAGTTCAGCAGTCTTCCTATAGAGATTTGGCCAATTACCGAAAACACTTTCTTTGGCTGAAAAGCTCACCATTGAATCAGACTTGGGGAAGAACGTGCTGTAATGTTAAACCCCAAAGGGCCACTCTTTGCCCTGAGCCCTGATTTCATCTGTAATTCCTCGATGGTTATCTGAGGTATGCTACCTGTGAGGATGTGAGGGCTCCCAACAAAAGCAAATAACTCATTGAGAAGCTGGAGGCAGCACTTTCAGCCTGAGTTTGTCTTTTCTCTCTTTTCCGGATGTGGGTCTTTATATGTCTGTCATCCCAAATTCAGCAGCCCGCAGCAGTGCTGGTTTGAAACCGACTTATGAGCCGATAGGTATTGCTACGGGGAGATGCGTGGCTCGGATGTTAATTGCTCATTAGCCATCTGTGTGTGCCGTACTTCAGTTAAAAGACAAGAGAAAGAATGTGAGCCACTGATACCTGGGAGTCCAGCTACCAACACACATGGAAACCATCCGGGGAGACCTCAGGTTCAATCCACAGCTTGGCCACATATTTATTCCTCACTAAAATAACATCTGGCTTTCATTTTTCGGTGACAACTCGTTTGGACAAGACCTTGAGTAGGTTAAAAAAAAAAAAAAAAAAAAAACTTAGACTTTCTACCCTTCCCCCAGCCTTGGGGAGCTAAACTTTAAGTTCTTTTGTGAGCCAAGGGTGTGAATAAATTGGTGTGAAGACAGCAAGCAGGGTGTAAACAAGGAATTCTTTCTTTCTTCTTATTAAAAGACAATGACTCTCTCAAGAATTCACACACTCTCCACTTGTAAGCAGGGCAGAGTTCCTGGGGAAAATATAGAGCAAATTATGCCTAGGTCCCAGGAGCTCACAGCTGAAGTACGTGGCAATCCCAGGGCTCGACTTTGTGGCTGAGGGATTGGGACCCCAGTGTTGGATGACTGGGTTTGGGGAGCATATTTGAATGTTGTAGTAATCCAGGAGAACATGACACCATTGCCACAAACACTCTACAGGTCTAATGAAGAGCTAGTGGCCCTGATCCAGCCTGGGGTTCCTGGGGGCCCTTGGTACAACACAAGTTCCTGGAAGTCAGGGGCATTTATCTCCTGGGTTCTTTACTGCACGCTCAACACCAGTGTCTGCTGCAGTAGGCAACGAACCAGTAATTGCTGAATCAATGAGCATATGAATACAACACACAGGCCGCTCTGTGATTCTAACCCCTACCTATGGCCACATCTCTTCCAAAGTATACCCACAATTCCGAGAGGTGGGAGGTCATTAACCATGTGGTAAAAAAGGATCATTGAGACAAAAAGACAATATTCCTCACTGGCTGAAACACACAGAACAGAGATGGAATGGCAGCTGCTGTTTCCCGGCTGTCCAGCTAAGACATTTCTGAGGAAGAAATGGGTGAGGTTGCACAGAAAGCAAGACCTTTCACAGAAAGCGAGACCTTTTCGTCTCACACCCAAACTTGAAATTTAATTCAGTGCCTAACATGGGCAGAGCATGTTGCAAAATGCTTTGGAGGTCTCCGAGTAGTGAAGAAAGAAGAAGGTGTCTGCTTTTGGACTTCCTTGAAGATATTTTCATAGGCCATGCTCCTTTCTACCAAGGACTGTTTGTACCAGCTGCATGCTTACTGTATGTCCTTCAAATGTCCCCATATTCTTTTGAGTCACTTCAGATCTTTGCTTAATCATCATTATCTCAGGAAAGCCACAAGATATCACCTTCGCCATGAATTGGTAAGTGGATGGCTGCCAGGCAATTGTGCATGATATCACACCTTAGACCCAGCAAAACAAACTAGATAACAAAGCCAGCCAAGGCTATGTGGCTGCCTAGTTGAGAGCCTTGTGACTCAAAACATGGGCCAGAGACCAGCAGCATCAGCATCTTCTAGGAGTCTGTGAGAAACTCAGCACCTCAGGCCATGCCCCAGATCTGCTGATTCTGACTCTGCCTGTCAATCACAACCACATCTCCAGGTGACTGGCGGGAACATTAAGGGATTGAGAGTTTAGAGCTCTGCAGCTAGATTGCCTAAACTCTGGTTCTGCACTCACTAGCTCTGTGACCTTAGGCGAGTGATTTAACACCCCTAAAACTCCATTTCTTCATCTAGGCAAAGGGGGAGACTTACAGAGCTAACTCACTGGGTAGTTCTGAGTCTTACTTAAGATCATGCGTATAGATGTGGTTAACACAGAGCTTGCAGCTGGTAATTGCTGAATTCATGCTACCCATGGTTGTTAAAAACTCAGTGTTCAAGGCAGAATGCAGAATGCTGGTCCAACTGAGTACTCTTTAGGTAATGAGATGTTTAAAAAGGGATACAACTGGTAACATTAAGATGAGGTTGCCACCAACCCAGCCACGGTCTCCAGCTGCAATGATTTATCACTGAAATGTTGGGAGGCTCCAATCCTGCAACAGTATGTGAACCAGATCAGATCTGGCCCATCCTCTTAGACTTACAGTTCAAGACAGACAAGATTAGGTCCAGAGCCAATGTAAACAACAGAATGGACCCTGAATCTCTCTCCTGATTAGATCAGCAAACACACCAGCGCTGCCGCCTTAGGACACATTCCCCCAGGACAGAGGCACACATGAAGCAGCTCCAGCCCTGCCCAGGGGTGGTTTATTATCAGAAGAAAAAAGACCACAGGAGACGACTGTCCCACCTCCAGCACAGACCACAGCCTCTGCTGACAGGCAGAATAAGGTTCCAGTGTAACAGCAGCAACTCCTAACCTTCCTCGAATGCATTCTGCCAGTGCTATAAGTACATTGTAGGTTTTAATTAATTTAATCCCCCAACATGCCTAGAAGGTGCAGACCATTATTAATCTCGCTTTACAGACAATAAAACTGAAGCTCGGAAAACTGAAGTTACGTGTCATACAACTCATCACACTACTGGTAAGTGGCTGAAACAGGACTTCTGTCAGGTGCAGAATGCACCTCTCACCTTATCTGTGCCTTCATCAACCAACACCTACCTGCTATCTGTCCATCCTGTTTGGGTGGGGAGCTATCTGAGCTGTGCAGAGGTGGCAGGGGTGGGCCCTGCTGAGGAATGCAGCAAGGGGCTCACCCCACGACCCACAGATGCATGACCCTGCCCAAGGGAGGGCTTCTCATCTTACTCAGCCTCAGCTAGAAGCCAGTGGTGACACATTCCGGGGTGTCTATTCCTATCCTGAGATAGAGCCACATGGAAATTCAAAAGATGAAATCGCAGAAGCAGTTTATCACCCAAGTATAAAGACAGGCATCTGTCAACAAAGGAACATGATCATAGCTGAGTGTTCCTTGAGTGGCTTTTCCTTCATTGCTCTCAAAGCCTTTTGAGATCTCGAAAAGTCTCCAGTGGGCAAGACTTGACATTCTATGTGTGAGACACAGATGCAGAATCAGACATGGATACCGTGATTCGCTGCTACATGCCGGTGTCTTCAGCTCACGTCTGCTCACTCACACACGAGGTGACCAATCCCAATGATGGGGATCCTGTCCCAGCCCCCAGTTCTCCAGCAGTGTCTCCTGGCTCCCCTCTTTAGACCCAGCACCACTCTCATTCTTGCAAGCCACCTGACTCATGGCTTTCCCATTCACCTCCTGCCCTGTCCTTGGTACCCCACATTGCTCTGGACACCACAGTGCCCTGTATAGCCACTGGTCCCATGGCGGGGATCCTCAGGCAGAGAGAAGATACTAAAATCAACTCACTTGCAAACAGGCCCTCTTCCTCACAAACTGGAAGATGGATCCTAGCCAAATGGAAAAAAAAAAAAAAGCTTAAATTTTTAGGTTTTAAAAAAATCAATGTAAGGAAAATTCTCAAATGGTTGAAAAATATTCAATCTACAGTAGGCCTTGGGGATGTGTATTTTTTTGGCTAGGGGACCTCCTGAGTTTCTTTAATCACACCAAATAAATGATTCTCTTCTCCAACTATGGATAAGGCTGGCTCTGATTGGTATATGAGATCACACACATATATATTCTCTCTCATAAGTTTGTATAAGAGTAATTTCTGGAAGCATATAAAAGACAGACGACAATAGCTACATTTGGAAAGGGGAACCAGAAATTGGGTAAGGCAGGAATATTTATCTTTTATATTATCTTCTAATCCTTGAGAGTTTTGCACCATGAATATGTACTTCTACTTTCAATTTCAAAAGTAGTCAATAGTAACAATAAAAATACATGAACTTGCTGAGAGAAATATGGTCATCTCACATGCCTGCTCCAAACTGGCTCATCAAACCAACCCTACTCCCAAAGCTTGGTGCAGGTGTCAGCCAACATGGGACAGTGTCCTTCAGGTCACTCGATCTATACAATCCTACTACCCCCCAACTTCTCCCTTCTGTACCAGCCCCTTCTGGCATCTGACCCTTCACTTGGCTCCCATTTCCAGCTCTCACTCTTTGTATTAATCAACTGATCTGGTTTCTCGAGACAAAGTGCTTTGCCCCATGATGTGCCCTCAGGCTTTTTCTTAGGGTGGGACACCCCTGAGATCCCTAACCCATAGGGTCCCACTGCAGTCATTGTGAGGGCTCAGGATTCCAGAACCCATTTTCTCTATCAGGCAATTTTGCCTTTGTGCTAGTTTCTGATTTCTTTGTATAATCAAACTTAAGCTCTTTTAGAGCTCAAAGTGCAAGAGCAAATCTACTTGAGGTTTGAAATCCTGGCTCACACCAACAGAAGAAAATCTCATGATTCCATTAGAGCAAATATGGCTCAGAAAATTCGTGCTTTCTCTCTGGCTCCGGCTCTTTTGTTTATGCACTGTTTCTTCCCATTCAACAGGCTGTCATTATGTGAGTGTCAATACACTGGGCAGAATCGTGGACATGATGTATCAGTGTTGAGGGCTACCAGAATTAGAACATAAAGACCACTTAACTCAGAACCAAATCAGGGAGCCCACAGATTAGTCACCAGAGAGATGCCAAGACAATGTTAGTCTACTCAGTGCACTCAACAGTATTACACATCTGAATGGGTGTTAGGCTCCCCCAGGGGCGCAGGGTGGGATTTATTCACTGCTTCTGTTGCAAGGGTGGGTGGTCACTACCCCAGCTCCTCTCAGGTGATGTGTGGTGTGTGACTTGCCTTCAGACATCCTTCGCCCTCCGTTCCTCCTCTGACTCCCCCGCCAGCCATCAGTTCCTAGTGCTGTGTCTGCCTTTCATCACGTCTTGGTATCCCTCTTCCAATGCCAATGCACAGAGTGGGATGTGCACACTTCACTGAGAAGCTCCTTTCTTCCCACTATGTCTCTGCCTCATCCAGACAGTCAAGGTTGCAGAGATTGCTTTACATCTTAATGATACTGGGAAATACATAGGATGTACAGAGATTGCTTTACATCTTAATGACACCGGGAAATACATAGGATGTACAGGACAACAATTTCATTAAAAGTCCATTATGGCTTGGCTGTGTGGTTGAGCCATGCAAGTTAATGACCAGGTGTTGTCAAATACTCAAAAGCCCTTGGCTTACCTCCTTGAATAATAAACTGACTTGGGTCCTTGGGGATGTGTGTTGAAGTACACCTAGGATGGCGGCTTTTGAGATTTTTAATCATTCACATACTACCTTGTTATTCTTTCTATGTATTATCTGTATGATTTAATATATTTCTGTGAATTAATTCCTGTTTCATTTTTACTTAAATGTCTGCTATATCTTTGTCCTAAGCAAAAGTATCTGTAGGGTCATGCATTTGAAAAGCTGTGTATCTAACATACATCACCAAAAAAATCCATGAAAATACTATGCTGGCTACACCTTGGGGCACGTAGAAGGAAAATAATGACTCAGAAGTCAATAGACTCCATTGTGTCTTTATATTTCCCACCATTGCTAGTAAAGAATCGTACACACAGTACATGCTCAATATCAATTTGGTGATTATTGATTAGATCTCAGGTGACAATTACTTGTCAGGATTGTGATGAAAGAAAAAAAAGATAGTTCAGGATCTAATCTAAGCAAATTATTTCCTTGATTTCTAGGCCTTGAGACTTGGAAGCTACTGAAAAAAACACCTCAGTTTTTGGTTCAAGTAGAAGGGTCTAAGAAAACTGACAAGCTATGCCGTAACTTACTCTTAGTAAAACAACAAAGCACTCAGGAAAGCTTAGCTTGCAAAACATAATGCAGAATTTTTGCTTTAGGAAGAATGTCTCCAGATCCAGTCCTTTCATGCAGTGTTGGTATATGCAGAGCCATTACATGAATGCAGGTTAGCACTTCAGCCATTGTCACCCAGAGAGAAGCACCAGGAGCCATGGTGAAATCTCCCCAGCCCACCGTTGACCAAAGTTGGTTGTTAACCAAAATGGCTGAGACATGGGAGTTCACTCAACAAGGAGACAGATGGCCAAAACCGAATGGGAAGGTCTGCTTCTCACCGGAGAAACTAGACGCTACATGGAAAATTCCATGCCACAGTTCAAAGGGGCACTGTGACCTAATAAATTTAGCTGCATGGGTTATTAAAGGCAACTGTAAATTCAGTCCGGATTTTTTTTTCCTGTGCTTTTCCCACAGCTGAAACACATGTTAAACCAGAGAGAATTCCCAGGGAAGCTCAGTGCCTGTTTTGATAGCATCTGACATACCATGTGCCGGGATGAGAAATACCTCTGTAAATGACTTGTTGCCAAAACCAAGATCCCAGGAACACCAGCCTAGCATCTCTGCAGAAAGCCTTGGAGTGGGGATGCTATGACCTCTAGGTAAAGAACGAGTGACTGAATCTGCAGTCTGCAGCCAGCCAGAGTTGGGGACCTTTCCTTTTGCTGGCTGGTTCTAACACCTAATCTCACCAAGGAACCTCTGTTAGAAAGTGAATAATTCATGTGCTCTTCCTCTATGGCGTTTAGCAGCGTAGGTGTCCTGCCAAGTCAAACAAAAGTGATAGAGACGTGCAGTTAGGGATTAGTGCAAATCAGGACTCCTACCTGATGGGATTTAGCTCTGTTCAGGCCTCTATACTGCAACCTGGGTGATCTGAGGGTCAGAAAACCAAGTGCAAAGGCAGGGCTCAGGCTTCAGTAAGCATCACACTGGAGTCATATACATAGCCTGTCTTTTATTTCTCCTTGAGCTTTTTAGGAGAGACCTTTGGAGATAAAAAAGATTTTGAAATTCCAAAAATGATGTACAAAATGGGTCCTTGTCAAATAAATCAACCAAGAAAAACAAAACCAGCAAAGAGATTGCTTTTTTTTTCCAAGGGCTGACTCAGAGATCTGTTTCTGTAGAAATGCCTGTGAATCTGTCTTCCGGACCATCTGCAGGAATATCATGGAGGGAAAGGAGGAGGCTGCAGGCAATGGGGAGGGCTGATAAATGGGTCCTTCACCTTTGTTTCTGCCTCTAGAGGCTGTGTACAAGGTACACAAAAGAAACAGGCTTTTGACATTGTAATCATATCTCGTCTTTTACTAAGTAGTCTTAAGAAGATACATCGGATTAGGAAATGGCAAGATCATTAGCTTTGAAGCTAAAGAGAGCTGCTTTCAAATCTTGCCTCCACTTCTCACAGCAATGAGACTTTGGTCTCATTTAAGCTCACTGGGTCCTTTTTTTAACTGGTAGAATGGGATGATAATATGCACTCCATAGAGTAACGGTAAGAATTAAAACAAGAAATACATATTTGTCAGGCATACAATAGGATATCACTACAGAAATTAGATGGCATATAGAAAATTACTATGATAGGAGATCACCCAGCTTACCAACATACTGTATTTATTCCACCTGGTTCCAAATGGTTTGTCCATTTAAAATTTTTTATTATTTATTTATTTATTTATTTTTTTTGAGACTAGGTCTTGCTCAGTCTGGAGTGCAGTGGCAAAATCACGGTTCACTGCAGCCTCGACCTCCTGGAGTCAAGTGATCCTCCCACCTCAACTTTCCAAGTAGCTGAGACTACAAGCGTGCACTACCACACGTGGCTAACCTTTTGTATTTTTGTAGAGATGGGGTCTCACCATGTGGTCCATACTGGTTTTGAACTCCTGAGCTCAAGTGATCTTCCCACTTCAGCCTCCCAAAGTGTTGGGATTACAGACATGAGCCACTGCACTCAGCCAGGCCCATTTTAAAAATTATTATTATTCTTTCTTTATTGGAGACAGACTCACTCTGTTGCCCAGGCTGGAGTGCAGTGGTGCGATCTTGGCTCACTGCAGCCTCTGCCTCCAGGGTTCAAGCTGTTCTCATGCTTCATCCTCCCGATAAGCTGGGACTACAGGTGCCGGCAACCATGCCCAGCTAATTTTTGTATTTTTAGGCATGGGGTTTCACCATATTGGCCAAGCTGGTCTCAAGCTCCTGGCCTCAAGTGATCCGCCCATCTTGGCCTCCCGAAGTGCTGGGATTGCAGGAATGAGCCCCCACGTTTGGCCCATTTTTTAAATTAAATACACACTTTAAAATATGTAACACTTAAAATCTATATATTTTATGTAAATTACATCATAAGAGAAAAGTACTTCCTACTAATAAGGATACTCAAAATAATTGGCTGCTGGGAATTCAGCAAATGTTTCCTAAGCACCCACTATGTGACAAGTCTTGTATGACAACCAGGGAGAGGCCAAGGCTCTACAAGAAGTGTTTTACAGACAGGTCCATCACTGGGACAGGGGTGTGGCCCCACAAGGTAACTACTGGAAGTTTTTCTAGATTTTTACCACTCCCACTGCAAGTGGGTGGGAAAAGAGCAGGCTGAAGAATAACCCAGCAAAATCTCTCTAACTGGAGATGTAAGGACAATGGCAGGGGCAACACAGAGCTCCCAGGTCTGGCTGCCCCTCTCTCAGTGCTCTGACTGGGATTCCAAAGCAGGACGCTGCTCACTCTCACAGCAAACATCACCAAGTGTGGGTTCCGGCCAGGCACGATGCTAGGTACCAGTGATACTGTGCTTTGGCCACACAAATATGTGGTTTCCCTCTTAGAGGCCTTATAGTCTAAGGAGAGAGAGAGATGCCAAGCCAACACCACTAACAAAGGCCCCATAAGACTGTATGAGACTGGAGTGGGGCCACGCCCGAGGGGCAGGGAAGGCTTCCCGGAGGAAGTGACTGTTTTGAGCTGAAAAATGAATGGCAGTTGCCACAAAAGAGAAGACAGGGGGTGGGCGGCAGGGGGTGATTTCCCAATAGAGGGAAAAGCAGAGGTGACACTAGAGAGGGAGGCAGGGGCCAGGGGCCAGGTGCTACTGAGCCCTGAGCACCATGGCAGGGAACCAAAGTTTGGTTTCTAAGAGCCAAGGGAAGCTGAGGAAGGGTGTTAAGCATAGTCTGTGTTTGGGAAGCTCACTCTGGCTGCTCTAGTGTGGAGTACATTGTCTGTGGGGCCAGAGTGGAAGCAGACAGGGAAGAGAGGAGGTCTGCAGTCCTTTGAGCAAGAGAAGATAATGGCGCGGATGAGATCAGCACAGTGGATAAGCAGGCAAGGGGAGAGGGAAAGGCCAACCGTAGAAGGCAGCTCCCCCATCTCTGCCCTCCATACCCCACTTTAGTCTCTGCCAGCCCCTGGGTGTAACGATACAGATGTGGAATCCCCATCCTTATGCCCACTAACCACTTACAGCTGGGCAGCAGGCACTCTGGAGACACAGAGCCGGAGAGAAACCAGAGCTCTCAGGAAACTGGGGAGAGGAGTAGGGGGGCAAAGCTGAATGGCTGGGCTTCTGGGTCAGAGAGTCTCCTGCTGAGGCACACCTTTGGGAGACCTTCGACTCCTCTGCAGCCCCTTTTCTTCCCCTGACCCTTCCCACTTCCAGGATTGAACAAAAAGTGGCCTGATCCCCACTACCCCCCTACTCAGTCCAGTCACAAAACAAGAGTCCCTGAAGGCCTAGAACACACTAAGAGGGGCCTGAGCTTTGGTCCCAGGTAGCAGTCTCTGATCTTCGGGACTAAAAACAAATTGGGTGCCTTCGCCGACATTGTTTCCTCATCTGTCAAATGCTGATAATAGTCCCCACCTTGCAGGCTAGCTCAGAGAATGAAATCAGACAGTAGACACAAAGCACCAAGCACAGTGTGAGACACAGTAGGTGTTTAATAAATGTAAGCATTATTCATGCATTCTAGGGGTGAGGTTAAGGCCAGAATCAAAACCCCTACCCCATATTATCCTCAGTCCCTTCTCTTACTCTGTCTCTATCTATAGAGGTGGTAACAATGGGTCTCAGGAGGCTCAAAGACTCAGGTAAGATTCACTTTCAGTTTTTTGCTAGAATCGTGGCCTAGATTCACTTCTACGTTTTACAATGTGGGACACTGGAGGCGGGTATTTTAACATCTGCACCAAAGGGGATGCCTCAATGAGATATATACTAAGGCTAGACTGACAGTGACTTTGTCTGCATACTTCACACCCCTCGGCCCTGCCTCCCTCAGTCCTATCACTAAAGCCCCCACACTGTGTTTGTGTCTGGGGAACCCACTAACATGGAAAAGGGCGGGTTCCAGGCAACCACAGGTCTACAAGATAATGGATAAGTGGGAGGGGTGGAAGACACAGAGGAGACAGGGCCACCCCTAGTGGGCACTGGCATATATAGGAATGGGAGGCACAGACTTAAGCATGAGGTAGGGAATAGCTGAACAGTCTGTCTTCTAATTTACACTTGCTTACATTCTTGGACAAGATTTATATACTAAATTACGCCACTTAAATCTGATAATCAGGATGATGATATAGTTAATGGTTAATGCATATTATGGGGACTTACTTTGTGTCAGGCACTTTGCTAGACACCTTACATGCGTTATCTTAATTAGTCCTCTCAACAACTCAGCGTAGGTATTAGGTTGGTGCAAAAATAAGTGTGGTTTTGTCATTATTATGTTTTTTTAGAAAGTCTCACTCTGTCACCCAGGCTGGAATACAGTGGCACGATCTTGGCTTACTGCAACCTCCCCCTCCTGGGCTCAAGTGATTCTCCTGTCTCAGCTTCCCCAGTAGCTGGGATTACAGGCACGCACCACCACACCCAGCCAATTTTTCTATTTTTAGTAGAGGCAGGGTTTCACCGTGTTGGCCAGGCTGGTCTCAAAGTGACCTCAAGGTGATCCGCCCACCTCGGCCTCCCAAAGTTCTGGGATTACAAGCACGTGCCACCGCGCCCAGACCTTTCTCATTATTTTTAATGGCAAAAGCTGCAATTACCTTTGCACTAACCTAATACTTCTATTACCCCCTTTCGCAGATGAGGAGATGAAGGCACTTGCCTAAATCTGCACAGCTGGCAGAGGAGGAGCTGAGATTCAGGCAGGGGGAGCCTGAGGTCTTAGCCTGTGCTCCTCATCTTCAAGATGATGTCTAAAATATCAGCATTTTGGCAATACAGGTGGGGGCACTCTGCAATCTTCCAACTTTATCTTATTTGATCCTAGAGAAACATGTCTAAGTAAGTGCCCAGGTTCCCAACGGAAGGCCTGATGGCATGTTTTTTCTAGAAATGACTATGATGGCCCTACTGAATCAATTATAAATGGTACATTTGTGCACTGTACAGTATACAGTTCTCTGGTGTGTACATATATCACATAAATAAAACAGTACAAGAACCAATCACATATATTTAATTGCATTTTATTTACTTAGGAGCTCCTGGGAGAAAAACCTAGCAGTGCTGAAGAGCGACTGTGGGACTTTGAGGAAACTGCTGGAAGAATATTGGGGAGAGAACCTGAGGTCAAGGGCCAAAAAGGCCTCCCCAGGGGAGGAGCTGCCATTTAAGAGAGATTTTCTAAAGTCACCAAAGCAGGAGAACATACTCTGAAAACACAAAAGCTGCCAGAAAATGAAATTACTGGGTGACAAGGAGTGACGACTGCCCGGAGAAATTCTCTAAGTAATGACACGGGTGCCGTCATCAGGGGCCTCAAACTGTTGGAAGCAATGCAACACCAGAGCCTTCCTGGACTTGCTTTAATACATTTAACATGTCAATCCCCCTACAGCACTCACATCTTGGAGACAAAGTGTTTAACAACATATACTTCATGTATGCTTGTTTGGTGCTTTTTGGTCTCTGCGCCTCTAAAACGAAATAGAACATTCAGAATACAAATTTTTTTAAAACATGAGAATTAAAGCATACTGGAATGTCTTCCTTCATTTTCCTGCTCTGAAAGCTCCTAGGAATCTTCCTAGTTAGAACCTTAATTATGGAAATTCTCATTTATATTATGTGATTTATTTAAAGCCTTGTCTTTCCAAGAGAATAAAATCCTGGTTTTGAAGCACCTCTCAAAATAATTTATTCTTCTCCACTGACTAACTGCTTTGGCCAGAAATCATGAATTTATAGTACATTATGCCAAAGCAAAACACTCTAATAACTTAATCAAACATTTAAAATCCAGCGCACAGCCATGTAATATACAGAAGCAGTTCTCTCAGCTCTCTCGTTAAAGGTCAATCACCATTTTTATTCCAAACCTCCACATCTTGGAGAAGCCGTGCGCACACACACAGATTGAGAGAGAGACAGAGACAGAGAGAGAGAGAGGGAGACATAAGCATTTTGAGATTCAAAACTTGGCTGACATATACCCAGGCTCACAACAATTCTCCTTGTTATGCTTTGAAATGCAGAAGTCGATCCTTCAGCTATTTTTTTTTTCCAAATTCTACCAAAAAAATGGAATCTAAAGAATAAAACAAAACTAAAATCTAGTTTTTTTGATCTTCAAGACATTGAGGGGAAAGAGCGAGGCCCAACTCTCAACAGATTAATGTGGGCTTACCCACTAAGGATAGTAATATAGAAATAAGAACGATAACTCGCATTGTTTTGTCTGTATGTCTTTTTAGAGTACTTTAACACATACATACTTTCTGACAACACCCTCATTCCTATCAGACATAAAAGACTATTAAGTTCATTTTTCAGATGAGAAGAAGCATGCTTCAGCAGCTTCTGATGGGAGAACAGGGAAAGAATGCCAGTTTGGTATGTATTTGGCATGGGATGTTTGACCTAAGAGATGGACTAAAGCCAATGAGTAAAAATGTAAAGCGTACTTAGTCAAATAAATTCTTCTCTCTCTCTCTCTCTCTCTCTCTCTCCTTATTCATCACTCTTGGGCCGTGATGATGATGAGGGAGAGGAGCAGTGCTGAAATCACTGAGTGATGGCTGTGCCGATCTCAAAATGAAGCACTTCATATAGGTAATCTCATAAGAGCCTCATAAAGTGGGTTAATGGAGGCATGGCGTACATGCATTTAACTTGTAAGTGAACCTGAGCATAGGCACCCAGCAAAAATTAAGGGGGAAGGAGTAAGAGAAGGTGAGAAATTCGAGGTGCCGAAGATCCTACAGCCATTCTTCTCAATGAACCTGTGCCCGCAAATGACCCTGAGACGAGGGATGTGAATCTGCTCTTCCTTCGGTCTCACAGTCCTCATCTGCTGCTCACTGTATAAGCATTTCATGGAGTGTAATTTCAGTAATCAATGGTACTTCTCAGTATACATGGCCCTACATGTCTTGTTTCTAGGAGCTATACCTGTCAATCATTTTGAATATATTCTATTTTTATCCTCCATGCTAACTCTACAAACAGGTCTCTCTTTAAAAGGTAACTCCACTGAACAATGATTAACCCCATTTAACAGATGTTACTCGCAGCTGCTAAGAAAGTTGCCTGCAATCTCATGACTGGTAAGTGAAATGAGAAGATTTATCCAGATTCAAATCCAGGTTTATCCTAACTCTAAAGTTCATGCTCTGAATCTCTGCATACTTAGGCTAGAACCCACTAAACCTCTAAGGAACATAACGCACATAACAGAAGCCGATTCCTCTCTACTAGGAGCAAAATAACTCTTGCAGTAATTTAAAAGAATATATTTGCCACACATATGCATTTAAATATGTAATCTAATTATTTGTTTCACATCTAATGAAAGAGTAAATGGAACTCTGGGTTAGAGCTAAAAACGTCATGGTTTTTCTGTTCTTTGGAAAAACGGAGCTAACACACCAAGGCAACTTAAACTTTAAACGTTGCACTCCGCATTAAAATTTCATGAAAGTCAAATTCCTTTCTAGCCTATTTCCTCTTCTGTAAGAGGAGGAAATTGGATAATGCAATATCTCAATCTCCTTCTGACTCCTGAAGGTTGTTTTCTTTTCCTGGTACCTGGATTCAGAACAGTCCTGGATTCAAATCTCAGAATGGTAAATTTCTTTAACTATCTGACTTTCAGATTTTTTCCTCTGCCAAAATAAAACTTTTTTTTTAAATATGCATCTTAAAAAGTTTTCAGTCACGAAAATGGTCAAACTTACAGAAAAGGATAAATATATTTTGAGTATCCCTATATCCACCACTTAGATTCAACAATTATTTTCATTTTGCTACATTTGTTTTATTTTATTTACTGAACCATTTTAAAGTGCAGCAGATCCTTGAATAATGGCATTTCCTTCAATGTCCCTTCATTGTAACATTGATTAGGAAAAAAATCACTTCCCAGCTGAGACCACTGTCTCTGTGGAGTTTGCAATGTCCCATATCTGTATGGGTTTTCTCACAGCTTCAAGTCAGAGCCATGCATGAAATTTGGTTGTTATATCTGTCTCTTGAGTCTCTTTTTAAAATAAATTTTTTGAAGTATAACACGTACAGAAAAATGTACAAATCAAATTTGTACAGCCTGAAGCATGTTCACCAACTGAACAGATCCATGAAACCTCTACCCAGATCAAGAAACAGCTGATGACACGCCCCAGAAATCCCTTAGTGCCCCTCTCCATTCGCAACTCCCCATTGCTTAACACCACCTCGGCTTTTAACACCATAGATTAGTTTTGCCTGCTTTTGAAGTTTACACAAATGGAATCAGGTAATATATATTCTTTTATGTCCGGTTTTTGTCCCCGATTATGCTTCTGAGATTTACCATGTGGTTACAGACAGCAGTTTTTTTTGCACATTGTTTTCTTTTTCTACCAGTCAATTCCATTACATGAATACACCACAGTCTATTGATTTATTCTAATGTCAACGAGTATTTGGCTTATTTCCAGTCTGGGGCTACTACAAATAGTGCTGATATGAACATTCCTGTGTATGTCTTTTTGTAGGGTATGTACCCAAGAGTGGAAGGTACATGTACATTCAGCTCTGATTGGTACTGCCCATATTCGAGAGTAACTGTATCAATAACTCCCGTAACAGTATATGGTAAATGCAGTTGTTTCACCTCATCACCAACACTTGATATTGTAAGTTTTAGCCATTCCAATTAGTGTGTGGTATGTGTCATTGTGGTTTTATTCTATATTTCCCTAAAGACTAATGACACACTAAGCAACTTTTCATACGATCATTGGCCACTTCTCTATCTTCTTTTGCGAAGTGTCCAAAACTCTCACCCATTTTTCTACTGAGTCATTTGTCTTTTTCTTATTGATTTGTAGGAGTTCTTCTCAATTCTAAAATAAGTCCTTTGTCAGTTATATGCACTGCCAATATCTTCACCCACTCTGGGACATGTTCTTTCAATAATGTATTTTGGCGAATTATTTATTTTAATGTAGTCCAAATCATCTTTTCTCTTTAGCGTCTTCTGTGCCTTGCTTATGAAATATCAACTACCTCAAGGCCACGAAAATATTCTGTTATTTTTTTGAGATGGAGCCTTGCTCTGTTGCCCAGACTAGGGTGCAGTGGTGCGATCTTGGCTCACTGCAACCTCCGCCTCTTGGGTTCAAGCGATTCTCCTGCCTCAGCCTCCCAAGTAGCTGGGATTACAGGCACATGCCACCACACCTGCCTAATTTTTGTATTTTTAGTAGAGATGGGGTTTCGCCATGTTGGTCAGGCTGGTCTCAAACTCCTGACCTCAGGTGATCCACTCACCTCAGCCTCCCTAAGTGCTGAGATTACAGGCACAAACCAGCACTCCCGGCCAAAAAATATTGTTATTTTCTAGAAGTGTCTTTATCTTTCTAAAATCCACTTGTAATTGATTTATGAATGGCATTAGTAGGGATCAACAGAACAAGTTTTCCATATGGTTACCCAATTACTCTAGCACAATTTTTTAGACAGACCATCCATTCCAGGTGGCCTCACAGAGCCACCTTTGTTAAAAATCAAGTATCCTTCTATATCTGGGTCTTCTAGACTGTCTTTGCTTTTCTTGGTCATTTGCATTCCTATATAAATTTTAGCATCATCTTAATTTCCACAACAACAAGCTGCTGGCATTTTGATTAGGACTGCCCTGAATCCATCCATCAATTTGGAGAGAGTTGCCATATTTGCAATGTTAAGTATTCCAATACATGAACACCATGCAGCACTCCATATATTTGACTCATCTTTAATTTCTTCCAGTAATGTCTGTCTTTCTGTGTTAAGGCCTGTGCATCTTTCATTAGACTTATTCCTAGGCACTGGTATATATACACATATATATATTTATTTTGAGATAGAGTCTCGCTCTGTCACCAGGCTGGAATGCAGTGGCACAATCTTGGCTCACTGCAACTTCCGCCTCCTGGGTTCAAGCGATTCTCCTGCCTCAGCCTCCCGAGTAGCTGGGACTACAGGTGCGCACCACCACGCCCAGCTAATTTTTTATTACTAGTAGAGATGGGGTTTCACCATCTTGGCCAGGATGGTCTCGATCTCCAGACCTCGTGATCTGCCCACCTCGGCTTCCCAAAGTGCTGGGATTATAGGCGTGAGCCACCGCGCCCGGTCGGCATTGGTATTTTTTGGTGCTATTGTAAACATAGTTTTTTTTAATTTCCCAATTGTTTGTTGTTGGTATATAGAAATTGTCTTTTTTTTTTTTTTTGGTGTATTGACCTTGTGTCCAGTGACCTTAGAAATCTACTTAAGAATTCTGATAGTTAGGAAGAATAGCTAACGTGTGCTGGGCTTAATACTTAGGTGATGGGTTGATACATGCAGCCTTTGTGCACCTAACAACACAATTTACAATCTAATGTGCCACCATGGCACACGTTTACCTATGTAACAAACCTGCACATACCGCACACGTACCCCGGAACTTAAAATTTAAAAAAGAATTCTGATAGTTTATGTGTAGATTATTTTATATTTTTCATGTAATCCATCATTTAAATAATGGCACTTAAATTTGTTTTATTCCAATCTTTATATCCATTCTTTTTCCTTGGTTCTGTGGTTTTTTGGCTCCTCTCTCTCCTTCCCTCCCTTTTCTCTCCCTTCCTTCCTTTCCTATTTTTCGAATCATTGCCAGAACCAGAATTTCCAATACAGTGTTTAATAGAAGCTATGACGGCAGGAGTCTAGTTCTGTTAGGAGAAACGTTTTCAATATTTCACCATCAACTTCGATGTTTGCTGTAGGTTTTTTAGGTAAAGAATTTCCCTTTTATTCTTAATATGTAAAATGCTTTTAAATCACAAATTAGTATTGAATTTTATTAAATACTTTCTTCAGTATCTGAGAAGAGGAAATGACTTTTCTTATTTCTTCTGTTAATGTGATTAATTACATCTTTATTTTTGAAACAATAAAAGTATATTTGTTGTTCATGTCACAGCCAAATTCAGGTCAGCAGGGGCCCTGGATCCTTCTACTTTGTAGCTCTACATCCTCCTTAGAGTGCTGTCAATTTAGCCAACATAGGGAAAGAGTACAAGTATGGAGGGTCATGAAGGGCATGTCACTTCTACTCTCATTCCACAGAATTCCAGACGCAGTCACATTTCCGCACCAACTTCTAGGATTTTTGGAAGTGTTGACTGTGTCTGTCCTATACCAATGTCTCTCCAGTCTTTCGGTTGTATGAAGCTTGTTGTTTTTGTTTTTTCTGAGATGCAGTCTCACTCTGTCCCAGGCTGGAGTGCAGTGGCACAATCTTGGCTCACCTCAACCTCCACCTCCTGGGTTCAAGTGATTCTCCAGCCTCAGCCTGAGTAGCTGGGACTACAGGCGTGTGCCATCACACCTGGCTAATTTTTTTTTTATTTTTGGTAGAGACGAGGTTTCATCGAGGTTGGCCAGGCTGGTCTGGAACTCTTGACCTGAAGTGATCTGCCTACCTCAGCCTCCCAAAGTGCTGGGATTACATGGGTGAGTCACCGCATCCAGCCTGAAGCTTGTTCTTTGTAGACTCCTTAGAAAGTGTCCATGGGCACCATGAGGCCTAAGTTCTTGAATGTTCATAATAGGTAGTCTGCAGTCACTGCACTTGAATGTCAGCAAGGCTAAATATAAATGCTGTTGCTCACATTTTATTTTTTTAGGTTATTCACTTGTATTCTGACATAAGGTTTTGGCATCAAAAAGTAGGCAAGAAATCCAATTTTCTTTCATTATGAGTCTCTGATTGAATGCTTAAGGACTTTTTCCTTTAAAATGTAATAGTTTATTAGAACATATTTTGTTTTGACCCCTCAGAGTTGACTTTTCCAAACATTCAGTGCACTTCCTCGAGGTACCTTCTAATCATCTTTTAAGAACATTTTCTTGAATAGTAATTATCAGTACTATCAGTTTTGTTTTGTTCCATTGTTTTCTTCCTCAGAGATTCCTATTATAAGTTTGTTAGAACCTCTTTGCCTAACTCTCACTTTCTCTTAAATCCCTTTATCTCTATATTAATTTCTTGTTGACTTAAGAATACTCTTTCCATCTTCTATTTCTTTTAAAGCAGTATTCATCCATTTCTTTTTAAAATCCATCTAGATTAAAATATATGTATGTATTTTTGGCATAAAAAACATTTATTTTGCTCGTAAGTCTGTAAATCAAGAAGGGTTTCATGGGTCAGCATAAAAACTTTTTATATTAGAATAGATTTTGATTTACATAAAAGCTGGGAAGATAGTACTGAGAGTTCTCATATAGCCCATACCCAATTTCCCCTATTAACATCTTATATAATACAGTTGTCATAATTAATGAAGCAATCCTGTTGCATTTATTATTCACTAAAGTCAATACTTTTTTCAGATTTTCTTAGTTTTTACTTTCTGTGTTTATTTCAGCATCCCATCCAGGATACAACATTACATTTAGTCATTATGTCTCCTCAGGCTCCATTTGGCTGTGACAGTTTTTCTGATTTCCCTTGTTTTTCATGACCTTAACAGTTTTGAGGAGGACTATTCAGGTATTTTTTATGAAGTTTCTCAATAGAGATTTGTCTGATGTTTTTCACTTAAGACTGAGATGATGGGTTTCGGGGAGGAAGATCACAGATACAAAGTAATATTTTCATTGCATCATATCGAAAGTACATACTATCAAATGATTTATCAATGTTGACACTGACCTTGATCACACGGCTAAGGTGGTGTGTGTCATATTTCTCCATTGTAAAGCTACTGCCCACTCCCTTCCCTTTTCACATAGAACTCTTTCGAAGGAAGTGTCTCTGTGAAGTCCACATTTAAGGAACAGTGAGTTAGGTTCAATCTCCTAGAGGGCAGAGAACCTACACAACAAATTAGTTAGAATTTTTCTGTATGGGATCTTTCTCTTTATTCCATTTATTTATTTACTCATTTATTTCTGTGAGTATGGACTCATGGATATTTAAACTTTGGTAATAATTCAATAATTATTTTGTTACTCAAATTGTTCCAGCTTTGGCCACTAAGAATTCTTTGTTTGCTTTTACGTCCTTTTGACATACTCCCCAAATTGTGGGGTTTCACATTTTGTTTTGAGCACTCCCTTTATGGCACAACAACATGCCTCAGTCCTAGAATAAACCATTTTTCCAAGACGCTTTAATTCCTTTTTGTGTGAAAATGATTTTAAAAATCATCAACTGGGTGCTGGGCATGCTCATTGCTACTCCAGTGTTGTTGCTTCCAGGCCCTCTTGCTGACAGAGCAAGAAAAGTGTTTTGTTTTGTTTTTTTTTTTTTTGACTGAATCTCCCTGTCACCCAGGCTGGAGTGCAGTGGTGTGATCTTGGCTCACTACAACCTCTGCCACCTGGGTTCAAGTGATTCTCCTGTCTCAGCATCCTGAGTAGCTGGGACTATAGGCACATGCCACCATGCCTGGATAATTTGTTGTATTTTTAGTAGAGACGGGTTTTCGCCATGTTAGCCAGGATGGTCTCAATCTCCTGATCTCATGATCCACCCACCTTGGGCTCCAAAAGTGCTGGGATAACAGGTGTGAGCCACCACACCCAGCCAGAGCAAGGAAATATTTTTTGCATATTAATTCATATAAATACATGTATCAAAAATATTTCTATGTATATATTCATTGATATTAAATAAAAGTACCTACAGTAGGCTAAACATGAGTTGATACTGATGTCTCAAACTCTAGTCCATTCCCACATATTCTAGCTTTCTCCACTGTTTGTTTCTAACCACCCATTTCAACAGCAAGAAATCTGTCCTCACCATCCACCATCTATTGTTCAATTCCAGTATACGTGTACAGTGTCTCAGAACTGTTAACCCATATCCCCAGGGGAAACAACTTTACCAACTAGAGTACAGTTCTTCTGTGCAGTTCCTTTTGCCTTTAGTCTTACAGACTCCACTCATTTCCACAGCTTAGGTCAGCACCTTTGCTCCCTTAAGTTCAGTGACGCTGATGCATACATTCATCACAGTCTGCATTCCATCCCGGGATACCCCACTCTCCTACATGACTTTTTAAAAATTTGCACGCATTATAGTTCACTCTTTGTGTTGTAAAATTTTATAGGTTTTGATAAATGCATAGTGTCACGTATCCACCATTTCATTATCATATAGCATAGTTTTACCATCCTAAACCCCACCATCCCCCACTGTGCTTTATTCAACTTTCGGTTCCCTCTTCTGCTCTGAATCCCTAGCAACCATAGATCTGGATTGTATAAGACTATGTTTAACTTTTTAAAAAGCTGCTAAACTGTGTTCCAAAGTGGTTGTACCATTTTGTATTACTGTCAGCAATGAATGAGAGTTCCTGTTACTCCACCTCACCAGCAATTAGCATTGTCAATTTTTTAAATTTTCACCACTGTAATAGGTGTGTAGTAGTATCTCACTACACACCTATTTGCATCACCCTAATGAAAGAAGCTGTTGAGTATGTTTTTGTATGCTTACTTGCCAGCTGTATATCCTCTTCAATGAAGTGCCTATTTGAATCTTTTGTCCATTTCTTTCCTTTATAGGGGGAGAGTGGTATCTGCTTACTGTTGAGTTTTTAAATCTCTTTGTATATTTTGCATATAAATTCTTTATCAGATACATGTTTTGAAAATATTTTCTTTATAGTTTTACATTTTACATGTAGGTCTATGAATCATCTCGACTTCAATTTTGTGTAAGATGTAAGATTTGTATCCAGATTCATTTTTCTGTATCAGCACCACTTGTTGAAAAGATTATTCCTTCTCCCTTGAATTATCTTTACACATTTGTCAAAAATCAGTTAACTGTATTTGCATAGGTCTATTTCTGGGCTCGCTATTCTGTCCCGTTGATGTGTGTGTCTATTTTTTCACAAATATCATGCTGTCTGGATTACTATAGCTTTACAGTAAGTCTTGAAACTGGATAGTGTAATTTCTACAAGTTAGTTTTTCTTCAGTATTGTATTGGCAGTACTTATTTTGAAGTACTTCTATTGTTAAGTTCTTTTTTGAGTTCTTCACCCCTCCTTTCAAATCCTACATTTCTCTTATTAAATTTCTGAGTTTTTGAAATTCAGACTTATGTTGTACTCTTATAATTTATATGTTCTTAAATTCTTCTAGCCAGTTTTCAACTATTCTATTACAGTTTATTTGCTTTGTGGGTATCTCCTTTTATATGTTTTCATTGTTTCTAAGAAAGTTCTGCTTCTCATACTTTTTCTTATTTAAAAACCTTTATATGGGCTTCAATCAGAATCCTTTTAACTGCTTATTTTTTAAGTGAAATAAATTTCCCTGTAGTTTTAGAATGGAGCAGTGAAATAGCTTTTTTTTTTTTTTTTTTTTAAGATTTAAGACTCTAGAGCTCATTCTGGTTTTTGCAAAGCAATGAAAAACATGGCCTTGTATTTTCCAAGATTTGACTCTTCTGGTGAATTCTAACATTATACTTCTCAAGGAGTTCTCTTTTTATTTCTACTATTGTTCCTTTTCTGATCAACTGCTCCCAGAAGTTTCTTACCAATGTTAGACCTTTCCTAGGAAAAGAGCCTCATTTTTGTTTGAAGAGTTTATAGGCCCCAGAATGTTCCAAGTATTATCAGTCATTATTACATCATGGTTCCTTTGTACTTACCATGAATTGGATCTGATAGAACTCTCTTCTATATTTTGCAGCTTTTCTCAGATTGGCCACTGTATTTTCCAATGAGTAGAGATGGGTAATTTAAGGGATGCCCTCTTCTCAGGGTCCTAAGAACCGTAGCTGCCTTCCCTCTGCTTTCTCCCACACAGATGAGATACCACAACAGTCTTGAAACCATCTACTGGGGATTCACTGAATTACTGCTCCAAATAATTTTATTGTAGATGTTGTGTATGTCTTTGGTTTTGCTGTCCTAGTTTTTCAGCATGTTTTTATTTGAGAGGTGAAATTTCCACTATTAAACCAACCTTGCCTTCTTTGAATAAGCTAAATTTGGTTGGAATATATTATCCTTTTCACCTATAACTGAATTAATTTGCTAGTATTTTGTTAGGAAATTTGTAAAAATATTCATGAATCACATTGGTTTATATTTTTTTCTTGAAATGTCCTTACTGGGTTTTGTTCTCAAGGTTATGCTGGCTAAATAGACAAATGTTCATTCTTTTAACAGAATGAGTTTGTATTAAGTTGCTATACTTTATTCCTTAAAACTTTGTTAGAATTTATTGCTAAAGCCATCTGAGCCTAGATTTTTTGATGGAATGTTTTAAATATTTAATTTCTCTAATTGATATAAGACAGATTTTCTATTCCTTCCTGTTTCTATTTTCAATTTCATTTACTCTTTAAAATCATTAAGATAAACTTGTTCAAAGTCTGCTCCTATTATCACTTTAATATTTATAATATCCATACTAATATCCCCCTTTTTATTCTTCATGTTGGTAATTTAGTCTTTTGTGTTTTGATATGTCTTGTCAGTGTCTGTAATTTTAGTTGCTTCAAGAATTAGTTTGGCTTTTTAGAATTTTTCTATTATACATTCATTTCTATTTCTTATACTTCTGCTCTTAATAATTTCCTTTCTTCTGTTCTGTTGTTCTTGCCCTAACTTTGTAAGGAGGATATTTTAATCAAGATATGTGCTTCTTTTAAAATAGATACTATACATAATATATACCATGAATTGAATAATATAGCTTAAAGGCTATACATTTTCCTCTGAGCATGGCTTTGGCTGCAGTCCACACATTGTGAGACATTGTATGTTTATTAACATTCAGAAAAATATGTTCTAATTTCCACTGTGATATGTTCTTCAACTCGGAGTATTTAGAGGTATATTACTGAATCTCAAAATATTTTGGATTTTTCTACTTTTCTTATTAACTTCTTGATTATTCCTGCTGACAGAGAACATGCTCCATATGATATCCTTTGGTATTTGTTGACTTGCTTTCTAGATCAGTATATAATAAAACTTTCATATGCCCTTGAAAAGATGTCTATTCTATGTTGTTTAGAGTGTTCTCTATATATCAGTTACATCAGGTTTACAAATATTGTTATTTAATATTCTATATTTTTACCAAGAATTGTACCTCCTTGTTCTATTAATTACCAAAAAGTGTATCTTAACTATGATTATAAATTTGTCTATTTTTTTTTTAGTTCTGTCAATATTTGCTTTCCATATTTTCAGGCTATGTTTTTAGACACATACAAATACAGATTTGGTATATCTTCCTGGGATATTTCCTATTTTATCATTACAAAATTCCCTCTTTATATCTAATATATTTTCTTTAAAGTCTATATTATCTTTAATAGAGTGACACTAACCTTTCGGTTAGTGTTTTCATGCTATCATTTTCTTTTTTTTTTTTTTTTTTTTACTTTCAAGTTTTCTCTATCCTTATGTTTAATGTTATTCTTTTGTAAAAAGTATATGTTTGGTATTTTTTAAATACACTGACAATCTATGTTTTTTAATTGGAGAATTAGTGCATTTACATATAAGGTAATATGATATATTCATGTTTAAATGTATCATCTTTCTGTTTGTTGTCTATTTGTTCTATGTTCATTTTCCTTCCCTTTTATCCTTCATTTTAATTCATATTTTGTATCATACTGTGCTCCTTTCCCCTGAGACTATCATAATTTTTTGGCTTTTTTTTTTTTAGAGGCTATGCTACAGATTTCAACATACATCTTTGACTTAATAAGGCAATAAATATTAGCACTATTACTTCCTGAATAATTTAAGGATCTTAGAACATTTTAATTCCATTGACCCTTCCAATTTTGTGGTACTGTTTCTATTCTATTCTAAGCTTTTTTTGAACTTAAAAGTCAACTCCCATGTTTTTCTTGACATTGACTTTTTTAAAAGATCAGGGCAGCTGTCTCAAAGAATATCCCACTTACAAAGTGTGTTTGTTTCCTCTTGGTTTAACTTTTTCCTATATCCCATCCACTCTCTGGCAACCAGAAGTGAGATCCAGCTAAATTAGGTTTAGGTAAATATATTAAGCAAAGTACTTCGTAGGTGATACTTTGAGTTTCATGTTTTATCACATCATATTTTATGATAATTCTAACTTCACAGTATTCTTGCATCGATTACATGAGATGGTATATGTAAAGTGCCTGACATGCTATCTGACATATGATAAAGAGCAGAATTTCTCAACTTTGGCACTAGTGACATTTTGGGCTGAATAATTCTTTGTTGTAGGGCCGTCCTGTGCATTTAAAGATGTTGAGATATTCCTATACCCCATCGGCTGGGTGGCATCTCCCAGTTGTGACAATCAAAAATGTATCTAAACATTACCAAGTGTCCTCTGGAAGGCAAAATTAGGCCCAGCTTAGAATCACTTATATAGAACAAAAACTCAAGCGCTTTAATAAATATTCCTCAAGCACTTACTGTCATGCCTCGCTCAAGTCTGTGAGATTAGGAGCTAAATGGGACATGAATCCTGACCTCAACAGTCATGGTTTTGGGAAGAAACAATCCAGAAAACAGGGAATTAAAATATGGTGTCATAAGTGGTGTGATAGGAAGACACCTGTGTTATGAGAGTAGGGGTACCTAACTCAGCCAGAGGCATAGGGTACTTTCATGGGGGAATAGAGAATTCTAAGTTGAGACCCAGAGGACAGACTTCCTTTCCCTTTCCCAGGAAGACCCAAGAGAACAAACCAATAATGACTACTCAGAGTGGAAATAAACCCTCCAGAAATGAAGTATTATAACCCCTATTATTTCCAGGCTCTATCTTAGAATGTGATCAATAAAGATTTATCTATTACAAAATACAAAGACACAGATAAGGTGAGCCAGGAGAAAGAGCTAGAAAGGCACAATCCACCGTCATATTATTAATAGCAAATGTATTATGTTTTCCAATTCTACATCTCCCAGTCTGTATGAAAACAGAACGAATAACCAAAACCAGATTAACGCCTATCAGGATTAATGTCACACACATCCCTTCTTGCTAACACTGAAAGGTATTATGAGAATGACTATTCAGCTGTGTATATGAACCCAGCTGCCTGTGTTTCTAATGTTCTTCCTGATTAAGTACTTCTTCAGATCACTTGCAATAGAAGTCAGAGATTGGCCAACTGTTCACTAAGCCTGTTTCCTCTACTTCCTGGGCACAAAGCTCAACTACCTTTCCTCCCGCCTCTGTAGTTTCCTGTGGCCACATGACTGAGTTCTAGCCCAAAGTATGTGAGACTGGAAGTGACATGTACTTCTTGAAATCTGCAAACTTCCCATGTGAAATTTTTCATGCTGTTTTCTCTTCTCCTGGCTTGATGCAGACAAACACTGGTACCTTGGAAGCCAAGATTTAAGGAGGGTAAAGTTGAGGAGAAGAAGAAGACTTTGTCCCTGAGTCTCCACTTGGAGGAGAGAGGCCTTATCAGGAATGCCCATATTGGGTTTTACATGAATAAGTAAACGTCCACTGTGTTAAGTCACTGAGATTTGAGGGTTTATCTAGCACAGCAGCTAGCATTACCCCACCTAATACACCAACACGGAGAAATAATCAGGTTTCCTCTGCAACTGTAATCCATTCACTTCCCCAGACATGCATGGGTATTTCAGCCTTGTTCACCAAGCCAAAGAAAAGAGGCTTTGCCAAAATATTTCATCGATATTCCCTGGAGTTAAATGTTTATGCGAGAGGCTACTCTCAGGGCCCTTACTAAAGATCACACTTCATCTAGTATCTGCTGCACATGAGTATGAAAGAACATCATCTTTCATGTCAGACAGAAGTGGCTTTGAATCTTGGCTCCCCTCCTGACCATTCTTTGACTCAGTCTCTCTGGGTCTGTTTCTTCATCTGCAAAATGAGGGTAATTACACCTCATAGGAATTTTTGTGGCAATAAAAAAATACAAATAGCATGTAAAACACTGGCATAGTTCCTGGCATGTCCAAGGTACTCAATTAGTTCCTTCCCCAAAACCAGGAAATTAATGAATTGGGAATTGTTTTCACTCTTCTAATCAGAAGGCTAAGCAAGGGGTGGCCTTTTCACAAAGGACCACGTATTCATTTTTCTGTAGAAATGCTGAATATTTCATACAAAGGAACCAGGTTCAACAAATACTTTTATGTTCTCTTTGGTCTAAATAAGAAGAACTTGAGTGTTAAGAAACTTAAAAATAAACGTGTAAACAGAGACAACATTCATTCTTTTTATAATTATTTTCCCTTGCAAGAAATAAATGTCATATTTTCAAACCAACACCAGCAGAACATATGCTGGGATTTGACCCAGAAGGAGAACAATAAATGAGACGGTTCACACAACAGAGAGGGAGGAAAGCATTTTTCTGGGTAATACTAACTGACGTGCAATGGGGACCTTCCCTGTTCTTATGTGGCCCCAGATAAATTGACTCCAGGGGAAAAGATGGCACATCTCAAAGCTAACTAGTCAGGGACAAGCACACCACCTTACCCAAGCCCACCTCTGTAAATGAGATTTGGCAACCAGACAGGTAAACAGAACACAGTTCTTCTAGGGAAGCCGGCAGAGCCGTGAGCTGTTGCAGCTTCATCCCTCTGACTGCAGAAGAAAGAGGCTGAAATGTCAGGGCAACCAAGATTCAGAGAGAACTTTGAAGAGAGCCACCCACCAGCATGACTAAGTGCTCTTGGGGACAATCCCTGCTCAGAGGGCAGAAAGCAAATATCCAGATGTTATGAGCTGCCAGATGTGATTAACAGAAGAAAGGTGAAGTTGCCTACTTAACCATCTGAGCAGCTCTCCTCAAAGTAATCCAAGAGTTTTCTGCAAAAGTATTCATCAACAAAACAAATGGAGGCTCCAACCATCTTCCATTCCCATCCCTTTTCCTCTTTCCCTCTCATTGAGTCAGAACAGTGGCCTATTTTTAAACCACTGGCAATGCATTCTCTCGTGGAAACGTGGGGGCTTCTTGACACAGGCTGATGCTCACTCACAGGAGATACAAGCGCGCTGAAGGCTGCGCCCACTCACCAGTCCTTCCTCTCCCCGCAAGAGTGGGGCAGAGAACACTCAGGGAGGAGAAGGCCTCAGGAGGGAGCTTCTGCCCGTGCAGAGGACTAGGGACTATCTGATGCCAGATCTCATGGCAGGGATAACTGCAGACTTCCCTCCTCCGTGGAAGGGAAGGTTTACACTTGGGTAAAAACCAGCCCCTTATACAGGTACCAAGACAGAGCTCAAGCCTGAGAAGAAGGGAAACAAGCCCTGAAAGCTGATTCTAGCAACTTTTACAGAAAAGGAGTGTAAGTGGATCTCAGTGTTTCTTTAACATGCATCTAATGTGCCTTAAGTATAATAGCAAACATTCTATTTAAACACTGGAGACCTTTTTTAACAAGGTTATAAGGCCAATTTACAAAAACAAAACAAAACAAAACAAAAAACACTAAATGTAAATAAATACTTTAAGAAAGGAGGCTGTACTGTACTTACAGTCGCTCTAGCTGCTTCAGGTCCTGGAAGGCGCCTCTCTCGATGACGCTGACCTGGTTGTCTTCCAGATGCCTACAACCACAGAGACAGCAATGACTAAGGACAAAGCTGGGCTCAGGGACCCTCATACTAGGCTTCATGCCATGCAGGCATGGTCACTCAGCCCTTCCCATGATCGTCAGTGTCCCTTCAACTGGGATCAGTCTGATGGGACAAGATAACTCATATCCCAGCTTGGTGTCACGGTAACCAGGGTTTTGCCGCCTGCACACTTCTACCTGACAGATTGGTTTCCATGCCTCTATTTTAAGAATGTTCTCAGTAAATGTCCCCCCAAGCACTGCAGGATGTTGCACAGAAAAGGAAGAGGTAAAAGCTGCTCTTTATAAAAACCACACATAGATTCAGCATCTCTTCCCTGGGAGCTCCCTCCTCCAAGGATTCAAAAATACTTCATTGAAAAGGGCCTTCCCAGCTCACCCTAGTAGAAAGGGTGAGGCTATTGTGAAACGACTGGCTGTCGCTAAGAAAACCAGCCTGGTCCCAGGAACTCCTCTCACTGAGACCCCAGCTAATCCCAATCTCATGATGATGGTCCTAAAAGATCAGGCTCCCTCCCTCCAGCCACACGCTTCACTCACCCGCCTCAGTCCTCCAAGCAGGTGATTACAAATCCTAAACACTCTGTATAAGTGAGTCTGGTTCACGCATAGAGTATATCCAAAGAATTTAGCATATAATGAAATGTTTGTTTCCCTAACTTAAAAAAAAAATGGCCGCTTAAATGGATGAGCTGAACAGCAGGGGAGAGAAACAATGAAGCTATGTAGCTTCCATTGGGGGCTGACCTTAGGCTGGGAAATGACACAGATTGCACATGGTGGCTGAATGGGACTTAACGGGGATGCAATTGTGATTGGAGAATGTTTCTTTAGAAAGTGGAGTTTCGGAAGGGCTATGGATTCCTCTGGATTACTCAGGAGGAGAGGTACCCACAAGCACCTAAGCAAATGGCAGATGGAGAGGAAGAGCAACCCTGGGAAGGCTGCATCTTTATATCAAACTGAATGCTCCATGACAGTCTCTCCCCATTAGATGTTTCATAACCTCCTGCACTTCTCAGCCTTAACACTTGGGCCCTTGTGTTTAGTTCCCAAGTCTATCTTCCCCACTATGCCTAAGGAGCAAGAAGATAGACATTCTGTCCATCATCCTACTCCCAGTCCTAACACAGTTGCCTAGCACAGCAGGCACTTCATAAATCCTTACTGAATGAATGAAAACCTATAGAAGACTTTGGGCCATGGCACACACCGATTGTATATGTGTCTGGGACAGGTAACTGTTTCGTTTGGGCTCGATGATATTTTACATTTTTGTGAATTTGTTGCCAACAGTTGAAAATCAAGATATTTCACATGTACTCACACCCACACCCCGCAAAAGAAACTCCTTTTGACAAATCAGCTCTCACATTTCCAAATATCCATTGACCAGAAGTAGAACTGGTCAGGCGAGGGTCCCCAGCCCCACAGTTTGCCATGTCCTCATCTGCTCTGCTTCTCACATTTCTATTACTTCTGGCCCCTTACAAGCTCCTCACTTAACACCTATAGAAACGATTGAAGGGAGAGGCTAAAAGACTTGCTCGAGGAGAAATTATTTATGCCAATTCCCACAGCCAGGTAGGGTGGGCCTTCTAACTCCCAGTCTGGTGAGCATAGTAGATTTAGTTTAGAAGCCCTGTTTTGCTTGCACATTAGCTGATGATATAAGAGTGGGTTAACTAGCCAACCTCTCTCAGATTCAGTTTCTTCATTTGTAAAACAGAGAAAATAAAACACTGCAAAAGTTCTTACGAGAACAAAAATGGAATAAATAAGTAAATCATCTAGCCCAGGTTCTGCTATACAATTAGAGGCTTAAGAAATGTTGGCCGGGTGCAGTAGCTTACTCCTGTAATACCAGCATTTTGGGAGGCTGAGGCAGGTGGACCAGGAGGTCAGGAGTTCAAGACCAGCCTGGCCAACATGGTGAAACTCTGTCTCTACTGAAAATACAAAAATGAGCTGGGTGTGGTGGTGCATGCCTGTAATCCCAGCTACTTGGGAGGCTAAGGCAGGAGAATTGCTTGAACCCAGGAGGCAGAGGTTGCAGTGAGCCAAGATCGTACCACTGCACTACTCCAGCCTGGGTGACAGAGCAAGACTCTGTCTCAAAAAAAAAAAAAAAAAAAAAAAAAAAGGCTGGGCACAGTGGCTCACGCCTGTAATCCCAACACTTTGGGAGGCCCAGGCAGGCAGATCACGAGGTCAGGAGTTCGAGACCAGCCTGATCAACAAGGTGAAACCCTGTCTCTACTAAAAATACAAAATTAAGCATGTGCCTGTAATCCCAGCTACTTAGGAGGCTGAGACATGAGAATCACTTGAACCCGGGAGGTGGAGGTTGCAGTGAGCTAAGATTGCACCATTGCACTCCAGCCTGGGTGACAGAGCAAGACTCTGTCTCAAAAAAAAAAAAAAAAATGTTTTTCCCTTCTCGTCTTCCTTTTCCATTCCACCATATGCAAGGAGGGCCTTGGAATGCTAATAGTCTCACACTAGCACGTCACGCTAAATAGGGTCCCACTTCAACACTACTGACTGGAGGTTTGCTGAGCTAAGTTTTTACTATCCATCCACCAATCAAATCAGTCACAGACTTTGTAGTCATTATTTCCTTGCTGGATGACAAGGACCAACTCTAGGGTATTGTAAGTACCACATTCCCTCTGGGTTTCTGAGGGAGCCTAACCCAGCCCTTCTATAATGAATCTTAGTTCTGTGCTAATGAATCTAACACTTCAAGCTTCTTTCAGAGATGGGAATAGAAGAGATGCAAGGATATCTATATGAGATACACCGTTTCCACCTTGTGCAGGCCCTGGAAAGCTGACTTTTATTGGCTTCATCAAGAAGTTTTTTTTTTCCCTCCAAGACAAGGTCTCACTTTGTCACCCACGCTGGAGTGCAGTGGTGCAAGGTGCTGGGACTATAGGCGCATGCCACCACACCCACCTAATTTTTTTTAGGAGGGGACATAGAGACAGGGTTTTACGATGTTGCCCAGCCTGGGCAGCCTTGTCCAGGCTGGTCTTGAACTCCTGAGCTCAAGCAATCCACCCACCTTGGCCTTCCAAAGTGCTGGGATTACAGGCGTGAGCCACCACATCTAGCCATCAAGACCATCAAGAAGTTTTTTGACTTCTGGATTCCTGTCAGGTTCAGCCAAAGAGAGTCACCGGCAGGAGATCAGAGGGTGGAGGAAGAGTGTGGTTGGGGGATTTACTCTTCTCCTTCCCTGCCAAGCCACTTCAGGCTGACTGCATCCCTCTACCTAAGACCACAGCTTCTGTCAAGCAGTCCCTACTTTTGCCAGGCTCTGATAACCACTTCCTCCCTGTGCTCCTTAAGGCCCAGGGGACAGTAGTGACCCCGTTTTGACTCTAGCCTCAAGGAACTACACTATCTCCTCTACGTTTCTCTTAATCTTGCCCACACCGCTAAATAAGTCTTTACTTCGCTCTCCTCATTTGCCCTCTTTTCTGCTGGGACCCTCACTGACCAAGTATCCACATCCCTTCCAGATCTACTTCCTAGTTCCATCACATTCCAGCCTAGAACCTGGCAATCAGAGGCTCAACAAATCATCGATATTTGATGAATAAATGGATCAGTGAATGAATGAGCTAAGACCCTCCCATCCAGACTTCTGGGCTGAGATGCAAGCCAGGAGCATGCACTAAAAGCCACTGATACCTTCCCCACATTTTCAGACAGGGGAATCCGGGAAGGGCTGGACACCCAGAAAGGCTGTCCATGGCTGGAGTCTGTTCTGAATTAGAACAGAGCCTGTGTTCATTTTCAGCTTTTTTGGCATTGTTATTTTTTTAGCTTTAGCACTGGATCAGGATCGGAAATCGCCCCCCATGTGATGACGGCTGGGGTGGAGTTTAACTTTTTTATTAACCCCATTTGGGATAAAGCTGGCTCCCACATTGTGAGCATAGCAGAGCCCTTAGACTGCCAAGAAATGGGACATAATTGATACCACCAGAAGAGACTTTTTCCTACTCCCATCCCATGGGAGAAAAAAAAATGTCCTGGGCAATTCTTCTATCTTCTCCTTAAATGCTCTTCATTTGGGGAAAATTGCCCTGGGTTGAGACTGAAGTTCCTCAATCTCCATTTTATCTGCTTTTGCCCATATTAACAGTTTGACACAGAAACTGTTGGGTGGCCAATTTTTCAAGACTACTGAATCTTTTCTAGCTTCTCTAGAAATTGTAAATAAGAAACAGATATGGGGAATGTGCCAAGGTGTGAAAAAAATCTTTTTAAAAAAGATAGTTGTCTAGGTTACTCAGCTAAAAAGAATCGATTGAGGAAAAATATGGTAAAAATGTCTGGATATTTTATTGGTGTTAGTTAGAAAGCATTTCAGCTATTCCACCAGGCAGATTCTTTCACAGTAATAAAGGGCCACTTGAATGGGATTGTCTTTGAGTTGATAAGGAAGATAATGAAACAGAGTATATTAATAGTCTACTGGGGGATGGGGGGTAGGGGAAGGCTTTTTGGCATTGCTTATCAAAATAAGAGGAATGTACCAATTAACTGAAAAGATAAACTGTAGTCAAAGGAATGTTGTAGACCATCCAGGGGATATTAAAACAATCTTTTGTGATTATTTTAAACTTTCTATTTGCAGAAAGCAGATATGAAAATTGGAGTTTTTATTAGTCTTTCTGATGTAACGCTAAGAAAATCAAGGGTTGTTTTTGACTTTGTTAGAAAATGAAGCATTAGGTGAAATATAAAAGGAAATCTCTCACAGATGCAGGGGAAATAAATAAAAAAAAATAAAGTGAGAAGGTAAACAAGCATCTATTTTTTAACCTGGCAAATGACATAGAATCAAGAGTTGCTACCTATACCTCTTCAATAACAATCGCCCTAAAACTGAACCATGGAATTCCCCCACCCTGATCTCAGTCTCGATTCTGATCCACGCACACCTTGTCAGAACTACCAGTTACTTGACAGATACATGGCTGCTGGGGCAAAAGACTTGGCACAGGGTGTGCCTTCCCTTTGAGGGTGGTGAGAGGAGAGTGTTTGAGACCAAAGACGGAGAACATGTCGGTGTGGAGAGCATCTGCAAGCTGGAGTCCCAGGATTCAGATTCCCCATGTCCCCACACATGTGTACATAACAGAAACTCTGACAAGCCCCCACATTATCAGTGCTGCATTTACAAAATGGGTAGACTATCATTGTCTTAGTTTTCTTAGCTTTCTATAATGTGAATACACAGTGGCACTGCATGGAGGTTAGAAAGCACAGAGTCTAGGTTCCAATTCCAACTCCTTCAGTCACCTGCTATGTAGAGTTGGGTCTACTTAACCTATCCGCACCTCTGGTTTCCTCTGCTACAAATAGGGGCTCATAATAATGCCCCACCTTTTTGTTACCACTATGTAATACTGTGCTGAGCCCATGAAAGTATCATATCCATCATCATTATTACTAACAACTCAATCAGAAATGGCAAACAATGTTGTAAAATTAACGCTTCACAAGTAATCACAAAAATAATCAGAAAATGTTAAAACAATGAAGCACTACACGTGTAACTATGAGAGTTGAAAATACTTCTAACAACGTATTCCCTATACTGCAGATGAGAAAACTGAGGCCCAAGGAGGAAAAATAATTTGCCCAAGGTTTCATGGGTAGCTAATTCCGAATCAGGACCAGAGCCTGGTACTTTCTGAACCAAATACAAAATTCATTATATTTATTATATAGGGCTATTAGTAAAAAGAAGGTAGCTTCAGGTACCAAGACTTTAGCTGTCACTTCTAGTAACAATTTGCCAGCTAAGATTCCATGGCATACAAATACCAAGGCAGTGGCCAATTGGCCCAGTCTGTACTTCTTGCATGGAGCCACACTTATGGGTCAAAATTAACTACCAAGTAAAGATGGAAAATAAAATCTAAATTGCTTTTTCCTGTACCTCTGAATGTCTTAGACTTTTTGACAGACAAGCACTTGGGAAGTTTCTTATCACTCACAGACTTAAGGATTGATGAAAGTGTTCAATATTCAGCAATGAAACCTAATATTCCTTGCTCCTCTAGTCCATCAATGCCCATTTCAAATTTTGCTACCTGTCTGCACAGCTGTGGGTGTTCAGCAAGGGCCCTGACCCTTTCTGATGCTCTCCTCCCCTCCTCTCCATTAAGCTACAAGACAGATAACTTTTGTCCTGATTGCTCTTTTAATGCACAGGCTGGAGAAGAAATTATCATCTCTATGAAAGGGAAGCATGGTTAGTCAACCTGACATCGCTGTCATCCTAGAAGCTGGGCATGGTGATTTATTTGTTCATAGCCTTCCACTTTCCCTATCACTGGAACTAAGTTCTTCCATCGATCTAGCTCAGCCAGCAGCATCTAGACACAGAATGTGATACCTGTAAGCATGTGGGTACGCTAACGAGGGGCTTTCTGCTGCAGAATGGTGAATTCCTGTTGTCCAGGGCTTGGGAGTGTGATGTCAGGGGCAGTGGAACATTTTTTTGTGAGGCTGAAGAGCTAAAAATGAAAACACACTTGAGAGCCATCAACTACTTACAAGACTCGGAGGTTCTTGAGCCCAGCGAAGTCCATCTTGGTGATCCTGGTGATATTATTTCTGTCCAGGTCACTGCAATGGAGAGCAAATTCAGGTCAGATTTTTGTGGGTTACAATTACGGTCTATTTAATCCAGACTGGCTTGGACTGAAGGGATGTTGCTTGTCCAGAAGGCGGCAATTCTGATGATTAACGATATCCCTTGAGCGTGCCCGGCTAACCTTAAGGATATTGTATGGAATAAACCATTCATTATGCACATAGCAGAACTCTTTTATATGTAACTGCCTGCCTTCTGTGGTCCCTTCTTTAGGTAACAAATTTTTCTGTTGAAGTTTCCCCTCCCCCAACTCTCAGATCATGTCATACAAATGGGGCTGACCCCTCTTTCCAGCTCTAGGCACTGGCATCTGATCCAGGCCAGGCTGATAAGTATCTTCAGTTTTCCTGACCACAGCAAATGTTTCAGAAATGCCTAAATGACTCAAAATCCCAATAACTGTTTATCTACTGGGATTGCTAAGCTGTTCAGGGTAGCCAGAAGCCATCTCACCGCCACAAAAACAGTGAGCAGATGGTGCTCTCCTGTGAATGTCCAGACTCACTCATGCCTGAAGCCAGATACCTCTGTATTTTGAGAGTGTATGACCCATTCTATCCCATCTCTCCTATATTTTGATTTAAACCAGTTTGAGTTGAATTTTCTATCACTTGAAATCAAAAGAATTTGCCTGACTTTGGTATGTAGCTAGAAACCAACAAACAAGACAAAAATTGTCTATTTTCCAGCTACTTTGCAAACTCCCTGAGGGCAAAGGCCACATCTCATTTAACTCCATACCCAACATAGTAGATAGAGTATGTGCTTGGCACCCAGTAGAGGTAACTTAACTCATTTCACATGTTAGGTAAAGACATTTGCATGGATTACTCCTGCCTCAATTTATAGGCTTAAGCTCCTGAATATAGCCCCAAAGAGAAGGATTTGCCATAGAAGAGCTGAAGTGGTGGCGGTGATATTGAAGTGAGGGTGGAGGGCAGCATGGATGATGGAAAAACAGTTAAGAAAAACTGAAGTCACGAACAAGCCTGTGAACAACTGCATGAATATTCCGTGTTCACTAAAATAATCTAACAAGACTGAACGCCAAAAAAAGGAACCATGAATAATATGCTACAGTTCTCAATAATGGATGCTGAATAATTGATCCCTACAGATTCTGCCCTCTTTAACCCTCACTTTTCAGGGTTTTGGCCCTTGGAGTTTCAACAAGGTATCTGTGAATTGTCTTTTCTTTCTGAACATTTATATACTAAGAGCCATTTTTCCAATGATGAATCCCCATCCAAACATTCATCTCTTCGGTTTTCCTAGTTGCTTCCTAAAGATGCCACCCTGCAATTATGCCTCCTTTATACAGTTGCATAAAATGAACAGGAAAGGCATTTTCAGATTCCAGCACTTTATATATATATAAAAAATTCAAGTTTGAGGAGGGATTAATCTCCTGGTATCAGACATAATACTGAAATAAAAATCAAGTGAGTCCTTGAGTAACCTCACACAGGTACCTCCTCCTTTCCTCCTTGAGTTTTCCAATACCTAAAACAGCATCAAAGTTGTTTCTGAACTAGCTTGTGATGGAGAAAAGCAGTATTTAGACTTCTCTGGCTAATCTGAGTGCTGGTTTAGAAGAAAAAAAAAAAAGCATAGCAAGAATTACCCAGGAAAATAAAGAAGGGTTATCCATGCAGGGATGGGAAACCTGCAGACAGAAATCTGTACACACTCCAAAGCATCACACGTGTTCTTCTTACCTCCCATCTGAATTCAGATGGATGTTTGGGGACCTTGACAACTGTGAATATGACAATGCAACCAAGGGTTTAATTACCAGGACACAGCATGGTATCTCAGCAGCTTGTGCCAGCATCTGCAGCACTAATATTTTGAATATTTATTATGTCAAAGCACACAAAGTGCACTGCTGAAATGCTAAGGATGTGGCGGGGGGCAGAAGGTGTGCTGTGGGACTGTCCCCGGCACAGAGTTAGTGTTTGGGAGCTGAGCTTCAGAGGCAGGCAGTCCTGAGCTTGAATCCCTGTCCTGCCACTTACTGAGTGATCTAATGGCAGTGCACTTCATCTCTGAGGTGCGGTTTCTCCATTTACAAATGAGGCTGACAATCTTGACCTCAGGAGCTTTGATGAGGGTTAAATGAGATGATGTACACACAGCACTTATCTGGCACTTGTTAAGTACTCAATCATGGCAGCTATTACTGTAATTAGTTGAAGCGCATCTCTCCCATCTCAACTTTGAAATTTCAGTTCACCAGCAGAAGCTGACAGCCCCATACCCCAAACTTTGTGCCCACGGATGAATCCTGGGGTCCCCAAGACACTCCTTGTTGGTGTGCTCTCTTCCTACGGGTAAAAAAAGGCATCTATTTTGTGGCTGACAAATAGAATAATGGGGCCAAGGGTACTCCCCCAGCCCACTGCCTGTCCTTCGCAGCATTTCTGTGACCTCTATTTCCTTAGTATCTAAGTGCAAGTGACACAGGGGCTACGGAGGAGGGATGGGCTCTCCCCTCCCACTGAGCTGTGCTGCCTGCCTCTGCCCACCTCCCAAACACACATACTGCCAGGAAGGCCAGGGAGCACGTGGGCTTTGAGGTGAGATACCTCTAGCCCCCAACTCCACACAGCTGGGTCTGGGTGAGTTTGAGTAACTTACTTACATTCTCTGGGCCTGCATGCTTTGTAGGAGCTTTGTCTCCTACTTGCAGGCCATAGGATGATGAGAAACACAAAGCTGGGGATTCAACACACGCGGTTAGAAATGGGAATGGATTACACTGACCCTGAGGAGAGGCTGCCTGTCCCAAGGCCAGCCCCCACTGTCCCGGCCCAGGCTCCTCCAGACCTTTATGACCTTCAGCTCTGGCCTCAAGGGAGTCAGTGTATGTCAGCCTGGGATGGGTTCTGAACTGTCAGCAGGAGGGGTGATCCTGGATGGGGGCCAAGGACAGTGTCCAGATGTGGATGTGGGAAGTGTGGTGGTCTCCAAACATGTCTGCCATTTCTTTCTTTCTTTTTTTTTTTTAAATACACTTGCTATCAAGAGATGGTGTCTATGCCAATTTCCCTTGAACTTGAGCAGGCTTTGAGACTGCTGGACAAACAAGACTGTGGCAGAAATGATGCTGCAGAGCTTCTGAGGCTAGCTTAGAAGAGGCAATAGGGGAGGGGCTTGCTCTCTCGCTCCCCTCACTTGTACTGCAGCCTTGAGCTGCCATATGAGAAAAGCAGATGATCTGAAGCCTCCATGCTGGTGAAACCACATGGAGGAAGAGGATGAGGATGAGGGAGAGATGCCAGCCCTGGCTTGAGTCTTTCCAGCCCAGAGGTCAGGCACATTAGGTGCAGATACCTTTGGGACTCAGCCTCAGCCACCATCTGGTTATAACTTATGAGAAACTCTAAGCCAGAATCGCCCAGCTGAATGAACCACTCTTGAAATCCTGACCCACAGAAGCTGTAAGAGATAATACAGTCATGTAACATATAGCAATGTTTCAGTCAATGAGGATGGCATATCTGATGGTGGTCCCATAAGATCATAACGGAGCTGAAAAATTCCTAGTGACATCATAACACAACATATCACTCACATGTTTATGTGACGCTGGTGAAAACAAATCTACTGCACTGCCAGTTGTATGCAAGTACAGCACATGCAGTTATGTACAGTACCTAATACTTGATAATAATAAGTGACTGTGTTACTGGTATTTACTATGCCATACTGTTATCACTATTTTAGAGCATACTCCTTCTACTTATTTTAAAAAATAGTTAATGGTAAAACAGCTTCACGCATGTCCTTGAGGAGGTATTCCAGAGGAAGGCATTGTTATCATAAGAGATGACAGCTCCATGTGTGTTACTGCCCTTGAAGACTTACCAGTGGGACAAGATGTGGAGGCAGAAGACAGTGAGATGGATGATCCTGACCCTGTGTAGACCTAGGCTAATGTGCGTGCTTGTGTCTTAGTTTTTAATAAAAAAGTTTAAAAAGTAAAAAAAGTTTATAAAATAAGCATACAAGGGAAGAAAATATTTTTGTATACCTATACAGTTTGCGTTTTAAGCTAAGTGTTATTACGAAGGAATAAAAAAAAATTAAAAGTTTATAAAGTTAAAAAGTTGGCAGGGCGCAGTGGCTCAAGCCTGTAATCCCAGCACTTTGGGAGGCCAAGCCGGGCGGATCACAAGGTCAAGAGATCGAGACCATCCTGGCTAACACGGTGAAACCCCGTCTCTACTAAAAATACAAAAAATTAGCCGAGCGTGGTGGCGGGTGCCTGTTGTCCCAGCTACTCAGGAGGCTGAGGCAGGAGAATGGTGTGAACCCGGGAGGCAGAGCTTGCAGTGAGCCGAGATCGCGCCACTGCACTCCAGCCTGGGCGACAGAGCAAGACTCTGTCCCTCAAAAAAAAGTTATATAGTAAGCTAAGGTTAATTTACTATTGAAGAAATGTACAAATATTTAGCATAGCCTAAGTGTACAGTGTTTGTCAAGTCAACAGTAGTGAATAGTAATGTCCTAGGCCTTCATATTCACCCACCACTCACTCACTGACTCTCCTGGAGCAACTTCCAGTCCTGCAAGCTCCATTCATGGTAAGTACCTATTTAGGTATACTATTTTTTTTTTATCTTTTATACCGTATCTTTATTTTTGTGCCTTTCTTTTCTATGTCTGATATTTAGCCAGTCATGGTGATATACACCTATAGTCCCAGCCACTTAGGAGGCTGAGGTAGGAGGATTGCTTGAGCAATCCAGGAGTTCAAGACTGGACTGGGCAACATAGCAAGACCCTGTCTCTTAAAAGAACAACAACAAAACAGTAGATATATCTAGATACACAAATACTCACCATTGCTCAGCATTGTCTTACAACTGCCTATAGTATTCAGTGGAGTAACCTGCTGTGCGGGTTTATAGCCTAGAAGCAATAGGCTATACCCATATCTCCTATGTGTGTAGTAGGCTAGACCATCTAGGTTTGTGCAAGTGCACTCATGACTTTCACGCAACAACGAAATTGCCAAGGACACATTTCTCAGAATGTATCCCTGTCGTTAAACACACATTACTGTACCAAAGTGACCACTGTGTCTTAACGCATGAAGTTTTGGGGTGATTCATTTTATAACAATAGAGAGGTGGAACAGAAAGGAGGAGAAAGCCACCTTCTGAATACACAATATTTACCATTAGCAATGGAACCCCATTCACATGGCTTTTGGTGGCAAGGCCTTTCTGAGACTTTTGTGCCACCTCTGAGAACCTCAGTCCTGTCATTATGGTCAAGGATGGCTCATGGGGGCAGAAGGCTCCCGAGTTATTGTGGGAACGAGGTGAGAACTGTTCCTTCTCTCAAGCTCAAAGGAGAAAAGACTGCATAATTAGAGATGCCCCTCCCTCCAAGTAGGGCTTAGGATACCATGGGAATCACCTATGATGTTAGGTTACTAATCACAGTAATGATTATCATTCATTGAGCATTGTGGCAGACTGGTGAGTTGTTTTGAGTTGTGCTCAAGACAGAGGGAAAAAGGTTTCATGGACAACTCACCAGTCTGCCACAATGCTCTATGAATGATAATCGTGGACAACTCACCAGCCTGAGCATACAGATAGATTACATTTCCTAGCTTTCTTTGCATGTATGTGCAACCATGTGACTGAATTCTCATCACGATTACAGGAGCACAAGTACTATATGCTGCCTTCAGGCCTGAGGAATAAAACTTTCTGCCCCATCCTTTACACTGTCTTCTCTCATCTTGGGTGGGATTCAGTAGATACACTGGAGGATCCCAGGGATGGGAAACTGAAAGAACCCGAGTCCCTGAATGACTGCATGAAACAGAGGCCTCTCCTCCTTTGGATCCCCACAGCCCCCCACCCCAACCTCCCCGCCCCCACCCCGCCCCACAACCATTTACACACATTAAACTCAGACCTATTCAAGAAATAACTCCTAAACCACTGAAATGTGGAAACTATTTGTTATGGCAGTCTACGCTGACAAATAAAATATCTTTGATACAATAGCTTTCTATGCCTCCTTTTTTTTTTTTTTTTTTTTTTTTTTTTTTTGAGACGGTGTCTCCCTCTGTCACCCGGGCTGGAGTGCAGTGGCACGATCTTGGCTCACTGCAACCTCCGCTTCCTGGGTTCAAGCGATTCTCCTTCTCCTGCCTCAGCCTCCCAAGTAACTGGGATTACAGGTGCCTGCCACCACGCCTGGCTAATTTTTTTGCATTTTTAGTAGAGATGGGGTTTCACCATGTTGGCCAGGCTGTTCTCAAACTCCTGACCTCAGGTGATCTGCCCACCTTGGCCTCCCAAAGTGCTAAAATTATAGGCATGAGCCACCATGCCCAGCCTTCCATGCTTTCTTCTTCTTCTCTTTGCAACAGTTCTGAAAGGTAGGTAATCTTACTTCAACGAATTAAAATGCTGTAGATCAGCCTTAATAAAAGCTGATATTTGCTGGACCCATACTACGCACCAGGTACTGTGCTGAGGACTTTGTGTTCATTTATCTAATCCAGACAGCAACCATATATGGTAGGTACTATTACCTCATTTTTCACATGAGGAAGCTGAAGTTTAGTTTCCCCCATCCCCACCCTAAGCTTAGAAGATTTTTACCAATAAAGAAATTTGACATGAGTTCACATACCAGGGAAGTGGGTAATGCTGAGATTTGAACCTGGGCTCTCTGAATGCAAAGGCCATAGTTTCACTTATCACATCCTACTGCTCATTTACCATTAGAGCATTTTTTTTATACTGCATCAGGTTATCCACTGAATTTTTTAAAAGAATGCATAAATAAATGCACAAACAAACATAATAGAATTTCCCACTCCCGTGCCTTGGAGAAAAACAAAGACATACCCTTAGTAACTTTGCTTCCCCCACTCCAGCTAACAGAGCACATTTCCTACCCTGTCTCCCAGTGAAGTCCTGGCCAAGGGAAGTGGCTGAGCCCCTCTGCAAGCTCAAGGAGGAAGAGCTTTCTTGCTGTGTTTACCCCTGTCTGGTTTTGGTCATGTTGCTCAGCATCTGCCATGTTGCCTCTATAAACAGGCATCACCATGGTAATTTGGATTGTTTTTCCCCATCCCAATCAGTGAATCATAAACCAATGCTGCGACTTGGAGCTTTGTGGTATTTTCACATCTGTTTGACACCTTGGGTGGGGTAGGGAGAAAGAAGAATTCAGAACAACACTGGAAAAAATGAAACAAAAATGACATTTTCTAGGTCAGGCCACTGGCCTTATCTTGGCACATGTATATCCATACCCTTCTTTTTATTCATTCTGTGGCATTCCTGCAAAATTTTCTTCCAGCTGTGGCACATCTGGGAAGAGCAAGGAGTGAAAAAACAGCCCTCAGTGAAAGCATAGTGTGGGGAAAAGGGCTTCAATTATAAATTCAAATGGTGTGGATTTGAATCTCAACCTTTTCACTCCTTAGCTATGTGGCTTTGAGAAAGGCACTTAACTTTATGGAACTCCCATTGTTGTTGCTGTGACTTTTGTAAAACATGACCCAAAATACCACGTCTGTCAGATCACCATGAGGCTCAATTGAGAAAGTACTTTTTTTTTGGAGACAGAGTCTTGCTCTCTTGCTCAGGCTGAAGGGCAGTGGCTCAATCTCACCTCACTGCAACCTCCACCTCCCAGGTTCAAGTGATCCTCCCGAGTAGCTGGGATTACAGGTGCCATCACCACATCTGGCTAATTTTTGTATTTTTAGTAGAGACGGGGTTTCACCAGGTTGGCCAGGCTGGTCTCGAACTCCTGACCTCAGGTGATCCAACCGCCTCAGCCTCCCAAAGTGCTGGGATTACAGGCGTGAGCCATGGCACCTGGCCAAGGAAGTACTTTCTAAACAGCATTCAGAGTGGTTAATTTTTCACCCACGGGCTACAACAGGTAGGGAGAGGATGCAATGGTGTAGCTTGGGATAGACTTTTAAAAAGATGTTCATCTGTGATAGTGAGATCTGTGATAGTTAGGGAGCACACCATTGCTCAGACCAGACTTTTAAGACTACCTGTCCCCTGTACACTGAGTATTTACAGAATACTGCCTTCTGGGTTTCAGGAAAGAAGATCAGGTCTCAACATGAAGTAAACCTGTAGGGGCTACCATACAATGCAGTTATTCCTTATTACAAGGCTATGCAGGCAAAATTAACTCATGTTGGGCATGATGTCTAGGAGATCCTTGTGATGGGTAGGAGGCTGAACTACATGACCTATGGAGTCCTGTCAATAACTCTGTAATTGTCATCTTTTGGGAGCCCAGAGCCAAATGAATTTTTAGAAAATGAAATATAGCTTGGTCCTTGTTTTCAAGGAGCCTGGAGTCTAGCTGAGGATGAGCTAAGACTCAGGAGATTCTTAGAGAACAAGGCAAGAATTTGCAAAATGAAACGTTAAGGGATGTGGTCTAAACACCAAGGGGAGTAGACAAGCAGGAAGTCAGAGAGAAGACCTCCTGCTCCTGAATAAACCTTTCAATGTGTGACGCCTCCACATTCAAGTTCCCACAGCATAGCTATCTCAATGGATTGTTCACTCAGTTACAGATTGAAGTAGTTGTTCTACTCTTTCCCCTCCTTCTCACAACTGCACTTGAGTAGTCTTAAAAAAAATAAACAACTTTAAAAAAAAAAATCCCATAGTGTGATTTGAGGACTCCTACTCAGGAAAGGGGTAAGAGGAGCCAGAATTAAGAGGCCCCCATAGCACTTCCTGACCCTTCATTTACCACCAGCAAAGAGGTTCCAACCAAATCAGAACAAGTTGGCAAGGAAGCAGTGGCCTCAGTTTCAGTTATGCACTCACTACGCTTTCCACCTGAATGGGCCACATCACAGAAAGGGCAAGGTTCTGTGCTTTTTCTCTTCCCTATGAGCTAAGCAGGGGATGCAGGAAGGATCAGACCGAGGACGGGGTATTCGTCCTCCCTGAGAGCTCACCCACGTTAGCTAGTTTTGCCAACAAAGGTTACAGTTCGTCTTTATGACTGTCCATTTCTTGGTTCCAGGACACTTTTCTTCCTATTTCTTCTGGCTTAGAGGTGATAATTGCTCCATTGCTTCTATGGTCTTGGGTTCTACAGTATCTCTCTGAAACATACCCACACCTCTGAAATGATCCCTGTGTAAATAAATCAACTCTCCTGGAATATTCCTAATTTGAATTTTCTACCTGTTTTCTATTTCTTACTGATACACCATTCATTCATTCATTCAACAAGTCTTCATCATTAAGTTTCAGGAATTGTGCTAAATGCTGGTATATAGCTATAAACAATAGTGGCGTGGTCTCTGCCCATAAGAAACTCAGAGTTTAGAGAGGAAGAAATAAAGGAGTAATTACCATAGACTATGATAAACGCTGTATACCATAGGTTGGCAACCTTTTTCTTTAAAGGCCAGATAGTAAATAATTTGGGTTCTGCCAGTCATGTTTTCTATCACAACTATTCAACTCAGCTTTGTAGTGTGAGAGTAGCCTTAGACAATATATAAATAAATGAGTATGGCTGTGTGCCAATAAAACTTTATTTACGAAGACAGACTGAAGGCTGGATTTGGCCCAGGGGCTGTCGTTTATAGACTCCTGCTCTCTACTATGCCAGAGGCATAAACAAAAGCTTACAGAAGAGTATGGAGGAAGGAGTATGGAGTAATTGGGGTGTAGGGTCGGGGGAGGCATCCAGGAACAGGTGACATTTTAATTGAGACCTCAAGAAAGAGTTGGCTATATTCAGGTTGGCATAGGAATATTCAAGAGAGAGAAAAAGAATTTTAGGTTTAAAAACAAAAAACAAAAAAAAACCCCAGCATGTATAAAAGCCCAGAGGCATTGCCTCAGGATAACTGCCAGCAGATTTATTTGGCTGTTAAAGCATGTTTCAAGAGAAACACAGATCTTTCTTCCCTTCCTTCTTTCTTCTTTTCTTTCCTTATTTTCTTCTTTCCTTTCCTCCCTCTCTCTCCTTTCCTTAATTCCTTCCTTCCTTCCCTCCCCATCTCCTTTCCTTTTTTTAAAATCCCTCCCTCCTTTCCTTGCTTCTTTTCTTCCTACAACAAACTTTTATTAAACACCTACTCCAGACCTGGCACTATGCTGATGGCTAAGGATAGACAGTAAAACAATAGCAAAGAAGTTCCTTTTAAGGAACTTTTATTTCTTTGCTGAATGCCGCAGACAGATTCTAAGGTGGTCCCCAGTATCAACACCTTCCCCTCTCCTTGAGTGGGCAGAACCTAGAGACCTGCTTCTAACCCATGCAACACAAAAAAGGTGGTCGGATGTCACCTTTGTGACATGTTACATGGGACGGCAATGCCCGTCTTGCTATAGGACTCTTTCTCTTGCTGGCTGTGATGAAGCAGGTGGCCATGTTTGGGAGGCCCACATGCCAAGGAACTGGAGGCAGCCTCTACCCACAACCAACCAAGAATTCAAGACAACCAGCAGGAACCTGAAGCCTTCTAATAGACTGCAAGGAACTGAATTATCCCAATAACCTTGAGAGCTTGGAAGCAGGTCCTTCTCCAGTTGAGCCTTGAGATGAGATCACAACCTCAACCAAACCCTTGTGTGCAGCCTTATGAAACCCTGAAGCAGAGGGCCGAGACAAATGGAAGGTGCTGAATGCCTGTTGTTTTAAGCCACGAAGTTTGCTATCATTATATGACAATAAAAAACACAGGGGGAGATAGGCCACCACAAATAAACAAGGAGACTACAGACTGCAATATGGGCATAGCTAGGAAACAGTACAGGGTGAGGTGAAGAGAATAAAGATATGGTGAGAGGCAGTGAAGGCACTGCCCTCCCTAGGGTGTCCAGGAAGAACCTCTCTTAGAGAGTGAGATTTGGTCTGAGACTAGAAGGAAAAGAAGGATCCAGTTGAAGGACAGGCTGAAGGGAGACGTTTCCAGGTGGAAGAATGGAAACAAAAAGGTCCAGGTGACGGCAGCAGAGTGACACCAAATGGGATCACAGAGGCAGGTGGTGTCCAGGCTGTGAGGCATCTATGGGGCTGACAACATGCTTGGGGACTGGAACCATAAAAGGGGCCGAGCAAGGAAACCACCAATTTAAGAGCCCTCAGCCTCATTCCCCTGCCATCAATCCTGCCAGATTAATTTCCCCCAAATGTCAATTTCATTCCACAGCTCAATAAGAAGGGGGTTCTCATTACTGCCCTCAGCTTGCCTCATTTAATTCTTTCTTCTTTATAGCCACAGACATGTATTGAGCACCTATCAGATCCAGGAACTGTGCTAGGCACTTCATTGGCACATATGTTCCTGCTGTCTGTATGCTGGCCTCAGAAGCCCTCAAAGTCCTGCGTCCATTTAAATCCTACTGCTCTGTTATGGGCTGAATTGTGTGCCTCAAAAGATATATTGAAGTCCTAACCCCAGCTACCTATGAGTGTGATCGTATTTGAAAGTAGGGTCTTTGCAGATGTAATCAGGTTAAATTGAGGTCATTAGGGTGGACCCTAATCCAATAGGACTGGTGTCCTTATTAGAAGAGGAGACAGGGCTGAGCAAAGTGGCTCACACCTATAATCCCAGCACTTTGGGAGGCTGATGCAGAAGGATTACTTGAGGCCAGAAGGGAGTTTGAGACCAGCCTGGGCAACATAGCAAGACCCTATTTCTACAAAAGAGAAAACCAGCCAGGCATGGTGGTACTTGCCTATAGTCCCAGATACTCAGGAGGCTGAGGTGGCAGGATTGTTTAAGCCCAGGGGGGCAGAGGCTGCAGTGAGCTATGATTGCACTGCTCCAGCCAGAGTGACAGAGCAAGACCCTGTCTCTGAAAAATAATAAAAAGACGACGAGACAGACATGCAGGTATAGTGCCGTGTGACAACAGAGGCAGAGACTGGAGTGATGCAGTTACAAACCAAGGAATGCCAAGGGCTGCTGGCAAGCCCAGGAGCCAGGAAGGAGCAAGGAAGGGCCCTCCCCTGCAGATTTCAGAAGGAGCCTGGCCCTGATGACACCTCAATTTCAGATTGCGAGGCTCCAGAAGTCTGAAAGGATGATTGCTGTTGTAAGGCACCCAGTTTGTGGTACATTGTTACAGCAGCCCTAGCATACAGATACGCCCAACGTTCAGGCTTTCTCTGGGCGTATCTGTGTGCTAGGGCTGCCATAGCACAGACACCCCACACTCCCCCTGCAGCCTCCCCCAGCTGCTCCATCTCGTGCTGGCTTCTCCCTTCCCTGAACTTCTGAACTTCTGGATCATTTACCCTCTCTCTGCACAACTCATTTTGGTCTTTCATCACGTTGCCTTGCTGCTGCCTGTTTCCTGTGTGTCTGCCTTGTCTCCCAAAGGACCTTGAAGAGGATACTCCCCAACTTCCTCCAGACACCTTGGATGAAGGCCTCATGGAGACACTCAGAAAAATGTACACTAGGTTTCTCGGGGTGGAGAAACGGGGTTTTTTTTTTTTAAACATTTTACATTTTGCTTATCAGTATTATCAATGTTTTCTGGAGTAAACATGTATTATTCAATATACCTCCTACCTTCCAAAAAAAACCACTGAAAAAAGGAGTCCAGTTAACCTAAGACTCTCCCCATAGATAAAGTGACCATGCAGAGTTTAAGCCATTCAAGACTCTGGAATTTTAGCCATTTAGCCAAAGGAAGATGCTTTTTGGTTTTGGGGGTTGTTTTTTGAGACAGAGTCTCGCTCTGTCTCCCAGTCTGGAGTGTAGTGGTGCAATCTCGGCTCACTGCAACCTCCACCTCCTGGGTTCAAGGGATTCTCCTGCCTCAGCCTCCCGAGTAGCTGGGATTACATGCATGTACCACCATGCCTGGCTAATTTTAGTAGAGATAGGGTTTCACCATGTTGGCCAGGCTGGTCTCAAACTCCTGACCTCAAACCCACCTCAGCCTCTCAAAGTGCTGGAATTACAGGCGTGAGCCACCGTGCCTGGCCGGAAGATGCTTTTTGATGAGCCCAAGGGCAGACCTCTGAAACTGCTCACATCAGGCGGTCCTAATGGGTGTCTTCCTCTGTCTCCTCTCCCCAGTCCAAAGGACCTAATGCCACCCACCCAGCTACCCTGATGAAAGAGAGAAACAGCATGTGTTTGAAAACCATCAAATCACCTTCCTACCAGGTCAAGGAGAGCAGTGTTTCCCTTTGGGCCACCCTTATAGGGCTCCCATCTCATGCTTTACCTCTCCAGACTCACACCACAGGAGGCATTATTAACTATTCTGATTTTTGCACTTCGTTCTCATCTGTTACATAACCACATGCAAGTTTAAAAACATACACGCATTTGGGAAAGAAATGAGCTGAATTTGATTTTAAAAACTGGCTTCACACTACCTCAGTTGTTTGGGAACTAAGCCTCTCTGGGCTAAATTTTTGGCTTGGCAACACTCTCGCATATATAATTTTACACCTGCAAAAGCTTGCAGCCAGCCCTGTGCAGACAGCTACCTGCAGGGAGAAGAATGGGCCAAACAGAGGGGCAACCCGGGTGGTTGGATGTGGTCATGGTGAGGGCATGTAAAGAGGAGTATTGGGCATGGGGTCTCTTTTCCTTCATCCCTTGCACCAGGAGGACTCCCTGCCCCTGTTTTGCTCAGTTCAGCTCCATGCTCAAAAACAAACAAACAAACAAACAAACAAAACGTACAACTAGCTCTTTACTGGGAACAGCAGAGACGAACTTGCAAACTGGTAGCCCACCGGTGAGTTCTGGCCTGCAGACCTGCGTAGTCTGGTTCTCACTGTGATTTTCACATATGCAAATTAATTGCCAATTTGGGAGCATTTCAAATACAAATCTACAATTCTGGCTTGTCTCCAAAGGTCAGTCCATCAAATAACAATGGATTTTAGTGGCCATCATAAGCTGGTACTAAGAGGCAATTGCCCACTTTGCATAAGGTACATGCCTGCAATTCACCAGTCCACCTGATCCAATTCCCTCACTCAAGTTACCTGCTTAATCTTTTTTCGCATCAGAGTTTGAGATCCCTGCTGCCAAACATAGCGCTTAAGGTGGCAGGCCCTAGAATCAGATAGCCTGGGCTCAAATCTTAGCAAATAGAGCATGATTTTAGGCAGGTTATTTAACTCATCCCTAAGCTTCTGTTTCTCCATCTTAAATGGCCATAATCACAGTACCTACCTCCTAGGATACTGCAAGAATTAAATGAGATGATACGTATAAAGTGATTCTAGCCCAGGGCTGGTCATGCAGTAAGTACTCAAGAAGTAACCATCAATTGGCTGATTATTATTCAGGCAAAATGTGAGCACAAGTAAGATGATGATGTTGGCAGGACCTCCGTGCTTCTAACACAAAGGTGCACCTGGTCAAATCCACAGCTCCACCCCAAATCTCCTTCATCCACTTCAGGCACATCAAAGCATCTGCAGAGACAGTGCTTCCTTCCTGTCACACAGAGGACAACCCAGCCAACACACTCAGAAATAAAAAATTCTTCCTAAATTCTTCCTGTAATGACTTAAGGCAACGTATTCTTTTCTCAGCACTAACCTCCAGGTGGCGACTATCAGTCCAAAAGTTTCACCTTTTATTTCCCTTATCATGCCCAGAAATCTCAAACCCTTCCAAACTCCTTGCAAGGCCTGTTCTCAAAACACTTCCCTGCACTGCATAGGAGAGCACATGATAAAATGGCTCCTCCAATCACCGGGAGGCAGGAAACAAATCCTAGAAGAGACTGGGGCCAACCTTTGGAAATGTGGCAAGAAATGTAGGGAATACGGTATGGCAAGGATAGTGCTCTGTGTTCACCAAACTGTTCCATTTTCCTCCTAGGCAAACAACAAGATTAAATTTCCTGTGCCCTTTGAATCTAAGTGGGACCATGTGGCTGATTTCTGAAGAAAAGGAATGTGGGTGGAAATAATACGTGCCATTTCCAGGCAAGGCTATAAAACATCCTGCAAGCATGACACTCTCCTTCCCTTTCTTGTCTTCATGGCATGTAGAGATCATGTGTCATAAATGGAGGGGTCCCCCAGAGGAAAGCAGCCTGGGTTCCTAAGTGACAATATGGATCATAAGCCACCTACCACCACCCAGACCAGCTCTACTGGACTGGGTGGGTGGGAGGAAGAGGAAGAAATACAGCTTTATATTGTTTTGTTACTGATATATCTGGGCTTATTTGTTGCTGCAGCTTAGCCTTGTCTATGCTAACTGATACACCTAGCAATACGGCATAGTAGGAAAGAATGGCCCAAGTTAAGCATCCATGATCTTCATCCATGATAATCCAGAGCATGACTTTGTAAAATTTTCCTTCCTCATCTTTAAAAGGAGGAAAATAAACTGATCCCCTAGGGTCACAATAATTCTCACTGGCTTTGGATCCTAACACATATTACCTTAAGCAATGTTTTTAAGAAGGCCACTTAACTCCGGTCAATAGAGGTACAAATGCTGCACCCAACCAACATTAAGGTCCAAATAACTTTCTGCTATTTACTATGCAGGAGCCAATCTACAATGAGTGTTTACCATGTGCCAAGGACTATGCTAAACACTTCACATTTGGGGCCTTTTTTAATCCTCACAACCAGCCTATGAGGTTGATGCTACTTATTAGTCCCATTTTATGATTGAACAAATAGAGGCACAGGGAGATTAAGACACCTGTCTATGGTCACAAGCTGAGAAGTACCAAATGAACAAGGATTAGTGGCTGAAAATTTAGCAATCAACTTGCAGCAAGTAAATATAGAGTCCTAAAGGGTGAAAGAGAAATTGAAATGACCTGGTCAGAGAATTTTAGTAACATACTCAAAAAGTTTAGCTAAACTAATAAGCTCCAACTTACTGGGCTCCAGGGCCATATCTGATTTATGTTTGAATCCCTAAGGCTCAGCACAATACCTGGCACATGAAAGGCACAAATCAATATCTGTTGAATGACTGATGTTAACTTGAGCTCTTTATTGACAGTTTTAACTGAGTTACATTTGCCCTTAATTGACAATGGCTTGAGATCTAAAGTTGATGTACTTCACTTATACCAGTAAATCTGGGTATCAGTTAGAATTGGAATGACCATATGATTATCCAAACTTGAATACTTTTGTGAGTTAAAGGGGAAGTCATTAATAATTATACCACAGAAACAGGCAAAGATCAGATCAACACAAATGGTCATTCCCAGCTTGAGCCACAAAATATCGGCAACAGGAGTGGGTGACAATGGAAATACTCATATGGGGCCTGGTTGCCCACCATGTCTTTGTTCTTAAGGAGACCTTCTTCCTGTCCACTTGGGCTGAAGACCACTTCTAAGTCTATGGCTATTTGCAGGACACATCTTGGTTAAGTGTCATTTTCTGAATGGTGCCCACCTCCCAAGTCCAACCAGTCACAGAGCACATACACTATTAACTTTTAACATAGGTGCAGTAATCACTTTAAGAAAACGAAGGAACAGCCCAAGGAATGCAATGATTGCTGCAGGAATATAAACATGGACTGCATTGGAACAGGCTACATACTTTGTATAAACACTAATAAAGTGAGTTCAGGCTGAGCTGTGACTTTAAAGGAAATTCTTCCCCATAAACATGTCCTGCCATGCCCTAATAACTCTTTAATTTGATGCACATTTGGGAAGGATGATGCGAAGTAATCACAGAATAACGTTAAGGTCTGTTGCGAAGGAGGAGTGGCGGAGGGGGGAATGTGATGCAACTTGGTGCTAACACCATGCACCAGAGAGTTAGCTTCATTGCTCATTTCACACATGGAGGGAATTTGCCGAGTGACACGCAGGAAATCAGAGACAGGTCTCTGCAGGTTCGACCCAAGGAAATTCTGAATGTCATCTGATGGCACCACATAAGACTCCCAGTCATTTTCCTGCCTGTCTTTCCTTGCTGGAGACAGCAGAAGTGGCCCTCACTTGCAGGCGGAACTCTCCAATTTCCAGATCAAGGCTCTTCCAATTTGAATGAGATATAAACTCCTTGAAAGCAGAGAACCTTTCTTACACATCTGGGCATCACCCACAGAGCAGACACAGCCCCCATATCCATGAGAGAAGGCAACAGGGCACGGAGTTGAGGAACACTGGACAGCAGCTGTAGCATCAGGCCTCCAGTCCCAGTTTCATTACTACTCGTGTGTTTTGGGCAAACCACCCTTATCTGCAAAATGGGTTAGCAGCACTTGCAGAACCTCAGAGGGTTTTTGAGATGCTCAAGTGAGCCAATGCAAGACAAAGCATTTTATAAATTTTTTAAAAAGTTGTACTGCTGGAAAACTATAAAAATAACAATTAATAATGGTTTTCCCACGTATTGATTTATCATGTCATATCAGGCACTGTTCATCTCCCCTGAAATATTACAGGAATCCTATAAGGGGGACACTCTTATTATCACCATCATCGTATGTTATTATGAAAGCCAAAAATAGTATTTATGGGAAAGTGAGGTCCAGAGAGGTTAAATAACTTGCCCCAATTCACACATCTTCAAAGTATTATCCACGGAGTAATGATTCTGGAGGACAGGCCTGGATGGTCTGAGCTCCCTGCTCTTTGCTCTAAACTCTCAGGGACTTGAAGGTGCCCAGCTTGTCTCCTTTATTAGCCTGTAAGCAATAAGGGCAAGGGCTGTGGGGGTTCACCTTCATGTCTCCAGGACCCAGGGAAGAACTAGGGAGGTAAACCCTTTGGATCCAATGACTGCAGGTCCTCCCTCTCCTTAACCACTCTGACTTATATACCAACTCTTGTTGACTCCACGCAACCGGCCTTGGCCCAAGACACAGCTGATGCTGTCTTTGGCCAGGTGCTTAGCACTGGGCTCCTCCACTCTCTATGGTTCTCCACCTTTACTGACATGAGAGGCCTCAAACTAATGCCCCAGCTGCCTAGAAATGTGTCCCCAAACAGCCAGGCAGATCCTCTGCACTCACCAGGCTCATTCCAAGCCCCATGACTTTGCTCAGGCAACTCTCCCATCTGTAATACCCTCTCCCATGGATCAAAATGAACTGCAGCTGTCAGGAAGCTTGGCTGAGGAATGGGGACCTACTTCAGTAGAGTGATGAAGATTTGGAAAGGAAGAGAATGCAGTCTGACAGTGGGACCAGAGTGGGACCACCAACCCCATTCAGGCAGAAGCCACTTCTCCCATGTGGCACTGATAAAATGCCAAGGGGCAGGAATTAGGGAGGGAGAAGGGCCCAACTGCCTCTCCAACCAAAACTTCATGTCCACTCCCAACGAAGACAAACATCCTTTCATCATCCATGAAACCATATCTTGCTTATTATGACAATTTTTAAAACTTCTGATTATTCCTTTGAGAATCCAATTTGTTTCCTTTGCAAGGAGGAAACAATTCTCTTCTCAGTTTGGGAGGTGGGGACATTCCATTTATCTTAAGGGGAGGGAAATCTGTTTCCTATTACAAATCACGTTCTGTAGGTCTGTTTGTGAAAAATAGATCTCTACACTTTACATAAAAATGAAAATTCTCTTTACTCTTACAAACATCCATGAAGACCCACAAGAGGGAGGCTCCCGCCCTCTCCTCAGCCATTGCCACAAAGATTGGATTCTCATCCCTTGCTCAGAAAAATTTTTACTCTTTCCTCAAAAAGCAGCAGTGTCCCCAAGTCATCCAGCACACCTGAAAGAGTATACAGTAATTCATTCAATCAGCGTTTATGAATGGCAACTTAGTGCCAGGACCGAGTCTAATCCTAAGAAGGCACAGATTAAAATAAATACATCACGCTCCATATCCCCGCACACCAAGACAGGGGTCAGCAAACTACAGCCCACAGGCCCGATCCGGCCCACTGCCTGTTTTCATATGGATTGGGAGCCAAGAATGGTTTTTATATTTTTAAATGGTTGGAAAAAATCAAAAGGATAATATTTCATGACACATAAAAATTATATGAAATTCAAATTTCAGTATCCATAAATACAGTTTTCTTGGAACCAAGCCGCACTGATCCGTTTATACATTGTCTATGGCTGCCTTCACGCGACAGGGGCAGAGTTGTGTAGCTGCCACTGAGACTGAGAGACCCAGAGCCTAAATATACATGTATGACATGGCTGTCTGCTGACCCTGATCTAGGCGCTTATATAGTCTAGGAGGGTCGAAAACAAGAAAGCGGCAGTCAAAAAAATAAGAATAACAAGCACAACAATAGTATGGTGGATGAAACATAATGGTTAAAAGTGTGGGTTCTCACTCTGCATCAGACTGAAGCTTATTCTGCACTTGGGGGACAGAAGTAGCAACATGACTCTGGGGAAGTTATTTTAACTCTCTGTGCCTCTATTTCCTTATCTGTAGTATGTGGATAATCTATAAAATGGGTGTCCTCTTCCTTAGGTTGGGTTAAGAACTAGGCAAGGTTATACATGTCAAACGGCTAGGACAATGCCTAGCTCATAAGTGCTCCATCTCTTTGCTCTTATTGTTGCCAGTATTGCTGCTCACACAACTCCAGGGGGCATCGTTCAACAGTATACAGTGAAAATGGCACACCTGGAGTACATCATGTGAATGGTGGCCCAGGAATTCAGCAATGTTGTGGTCCTGACTGTAGGTGATATGACAATGATGCTCATAGTTTCGAGGAAAGGCAGGAGGGCAGACAAGCATTCCAGATGGAGGCAGCAGGTCCTGTGTATTTTTATTGCCATGTCATGTGCTACTCCATCATGAAAGAGGCTAACTTCGAATAAGCTATAGGGGGCTCCAGTGCAACCCACAATCCCCATGCCTGCCTTTCTCCCAGCTCACGGCCCCTTCTCAGTCATCCTGAGATGAGTCTCCTACGCTCATTCCTGCGATTACACCTTGCTCCTGGTCCCTCAAACTCTCAGACAGTGGGCTATTTTAAGCTCAAATTAAAGGCTCCTCTCTTGAATGGCTGCAATTTTATTCTGTGGTTTGTTTACTCTGACGTGGCCTGGGGCCACGGTGCTGGTGCACGGGGCATTGCGAGGGGGTAGAGGGTTTCAGGAAGGAGGCAGGGGCTTTGCAGGAACAATTTCACCGCAACATATTCTGTGGAAAACACAAGCACGTGGATGGACAATTAAAAAGAAAACAACTGCGGGAGTATCCTATATATATAGACAGAGATGCTCAAAATAGCATCACACCAGAAGCAAGAAAGCCCTGGAAGCTACAGAGTGCTTCAAACTCCAGAGAAAAGCACTTGCCACTCCCATTCCATGAGTCCAAGTCTCCTTTAGCCTCTCAGAGGAAGAACCCTTGGGGCAGATACAGGCCTCTTTATCTACAGAGGCCTTGCCGTAGACCCTATCATTATGGGGTAGAGCTCTGAGGCTGAGACCACAGACTAGGCTTCCAGGGTATCCCAAGGGACATCTGGGTCCATAGACTCGTAATGGGCAAATGAGCACAGTGCTGGGGAAAAGCAGGCAAGTGGGTACAGAGGAGAGTAGGGGAAACTGGGCAGGTGCAGGGGCAGAAGCCCATCAAGCTCTCCATGTCAACATTCTCTGCCTGGGCAGTGCCTGAGCTATAGGAGGCCCATGGGTAAGGGGGCTGGGGATCTGACTTCGTCCCTTCTCTCCATCCCTCAGTTCCCTTGCTTGTAAAAGGACAGGAGAGAAATGGACCTTCATGTCACATTTGGAGGGCAGAGTCCCTGTTCCGTTTGCAACCTGACCACACACCTCCACCCTGACCCACAATCCCAGGTTAAGTTTTGATTTGCCTAGTTCTACTCTGGAGATGTTCTCGGCTGCTTACGCAATGTTGGCTCTGCAAGCAGCTGGGCATGCAGTCCCTAGTTCATCAAGGTCCCTGTTACTTCCTAAGATTTCACAAGCAGCCCAATTCACCCATTTATATTACCTGTCTGGCCCAGGTAGGTAATTGGATCTAACTGCAGACTTCATAATTATGAAATGTTTTCCAACCTAGCGTAAAAGCTCTGCTAGGAAAGAAACCAAGCCCATGAATCAGTCCTCACTCTGGTGCCCAGCACAGTGCCTTGCCCAGGCTACTGCTTAAACAACAGTGGGGGATTTGAATGCACTGATGTGATCGTGTCTCTCATTCACAGCTTCCAAGACCATGTGAGAAGAGAAACGAGAAGGGAAGGGAACAAGAAGCACTCACCCCATCATCCCTCTGCCAGACTTGATCCTGCAGGTCTACTGAAGTTGACCCCAGCTCCCAGGGAAAAAGAGATGGAGGTGGCTGCAGGTGAGCCAAACATTGGCTCCAGTAAAATTGAGAGCAGCTGGCACTTCTGAATCCTCTGGGCCCCCGGGACCTGGGCTGAGTGCACACGCGCAAGCACCAGCCCTTTCCCCTTTCTCTTCTTGTCATGCTTAATTACACTGGGATTGTGCTGAGTCAGTCAACCTGCTGGGGTGGGAGCCCAGGCATGACCTTTCCCGTTGCTCTCAGCCAGCTCATGGGTCTCAAGTAGCCGTGTGTGTTTCCACCAAGAAACCCAAGAATAAACTCAGCACCGACACACATGGTGCCAAATGCTAAGGCCCACACCTCAGCCCTTGGGAAGGCGGCCCCTTCTGAACCGAGAGAGAACAAAAAGGCCTTGCAACAGCCATACTACCTGCATTCAGCCCACCACCCCCTGCCTCTGGCCTTGAAACAGAGTCCCCTCACCGTGGAATGTGGCAACCGGCACTCGGCCAAAGGTGGCCACAGGAGAGGGAGGCAGGCACCCTTGATGCTCTCAAGTACCTCTGGCTTTGCCAAGTTTCTACCTGAGGCTTGGCTTCCAGGCCTTTGTATCCTCATCTCAGAGAGAGAGATGATCACTCTGTACATTCAAGAGGCGTGCATAGCTTCCCACTTCTCTGCACACATGTACATGTGTATGCACATACACAGCCTCTGAAATTGCCCAGGAGAAAGTCATGCAGCCAAATGCTCTAGGTCAGTGATTCCCAGTCTTGGCTGCAAATTAGAATCACCTGAGGGAGCTTTAACACTTGCTGCCCAGGCCACACTGCAGACCAACTAAACCAGAATCTCTGGGGATAGAGACCAGGATTCATACTATTTTAAAGGCCCCAGGTGATTTCAATGTGCAGCTAGGGTTGAGAATCATTGTTGGAGGTGAACGGCAAGTCTTGGAAAATTCCATCCACCAACTTATGCTTTGAGGCTGAGTTTACAAGCTTGAATTGGGCTTAAGATAAGGTAAACCTTCAGGACTTTGGCCACAAGGACCAGCTAATATTTACCAAATATCTAGTGTGTGCAATGTTCTGCAGAAGGTCCTTAGTGTGAAATTCCTGACCCCAAGGAGCTTAAAACCTAAATGGTAAAGCCTAAGAATCTTCACATTGATACAAAAACACAATATGGTATATAAATAAGTTAATGTGCAGCTGAACAATTCAAAATAATCCAAAATAACAATCAAGCAACCTTGTACCAGGCACTGTACAATACTAGGGGAACAACAAAGGCAGAATCCCTATCTTCAAAGAGCTCAGACAGCATCATAATCCCCCAAATGGGGTTCCCGGACCAGCAGTATCAGCATCACCTGGGAACTTGCTAGAAGTGCCCATTGTAGGGCCTCATCCCAACCTACTGAGTCAGATCCTTTGCAGGTGGGCCTATCAATTTGTGTTTTAACAAGCCCTCCAGGTGATTCTGGTGCCTGCTCAAGTTGGGAACCACTAGTCTAGAAGACCGATTTATGCTGTGGGAATTGGAAAAAGGAAGACATCTCCTTGGGCTAGGGCTGATGAAAGCCTTGTAGGATTTGAATCCTGGCTCTGACACTTACATTTCGGGACAATGAAAGGCAACTACTTTAACCTCCTTATGCATCTATTTCGTCAAATCGAAAGAAGCATTAAGTTTTAGAGGCCAACCACGCAGAGTTGTATAAAAAACAGATAAGATAATGTATAAAATTCACTAGTACAGTGCCTGGGGCCTAGTCAGTAGCCAATAAATGATCTCCAACACTAGCAGTCATGGTGCAAGGGAGCCGTTCAGTACATGAATGTTGATGGAATGAATGAAGGAAAGAATGAACTGATTCAGGCATGACTGATGGGAACTGGATTTGGCAAGCCTGGAAAAGCAACAATCTCTGGGCAAACAGGGAGATCTTCATGATAGGATAAGGGCTTCCAAGACTGAGTGGTGAGAAAACATCTCCAATCTTGACACTGGCATCTTCCTGGCTCAGCCTCCTTCCTTGCTCATAGCACCCAGGGTGTTGGTTATGCACCTGGGCTCTGGAGTCAGACCATCTGGATTCAAATACTTACCAGTTGGGTGGTCTTGTGTGGGTCATTTAAATCCATTAAGCCTCAGCTTTTTCTTCTGGAAATTTGATGTAATAAATAGGTTCAACCTCATAGGGTTGTTGTGAGAATTAAACATGATAATGTGTATAAATCAGTTTGATCCTTTGAATATAATAAGTGATCTATAAACGTTAGCGCTTTGTACGGCACACAGCTGATGCTGCCTTAACCTCTGCAGAATTAGCCTGGGCTGAGATTTTTCAAGCCAACAAATGTCAGTGCACTCGAATGCCAGATCCATTAACACAAAATGGTTGTTACGTGCCTTCATAATAGCAGTAGCTGCTGAGATTGGTACTTACACACAGGTGGTGTGTAAGTACTTCTCATGCATAGGTGCTGAACACATGAACCCTGGGACAACAGGTATCACTGCACCCATTTTACAGATGAGGTAACTAAGGTTTGGTGACCCATCAGTTAGTTATACGACTGTCAAGTGTCAAAATGAGATTCAAGTTCAGCCCTAATTCTAAAACCCATAGCCTTTCTACTGCTGTAAAATCACCCAGCCTTCCCTCAGAGGCTGCCTAAAGACTTTTCCAAACAAGGTTCACCTAGCTGCAGTGTCAGAGGGCCAGACTTTGTCCTGATGTCGCTGTGTCACATACAGCATTGGAAAAGGATTGTATTAATCTGTTTTTTTACGCCGCTGATAAAGACACACCCAAGACTGGGAAGAAAAGGAGGTTTAATTGGACTTCCACACGGTAGGGGCAGTCTCATAATCATGGTGGAGGGTGAAAGGCACTTCTTATATGACAGCAGCAAGAGAGAAATGAATGAGGATGCAAGAGTGGAATGCCCTGATAAACCCAGATCTCATGAGACTTATTCACTATCATGAGAATAGCATGGGAAAGACCAGCCCCCATGATTCAATTACCTCCACCTGGGTCCCTTCCACAACAGGTGGGAATTCTGGGAGATACAATTGAAGTTGAGATTTGAATGGGGACACAGCCAAACCATATCAGGGATGGAGCTCAGAACTGAGCCTGGAAGAGGGAAGTCATGGGTGGGCTAGGGTCAGGATGGTGGACCCTGCAGCAGATAAGGCTTTTGGATTGTAAAACTGGTCCCTCTTGCCAGTGATAAAGGGTGTACATGTGTCTGTGTGCATGTCTGTGTGTATGTCAGTGTGTGGGCTGTGGGGTAGGATGGGTCGGGGGAGTGACGCGAAGTCTTGCCTCCTCAATCCAAAAATGGTGAGCTAAGCCTAAACAAAGAAAGAGAGCAATTGAACGCTACACGAAATTCACATCAGCTTTCAGAAACCAATTTCTTCTGAAAGAGGGTTTCTGGCCCATCAGACAACACAGTGAGATGACTCCCTTTTATCTCCTCCCAGGTCTATTTCCTTAAAGGCCAAATTGTGGTCTTCTTTCTTTTTTCTCCCAGATGCCAGCTGCGACTCTGCTCACAGCCCAGGAGACCTGTAGACCCATAATGTCTCTTCCTGATGATTTGAACTGTGTCGTCAATAAGCGGAGAAAAGTGTGGTTGGCCTCCCATCTTCTTCCAAGAGCTGCTAACAAAGATTCCTGGAGTCCATTACCAATTTGGACTTCATCCTCTATCCTCTTTGGTTCAACTGGTCCAAAGAGTCGCCGGGATGCCCTTCATTGGAACAAAGAGGATATTTCCTGGTTGGGATTCTGAGAGTTTGTAACAATTCCTAACAATTTACCCTCCCTCAAATCTTGCACTTACCTGCAAGGAGACATGTTACCTCCAGCTGACTCTACCTGCCAAAAATATTGCTGCATGTTCATATTTATCATCTTTGTGTTCCACAGTTGCCATGGTAGTAAAATTTACACTCAACAGCCTCAGTGCCATTTTCAACTACAAATAGAATGATTATGTTCCCAGTAAGGCTTGACAAAAACAGAAATGTGCATCTACTATAGGCTGGGCTGTGCGCTACACATAAGGTCTAGGGGCTGAGGTGGATGAGAAAAGAATTTCTATAATTTTCCTCCTTTATAAAGCAGGCTTTTTGTTTCTCTTGTGATGAGATTTTTTAAAACTGTAAAATCTACATCATATAAGTTTTGCCATTTTAACTATTTTTAAGCGCACAGTTTAGTGGCACTAAGTACATTCACAATGTGGTGCAACCATCACCATTTACATATTTCCAAAACTTTTTCATTGCCCCAAACAGGAACCCTGTACCCATTCAGCCCTAACTCCCCTTTCTCCCCTCCCCAGCCCATCATAACCTTTAATCTACTTTATGTCTTTATAAATTTGCCTATTCTGGAAATATGCTGGACACTTCATGTAAGTGGAATCTGTAATATCCTTTTGTGTTTGGGTGATTTTACTTAGCATAATCTCTCTTTTCTTTTCTTTCTTTTTTCTTTTCTTCTTTTTTGAGACAGGGTCTTGCTCTGTCACCCAGGCTGGAATGCAGTGGCATGATCATGGCTCACCATAGCCTCTACCTCCTGGGCTCAGGTGATCCTCCCACCTCAGCACCCTGGGTAGCTGGAACTACAGGTTTGCACCACTATGCCCAGCTAAGTTTTGTATTTTTTTACAGATGGGGTTTCAGGCAGGTCCCATGTTGCCCAGGCTGGTCTTGAACTCCTGGGTTCAAGCGATCTGCCTGCCTTGGCCTCCCAAAGTGCTGGGATTACAGAGGTGACCCACCACGAGTGGCCAGCAGAATGTTTTCAATGTTCATCCATGTTGTTGCATGTATCAGAACTCCATTCCTTTTTAAGGTTGAATAATATTCCATTGTATGTATATACCACATTTTGTTTATCCATTCATCTGTTTATAGACACTTGGGGTTTTTTTCCATATTTTGGCTATTGAGAATAATGCTGCAATGAAAGTTGGCACACAAGTATCTGTTTGAGTACCTGCTTTCAATTCTTTTGGGTATATAATTAAGACTGGAATTGCCAGATCGTATGGTAGTCCTACGTTTAAATTTTTAAGAAACTGCCTTACTGTTTTCCACAGCAGCTGCACCATTTTACGTTTCACCAGCAATGTAGGAGGGTTCCAATTTCCAATTACACTTATTATTTTCTGGGTTATGTTTTCTCTTTGACTATAGCCTTCACAGTAGGTGTGATGAGCCTGTTTTTTGTAAGAGCAAATTGGTAAGACGTGGCTTGTTCACCACTGCACGAGGTGCACATGGGTGCATGGACTATAGCTTTGTTGAATGAATAAATGGTCTCTCCTGCTTACAATATTGTAATATTCCTTTGGATGTGATGTCCTGCTCAACTTTTCCCTGACTCCCCTGTTGACAGGATCTGGAACTCCCATATAGAAGCCTGGCGACACAGAAGAGACCCAGGCAGCAACTGAGATCACAAATAGGGGGCTTTCCTCCAGCGACCATCTGTACCACCTTTCTGCATTGTTTCCATGCCTGAAAATCAGTAAAACCTGCTGCTTTAGAATCAGGAAGCCCACTTGGTAACACCTGAAAAGTAGGATAAGCTATAGAGTGTTGTGACTAAGAAACCAAAGCAGTGGGCTAAACAGACTGGCCTGAATTACAGTTCTGCCTCTTGCCATGTGGGGATTCATGGGAAAACTATTCATCCCCTCTGTGCGTTAACTTGGACTTAATCCTATTCTTCTGAGCACTAAAATGAATCAATAAAGGCACTTAGCACAGTGCCTGGCACACTGTGAGGTCTCAGTAAAAGTTAGCTCTTATTGTTACTGTAACGCTCCAGTATTAATGCGCAGGCCCAAAGAAAACCCTGCTTCTGCTACTTCCTCTGACCCCCCAAGGTCTGTGGGAAAACAGAAGTGGCTCCAGAATGAGAGGGCAGACTTCATTTCCTTCATTATTTTCCAGGTACAGAGCCAAGGTTTGAGACAAGGAACCCCTCCGCCATGTTTCTTCACATGGGCTACCCATCCCTCAAAGCTCATTTTGGCAAGGGGTTTGGGGAGAGAGCAGGGCCATCACCACCAGCCTCTCCTGCAAGGCCCAGAACCCACAGCTCAAGGGGTCTCAGAGAACTTTCACTGCATTAAAACCACAGATGACACTGGAGTTGGTTAAAGTTTCCAAAGAGAAGGTTGATGGACAGGCCAAGAATTCATGGTACGGGGGCTGTACCATGAGGACCCGGGAGAAAATCCAGGAGGAATGAGCCATGAGGCTAGGTAAGGTGGTATTATCTCATGTTGGCAGCACTGTAATTCTTACATGTAGGGAAGACGGCAGCATTCAGCTTGGCCTGACAGGAAGCTTTGTGTTACACTGAAGCATATTGAAAATATCAAAGTCCCGTGAAATAAAAATACAGCTTCTGGGCCCAATACTTTACCTGTGTGTAACTTAAAAGCTTTATTGGACATGGAGACTCTCTAACCAAAAACAAAGTGTGAGTGAAGGGTGGTGAAGGAAGGAGTATCAAATAGCAGACCCCTGCAGGTGTGTGTAGAATAACAACAGATGCTACTTATTGAGCAAGGGGCTAGGTGCTTTCCCCACATCCTGTCTCACTGGCATGGAAGAGCAGCACCTTATGTTAGGCAGTGTTAGCCCCATTTTACGGAGGAGGAAACCTGAGGTTCTGAGTTAGGAACTAGCTGAATCTGTATGCATACATACAGAAAAGGAAGAGAAAGAGAAATTTCTGTGACTTACATATATTCCATATTAGGATGAACTCTCTGAAATTACTACTATGCCACCTTTTCTAACAAAAGTGCCAATTCCACAGGGTTCAACCTAACATAACATATTATGTAAATAATAATTTAATAAGCTATATAAAAGGATATCATACATTTCATATTTTATTCATTTTATAATGTTATCCATAAATTATATAATATGCACAAGAGGCAGAATGCTTAGTGGTTGACAAGGTGAATTCTTGAATTGGATTGCATGGGAAAGTTGACTCTGCCACTTATGAGCTTCCAGACATGAAGTAAATAATGTCCCCTCTGGTGCCTTTGTTCCTCATCTATAAAATGAACTCATAATAGTACCCACCTCACAGAATGGTTGTAAGAATTAAGAAATCACAAAGTGCTAAAACTGTGCCTGGCACATGTCACTTATTAGCAGTCACCACGCTTGCTTTTGTTCACTAATTCCTTGCAAAAATCCTTGGCAATCATCAATGCTACCTTCATTTCACAGTGAGAAGCCTGAGACTCGGAGATTTGCCCAGGATTATACATCTAGCAAGGATGCATCAGGAATTCAAACTCAGGTCTTTCTGAGTCCCAAGTCCTGCTGTTTCTTGTAAGCTGCCCAGCTTCCGCTGGGGGTCTCCTTGTGCCTTCATTTGCCATTCAATGAAAGGAGAGGTTGGACCAGCTGACTTTATGGTTCCTTCCAAAATCCTCATGCAAGGAGGTGCTATCAAAGCAGCAGCATCAGAAATAACAGGATCAAATGCTTTTGGTCCCACTGAGTGCAGTATCCTTAGCCATGTGGCCAGAAGCATTTGGTATTGAGGGTTCCAATTTTTTTTTTCTTTTCTGCTATTTCTTTCCAGCATCCTCAGTACATTTCCTAATTAATCACTCCCACTTAATTTCCTAAAGCAATCACATCCTCCCCACAGGCAAGCGGCCTCGTCTCAGGCAGAAGCACACACACCAGCTGGCCCCTCGGCTATGTGGGAGTGTGTGAGCAGCCCTTGGACACAGCCCAAAGAGTGGCAGAGACGCAGGAAAAATGTAGTCTGGGAAGCTACACTCAGAGGACACTCTTGCCATTCTGGTGACATGTGGGTTTCCTGGTGAGCAAAAGGGACACTGAGATTTGGTTCTTCAAGGAAACTCTAAGGTGCAGAAGATCTGGCTGGAGCATCTCGGAATGCAGGGAGACTCTACCAGTGGCTGTTCTGTGATGCTGGGCAGGGCTTTGCTGGCCAGGTAGGAAGCTCAGGTCTGTCTCCCTCCCAGCTTTGCTGATGACTTGCTGTGTGACTTTGGGCAATAGCTTTTCTTTTGTTGAGCCTCAGTTTTTCTATTTTTAAAACGAGAACAGTCATACATATAACACAGTGTGGTTTTAAGAAACGAACCACAAATACAATAGCCAAGAGGAACTGGACAGATGAGATCAATGAGCAAAGCTGGGTCAAGCAAAAGACAATAAACATAATGTCAAATGGCAGCTGACGTACTGTCTCAGTGTTGGGGTCACAATAGGGAGTGGTAGGGACTGCAGTGAAATGGAGACACACCCCATCTACATAAAAGCCAGTCAATTACTGCCATAGAGCCAAGCTGAGCTTCTGTTGCTGGATTTTATTTTAGAAAAGAAACTAGAAATAGATTTGTATATGTATTCCCCTAATCTTATTATAAAATGGTAGGGGGAGGCTGGGCGCAGTGGCTCATCCCAGCACTTTGGGAGGCCAAGGTGGGCGGATCATGAGGTCAGGTGATCGAGACCATCCTGGCCAACATGGTGAAACCCCGTCTCTACTAAAAATACAAAATTAGCTGGGCGTGGTGACGGGTGCCTGTAATCCCAGCTACTTGGGAGGCTGAGGCAGAAGAATCACTTGAACCAGGGAGTCAGAGGTTGCAGTAGGCCGAGATGGCGCCACTGCACTCCAGCATGGCAACAGAGCAAGAATCTGTCTCAACTCGACCCAGCTTTGCTCATTGATCTCATCTGTCCAGTTCCTCTAGGCTATTGTATTTGCGGTTCCTTTCTTAAAACCACACTGTGTTGTATGCATATATGTATGTAAATAAATACATAAATAATTGATGGGGGGAAATGGACACAAAAAAATTATGTGAGCCAATAGCATTAGTCGTTATTACTGTTACTATTAACTTCTCTGTAACTCAGAACCCCCACCTGAAACAATGGATGTAAAGATTCCTGATAACCATCTCTGCTCCATGGACATCTGCAAAAATTTCTGAGGGCACTACAGAGATTAAACACTGTGTGCACACAATTATGTTGCTTTATTAATTTAAGCATACTTCATTGACATTGGGCTAGCCAGTGTTTCTTAACCAGAGGTAATTTTCCCCCCCAGGGGACATTTGGCAATGTCTGGAAACATTTTTGAGTTGTTATGAAACAAGGGTACAGCTGGAATCTAAGAAGAAGAGGTCAGAAATGTTGCTAAATATAATGAACAGGACAGCCCACCAAACAACAAAAATATCCAACCCAACATGTCAATAGTACTGAAGTGAGAAAGCCTGAGCTACGTGGAAGTTTCCCCTTGCATCCTCTCTACAGAAAGAACTTTTTGAAGATAGAGACTTGGATAGGTTTTGTTGGATATGGGAGAAGCCGGCAGGTGGGAGAACCAGCATCTATAATTATCTCCTCTATGAGGCTCAAGGCCTTGCTTTCATTCTGCCTCCTACAGCCTCTTCTCGTCATTGTCTTAGCAACTGTCACCTCAATATATTTCCCTCAAAAAAATCTGTTGAAGATGCACAGGTCAGAAAATAGGCTCTGGGGAAACTGTGGACTTATGAGATGAACCGTCTGAGCCAAGGTCACTCAGCAAGTTGCAGGGCAGACCTAGGAGAGAATTCTCCTGGGTCCTGGTCCAGGTCCCTCAGGAAGACATCACTCCATTTTGCTGTTGCCATGGTAATTATAAATCAATTATGTCTCTCCATTAAAGCAGTTACTCCATAGAACGTTCTCACAAAGGATTGTTGAACTCGCCCTAGTTATTCCAGGGATGTGAAAGTAATCACATTTTTGTATATTCTATAATTCTGGCTACATTTATGATTGTCCTTCACCTATAATGGGATAAATAAGTGAGGTTATATTGCATCGTGGTTGTCATGCATTGCTATGACTACTCCAAACAAAGAAAACTGTGCTAGAAGCAACAGCAAGCGATTCTGGTTCACCTTAAGAAAGGACAGGAAAGGAGAACAGAGTGACTTTTATCATCCTTACATTATGCTGAATGTTTTACATATCTTACCTCATTTATTCTTCCCTATAATTTGAAGAATTTCTTGAGGTCAATTTTCTCAAACACTGCTGTACATCAGAAACACCTGCAAGGTTTACAAAATCCCAACATCCAAAAAGCACCCCCAAATCATTAAATCACACTCTCTGGGGATTGGCCCGGGCATCAGTAATTTTTTAAGTCTCCCCAGATGATTGCAATATGCAGGCAAGTTTGAGAACCAGGGCTTCAGGACTCATTATCCTTATTTTACAATGATGCTGACATCCTAAGGGAAAAATGAACTTGCCTAAGGGCACCCAGCTGGTGAATGGTAAAACTGTGATTCAAACCTGGTCTGCCTTTCTCCAAAGGCCACGCATAATCTTTCTCATTGTGCCATTTTCTCCCCAGAAGTTTGTTGTTTGTGGCTTTCTCACTCATTTGGAAATTTGGTTGCAATCTTATGAACTTGAGTGAAAGGGAATTCTCTAGAAAGCTATCAAGAACTCCTGGATTCAATGAGCATCTTAAGAACAGGTCTTGGCGGGGTGGGAGGGAAGCAGGCATAGTCTGGTCTATGCTTTTGAAAGTGCTTAGATGAAATGGAAAACCATTATGTCCAATCTCCTTGTTCCTCTGGTCAAGATTCCAGTTCCAGAAAGAAAGGATCCAATTGACCTGACTTGGGTCATAAACTTAGCCTTTGACTAGGAGAGGCCAAGAGCCCTGATCAAAAATCTACCAGGCTGTATCCCATGGGTGCAGAAGATGACATCCCAATAATGAAAGAAAGGCTGCTGCTAGGAAGAAAGAGTGAATGGGTCTTAGGCAGCCAGAAAACAATGCATGTCTACTACAATGGAGGGGACTGAGGGACTTATGACAATTTCACAGCCACATGATGATCCCAAAGTCAAACTCAGCAAAAATCCAAAGGTTCATCCAATCAAAATCACTAATACAGACAAGGATCATTCAGAAGAAATATGCCACCGGAGAAGTGGCCACTGAATGGCCTCAAAATCATTTGCGAAATGTTGTGAGGTCTGTGCATTTTTCTAAAGACAAGGTAAATGTCTTTTATCCGATTATTTAGACTCTTAAAAAACAGAAAAGGTAAGGTTGGGGCTCCTGGGAGGTCTTAGGGAAGAAAAGGAGAAGCTCGTAGTCAATGGTTCCTAAGAGAGCTTCAGGTCCCAGGAACTACCCGGGAAAGTGAACCCCCGTGACCTGGCTTGACACCACAAAGACAAGGCTGGTATAGTTTGCTGAATTTCAGCCAATAAAACAATGCTGTAAAAAAAAGGCACTGACAAAAAACAGACACAAGGTAAGAGCTAACATGTTTGCCCACGGCTGCACAGCAGCAAGGGACAGGATCTATCCGGTGAGGAAAGAAAATGTGAACCTCTGAGCAAAACGATTATAACTGGAGGAAGCCAGGGGATCTCTAGGGTCAAAAGCCAACAGGGACAATTAAAACTCAGCTGTGGATGTGTCAAAATAGTGTACTGTCCCGGGCAGCTTACCTGGGACCCTGAGCTCCTTTCCAAAGGGCTAGTTCTCTATCCCATGAGGGTATCTTCCCAGATCTAGGCATCAGCAGACACTACCATGCAGAAACTTGAAAAATGAAGCCATTGTGAGTTATTAGCATTGCATGAGTCATTGTTCAGTGCATAAATTCATGGACAAATCAATATACAAACAAAAGAACACAAATTGTTAACTGTGGCTAATATAGGTACCATTTTAAGTCCCTACTATGTGTCAGGGTCTGAGACAGAAGCATTCCTCATCTTCACAATAACCCTACAAGACAGTTACTATAGTACCCATTTTACAGATGAGGATCCTGAGACCCAAAGAGATGAAGGGACTTATCTACATTCACACAATGAGAAGTGATGGAATTTGAAACCAGGTTTGTCTGAGTGGAGTATCCAGGTGCTTGCCACAATGCTACACTACCTCACAATATCTGTAATTTAGTTAGAGCATTGAATGTGTGTTAGGCATTTTGCATTTACTATCCTTAGTTCTTACAACAATCCTTGAGATAAGTATTATTGTCTTTATGTCTTTTTTTTATGAGAAAGACAAGTAATTTTTCAAAGGGCACATTTTGAACACAGATTTTTTTTTTCTTGGAGACAGGGTCACACTCTGTCACCCAGGATAGAGTGCAGTGGTGCAATCATGGCTCACTGCAGATTGACCTCCTGGGCTCAAGTTATCCTTCCCACCTCAGCCTCCTGAGTAGCTAGCACCACAGTTGTGTACCACCATGCCAAGCTAATTTTGTTATCTTTATATTTTGTACAGATGGGGTCTCACTATGTAGCTCAGGTAGGTGTCAAACTCATAGGCTCAACTGATCCTCCCACCTCAGCCTCCCAAAGTGCTGGGATTACAGGTGTGAGCCACTGCACCTGGGCCTGAATACAGATTTTTGAATCCAGATCTCCTTGGCGCTAAGCTCCTGGTCTTTCCACCAAATCTGCTGCCTATCCAATTCAATTTGATTTTTGAAAATATGTTGATTTTGTCTTATTTTCACAAGCATTGTACTAAGCTTCTATAGAGAAATGCCAGCTCCTGTCCTCAAGGAACTTTTTGTCTACTTAAGAGATTAGATTATATGGTACAGAAAAATGATGATCATAACTATATAGCTGTGGAGGTTTTAAAACACAGCTGCAACTTCTGAGACTTCTTACATGGAGAGATGACCCCTACCCTTGCATGTGGGCAAGCTTGTACTGTTCAGAGCCACAGAGCAGAGCAGAAGGGGTACTATGTTGCTTTTAAGTCCATTCATAAAAAGCCATGCTACTTCTGAGTTGTTCTGAGTTGCTGCACACCTCTTCTCAGAGTGTGGAGCAACCATGTGAGAAGTTAGACTACTCAGAGGCCACCATGTTGTGAGGAAGCTCAAGCCACATAGAGGTCACATGTGTAGACACCCTGCTCAACAGTCCCAGCTGAGCCCAGACTTCAAGTCATCCCAGCCTAGGTGCCAGACATGTGAGTGAACAGCCTGCTGGGGATTCTAGCACCCAGGTATTCAAGTCTCTCCTGGTCATTCCAGACTCTGCAGATGATGCCTCAGACTGTATGGAGCAGAAATAAGCCATCTCTACTGCACTACGACGTAGAGAATCATTGAGCATGATAAAATGGTTGTCACTTTAGAACACTAAGTTTTGGGGTGGATTGTTAAGCAGCAAAATATAGCCATAATAATGGCTTTTGGAGTGATTATTTAATGCCAGACACTGTCCTCTAAGCTTGACATGTATTACCTCATTTGATCTTCCTAGTAAGCCAGGGAAGCAGGTTACTATTAAAGACCATGCCTAAGATTACTTAGCTACTAATGGCATTCAAAACCAGGTCACACTAACTCCAGCATCAAAGCATCAATAATCTAAACTGCTGTACTATAGAGGAAGCAAAATTATGTCTCTGAATAAAACCTACAAAGCCCCAAGCCAATCAGTTTTAAGAAACACCGACTGCTATTTTTTTAAACTAAACATCTTTTTTTTTCTTAATTTCAGAAGGCTTACTGTGGAGCTGAGCTAATTATTTGAGCCTTAATCAAGGACCAGCCACTTCCCGAAGCAGCTGTCCTGGCCTCTCTCTTGCCTCTAGAAAGTCTCTTGAATTGGATATTGGCTCAGGTCTAAACCCCAAATCCCAGCCCCCAGAAGTGAGGATGCATAGGGCTGAAAGGATCCTTGGAGATCATCCAGTCTACTTCCCTCATCCCCTTTAAAGATCAGGAAACTGAGGCCCAGGGAGGTCAAATGACTTGTCCAAGGTCACATGGTGTGTCAGAGGTACGGCCAGGTCGCCAAATTCCCAGGCAAGCATTCTTTCCACTACACCATGCTGCAGTTGCTAAAAATTCCCCAGAGCCGCCTCCCTCGGCCCTCCTCTCGACAAAGCTATTTTCCCCCCACACAACTACACACAGTCACATTTGGCAAGAGGTGCTATCAGCCCTGCTCTGCTCGTGAAATGCTGTTTTGCAATGGGGCCTCTTTGTTCGTTAGCAACACAGACAAAGAAAACTGTAGTGCAGTCTTCTTGGAAGAAGATGTTTCTTGTTTTAAAGACGGGAAGAGAGCTTCCTGACTGAATATGGCTTGAATCAGCATGCAGCTCCAGTCAGGAAAGAACCCAGAGGAGACTTAGGTCTTTGCAAAATTTCTAGAATGTACAAGGAGGGCACACGGCAGGGGGAAGCTTATGGGAAATGTTTCAGAAAGTACTAAAATGTATGCCTAAACAGAGTAAACAGAGCAGATTGGTTACCATCTTGTGCTATGAAGCAATTAGAAGGGGAGGGGTGTTGGTAGGGAACTAGAGTCATTAAAAGCTCCCATGAAGCAACTGGCCTTCCCATTTTTGGATTCCTGCTCCAGTCCTGGTTCCCAGTGTTCCTTCCCTTGCCGTTTTCTTCAGCTGGGATCTTCCCTCTCTAGACTCGAAATAAGCTGCAGGCTTGGTGCTGAGAGCCCTCAGGATATGATCTGCCATCCCGAGTCACCCATCTGGTGCCTCTCCCCTCTGCTTCCACATGATTCCCTATTTTTTTTTGTACTAGATGTGGTCCCTCTTCTGTCTCCCTAGCTTCCCAGATTGGCAGAGGCTTCCCATGGCTCTGCATGATCTTTGCACAGGATGAGGCAGAAATGAAGGCACCTTTTCATAAGGGCAGACCACACCAGGAAGCTGAGGTCCTCTCTGGTGACCTTTCTAATGCATTTCCCTTTGGAGATGGGTTGAGATCAGTGGGGAGGGAGTAGACCAGATGATCTCCAGTGATACCTCAAAAGCCTGAAAATCTCTTGGCTAGGGAAGCCAACAAGAGGGGGAGGAACAGAACCAAGTTCTGTGGCACAAATTCAGAACTTGTACGCTGGCAGCAGATGGAAAGGGAGGTGCCAGCTTCTAGCAGGAGGGGATGTGGTGGACGCGTTTCTCAGGGCGGTTGCAAGCCACAAGTCTTGCATTCCAAAGGACCTGGTGAATGCTGCCTGAGAACCTGCCTCTGACACAGCCACAGCATAGGTCTCCAGGCACCAGGTGAGATCTCCAAAAAGAAACTCCACTGGCCAAGTGAAGGTTCTTAGACCCTTTCTCCCAGAGCAGGGTCTTCCCCATCGCCTACCCCATGCTTAGGCAAACTTGCCCAAAGTACAAATTTTATTCCAAATCCCCCTCCCTCATTTTCCCCTAGGAAAATTCCTCCTGCTGAGTTAAACCTAAGAGAGAAAAATAAAGATATTACCACTCAGGGAAACAATGTCCTAGGGGTCCCTTGCAGCCGAGGAGGGGAAGGGAAGCTGGCCCCCTAAAGAAGGCCCTGTATCTCCTCATGGCCTCAAATGCTGCTGTGCTGTGTGTCAGTGTTTATGAAATGCTTCTCAAATAAGGTCAGTGTTCTACACAGAGTTAGAACTCTAATAAAATGCAGAACTTGTGCTGTTTGCCAGCTAGCTGCAGAGGCATACTTGAATGCTTTCTCAGATACAATTGTTCTCAGATTAATATTTCCCCCTTGAGTTTTTTTTTAATTCCACTTGTACTATTTTTTTATGATGTGGGAGGCTTTCTACATATTTGTACCCACTAAAAGGGATGAGGGGGCTTGCTTTCATCAATGATTCCTGAGGGTTTGGTGCTACATCCTTCATGGTTCTAGCATTTCTCCCAACCCATAAATCTCCCTGCTCTGAACCTAGCATGGTAGCCTTTGCCTTGTCAGTCATTTAGAGGGAGAGACAGTCCAGACTAACTTTGAAGTTAGTTTGAACTGTTCTAGTTACCAGAACATTTCACTTGCTTTATTCATTGTGGTAGACACTCAATAAATGGCCCCTTTAAATGACTCCATCCTTCATGGATTCCCTTATTTGGTCCTACTGTCTTGGACACTGTCACTTATTAATTACCCAGTCCTCTAAACTCCACCTGGTTAAGCTGCTGACATGGCTGGTATGAGGTTATATTTTAATTTGTAAAAGATGCATCTTGTTAAATGAAAAGGAAACTGGAACAAGAGTTTGAAGACATGGGTGACTCTGAGCAAGGCTTTGGAGCTCCCTGAGTTTCTTCATCTGTAAATGAAAGCTTCTAAAATATACCCTGATCGTCTTCCAGATACAGGATTTAGTGGTTCAATTCAGATATTGTGGGTGGACTCATTAAGGTATTCGCATAGCACTAAATTTAGAAGGCATTTGGAGACATCTGATCTCATTTAAACCTTGCATCAGCCCCCTGAGATGAGTGTTATTTCTCCCATTCCAAAGGTTATAGATGAGACTATGGAGACCGCAAAGGTACTCAGACAGGTCGGGCAGTTAGAAAGTGACAGAAGCCAGGATTCAGCCTAGGTCTTTCTACTCATTTCGGCTTACATCCAAATTGTACTCCCCCTTGGCTTCTCACTAATTCCACTTAGAATCCCCATACTCAGAACACTTTCTACCTACATTCTAGAGCTGGAGAGAGAAGAAGAGGAGAGAAAGAATGTCAGCAAAGTACTAGATAGTCCAGAAATTTCTGCAACACATTATTGAACAGGACAGCTCTCCAATGAGATCATCACTGCTGCGCTTTTTAATTACAAAATGATCTGTCCTATTTGGGATACAGGGAGTTCAGGAGTATGTCTAAGTAATTCATCATTTATAGAGTCCAGCCCTGGGGCACTTTTACATGCTACCCTGGACATGATAAAAGATTTCAGATGGCCATAAAGACGAAGTCTGAGGTTGTTTCCAGGGCAGAACTCTGAGTTCTTGCAAGTCTGCAGTCTCCAGTGAAGGTCCAGGCCATGAAATCCAATTTCAGGACCTGGGGTTCTGATGGTGACAGTCCAAATTCAATACTAAGGCTATGGAGAATACATAGAGGGCAGTAGAGGGCAAGAAGCCAAGCTAGAAGGATTAAGGCAGGAGCCAGGAGTAGCTAAAGCTCAGGGAGAGATGCAAACATGCACAATTCTATGGTCAAGTCATAAAACTCCGATTAGAAGAGGATCATGGACTCCACAGCATGCAGACATACCTGAGTTAGGGCATTCACTAGGGCACACACTAGGGCATATGCTAGGGCACATACTAGGGCATATGCTAGAACATACACCAGGGCATACGCTAAGGCACACACTAGGGAATATGCTAGGGCACACACTAGGGCATACACTAGGGCACACACTAGGGAATATGCTAGAACGTACATTAGGGCATACGCCAGGGCACACACTAGGACATATGCTAGAACGTACACTAGGGCATACGCCAGGGCACACACTCGGGGATGCACTAGGGCATACGCCAGGGCACACACTAGGAAATATGCTAGGGCACATGCTAGGGCATATGCTAGGGTGTGCACTAGGACATATGCTAGGGCACACGCTAGGGTGCGCACTAGGGCACATGCTAGGGCACATGCTGGGACACATATTAGGGCATATGCTAGGGCACACGCTAGGGCGCGCACCAGGGCACATGCTAAGGCACACGCTAGGGCATACACTGGGGCATATGCTAGGGCACGCACTAGTACATGTGCTAGGGCACACGCTAGGGCATATACTAGGGCACACACTAGGGCATACACTGGGGCACACACTAGGTTGCGCACTAGGGCACATGCTAGGGCACACGCTAGGACATACACTGGGGTACATACTAGGGCACGCACTAGTGCATGCGCTAGGGCATATACTAGGGCGCATACTAGGGCATACGCTAGGGCACACACTAGGGTGCGCACTAGGGCACATGCTAGGACATACACTAGGGCATATACTAGGGCACGTGCGGGGCATATGCTAGGGCAAATGCTAGGGCACGCACTAGGGCATACGCTAGGGCACATGCTGGGGCACGCACTAGGGCACGCACTAGGGCATATGCTAGGGCACACGCTAAGGCACACACTAGGGCATACACTGGGGCACATGCTATGGCAACCACTAGGGCACACGCTAGGGCATACACTGGGGCACATGCTATGGCACCCACTAGGGCACACGCTAGGGCACATGCTAGGGCATACGCTAGGGTGTACACTAGGGAATACACTAGGGCACGTGCTAGGGCAAAGAATGGATATGACTGGTAACAGACAGGAGCTAGAGAGGTAGAAAAACCCAAGAGGTAGACAAGGTGGGTGGTTAAGTGTGCTGGCAGACTTTCAGGAGCCACAGGATACACTGCTGCCAAAGTGCGGAATGAATCAGGGGTCAGGAACCAGATTGGCAGTTAGGACAAGAGAAGAGGAGTCTGAGCCCACACAAGCAGTGATATGGCCGTGATAAGTGCAGTCACACTCGACTCCAGCCAGGATACATCTTATGTACATCCTGTTGGAACAAGACCTGATGCCAGGGTGGGAGGAGCCCAGAGATCCCGGCTAAGAGAAAGCAAGTGGTGCATCTAACTGCAAAGGAAGATGACTCCTGCCGACATTTGAGTAGATGCTTGAGGCGGAAAATATTATTCAGCAAGGTTCATCAGAACTACTCTTGGAGGGTGTATCCCCTCAAACCAGAAATTTAAAAAACAGTTAGTGGACACATACCATGGAGATATTTTCCTAAGATTTGGATTCTGTTCTAAACATCCCCATGAGATAAAACTTCCCAAAGTGCAGCTCCCATCATTTTAAGTTGGGCTCAGGAGCATCTAATCATGAATTTCTGTGACTGTACCACGTTCCCATTTCTACGCACAGGGATCCCATTAGTCTTCACGCTCCAATACAAAGGCCACCTATTTCCCCAAATTGGACATGATGGCTCTGTTTCACCAGGTGTCCAGATCACATCATTGACATTCTTCTTGATGCTTTGCCTCGAACAGGGGCTCTTTGATTTAAGTTGAACTCATCATGTTTGTCTTCTTCTAGTTGTTACTTGAGAATAGAGTTTAGAAGACAGAAAAGGAGGCTGACTTGAAAGATTCTGGAAGGGATGACATGACTGGGAGTTGGAGTGCAGCCTCTGAGACCAGCCTGGCTGGATGAACCCTGCCTCTCCTGTTCCTTACTGGGGATGTTATTTCACCTCTCTGACGTAGTTGCCACATCTATAAAATGCAGACAGTCCTGCCTACTTCACATAACTCTTCAAATAGGAAATGACTCCACGCATGTAAAGTGTAAGAGCAGTGCCAGGCACAAAGAAAGGCTCAATAAATGCCAGCTATTGTTGTGGTGATGGTTGTTGTTGTCGTTTACAGAGGCTTGGGGACCCTGTAGGCCCTGGTCCCCTATGCTTCATTCTTCATCATGTCTGTTCCCAGAACTACTCCAGAAAATGTGCCCGATGCCAATGTGTACCCAAGATGCTAAGGGAAATCACTGTGTTTAAAAACCTGAAGCTACCTGAGCTCTGCTACTGGCAGAAAGGCTCAATCCCTCAGGCTGAACTTTTTACCAGGAGAGAATAACACACATATACATACACATTCAACATACACACACATACATGCGTCATATCCTGTGTTGGTGAGACTTGTGGTACTAGCCTAATAGGACAAAAATGAAGCTAAAGTCATTATGGAAAGTTCCATGAGAAACCAAGAGTATAGAGAAAATTTAGCAAGCTGAAGAATTAAGCATTAATAGGAAATTATTCCAGAGAAAATATGAACCAACAGAACCCCAGGGAAAGAAGATGCTACAAGCCAAGAAGACCTCAACATTTTTTTCCATCCCAGCCGGAAAGAACGGGGCAATATATTTATGTAATCCACATGCCAGATTGTAGAAAGATTTTGAAAAAAATGCACAGAGAACTCTGCTGATTATATTGACAACTTGGATAAAGATCCATAGGGCAAGCTCATTAAAATTGCAGAGGAAATAAATAGTGGGAGATGGGGAAAGGAGTAGTTAATTGCTAGATGAGGAAATCGAAATAGAAAATGCTCCTGAAAAGCTGATGAAATGAAATGATTTGCCAAAAGTTAATTAGGATAAATGCAAAGTGTTGCACTTAGACTCCAAAAAGTCAACTGCACAAGTCTAGAAGAGGGGACAACAAGCTAACAGCAGGGAAGACTGGGGAGATATGGGGATGTCAGGCAGCTTGGTCAAAATGAGCCTACCCAGGGCTGTGGCTGTCCAAAGTGAAAAGGTTCTTTTGAATGCGCTGGCTGATAGAAGTCAAATAAAACAGTGAAGGCATGGAAGGTCTCCTTCTAACTAATACAGTCCAAGAAGATTGGAACCTATTTAGAGGAAGAGAACTATGGATGGAGTACGAGGCCTATGCCCAAACTGTACCACATACAGAATAGTTGAGGCAATTAAGGAGACTCCGGTAAATGGGTGGTGAGAAACACCACAGCAATAAGACTTTTGAAAACCTGTCATTTGGAAAAAAGATTATACATGCTCTGGGTTACAACAATCAATGAGAGATAAGTCCAATCCCCACACAAAGAACATTTTCTTATTAGGATTGTGGTTTTTTTAATGGAATAAATTGCTTTAGGAAGAACTGAGCTCCTCATCACTAGATATCATCAAGCAAAGGAGGCTAACTGACCACCTTCCCCTAAATCATGCTGATGGAAGACCAACCTTCGTGTGGTTGGAACTTGGACAAATGGACCTCTTCCAACGCTGACGATCTGTATTTTTCTTAATGAAGCTTCATCCTGATCATGCTCTGATAGGAGGTCTACACTCAGTAAGACTTTTGACCATAATAACAATAGGAATATTGATGGAGGGTGCCCTTGGTTCCAGGCAGCCTATGTGGATTAATACAGCATCCTTTGAAGGGAGTATTATTATTATTCCCATTTTGCAAATGGGAAAACTGAGGCCCATCCAGCTAGTAGGTGACAGAACCGGGCTTTGGGCCCCAGAGTCTGGCTCTAGTGCCACATTTTCCTATCTTCTCTGTCCACGCAGTACAGAAGGCTCTAATCATGCACGCTTTGGCCAATTTTTTTCCAGGGTTTCACTGTATCAAACATGGTACTGACAACACAACTATGAAGACCACAGTGAGTGGGGAAGAAAGGTTAGCCTCTTGACAGGCCAGCAGTCACAGTAGTTACAGATCACCGTCCAGGCCTGCAGAGCAGAGAGGTAGAGGATTCCCAACATGAGCATCCAACCTTGGCAAGGCTGATTTGAATTCAAGGATGGAGAACAATGAAGAACGGAGAGCACGGGGAGCTCAGCACAGTGCCAGGGCACCCTCTACAGCCATCTAGCTTGTGATCAGCAGTGGTCCAGATGAGCTCTCTGGGAATGCCTCCACCCCTTGTTTTTCCTTTCTTTTCAGCAGTCCTAAAAAGGGTTAAGACCACCTTACATAATGAGGGTGGAGCCTGCTAGGAAATACAGCTGTTTCAAGTAAACACAGTAATAGAGGCAGACATGGGAAGTCAGTAAAAGGAGGTATTTAAGGAAAAATAGAAGGAATGAGCATTGAAAAAAAAAAAAAAAGTCAGGGCCAAAAATTCCCCATGAAAACCCACCCCCCAAAAATAAATAAATAAAATGCATTCCTTATTTAAATATACCACAAAGCAACACACCCATGGAAAAGATATAAACCACTTTCACCACAATTCCCTTTTTATGGAACAGAAGCCAACCTGGGCTCTGCTGTGGGGGCAGGACCAAGAGCAGAGAGAGAAAAGGAGGGGCCTAGCCAAGAGGGTATTGGGCATAGCCCACAGGCAGGCAAGGAAGTCGCTTCCACAGGGCTCTGGGTTGGAGCAAGTTTAGGATGGGCGTCTCAAACCTTCCAGCTGGATAGGGCCTGAGATGAAGATATAAAGGTAATAGCCATGGCCACTAACATGAATAGTTCAGGGAGGGCTCCTATGGTGGGGTCATGCATCACTTAATGATGGGGATACGTTCTAAGAAACTCACCATTAGGCGATTTCGTCATTGTGCAAACCTCATAGAGTGCACTCACACGAGCCCAGATGGTCTAGCCTACTATACGTCTAGGCTAGATGTGATAGCCTATTGCTCCTAAGCTCCAAACCTGCATAGCATGTTCCTCTACAGAATACCGTAAGCCACTGTGACACAATCATAAGTATGTGTGTTTCTCAACATACCTATACATAGAAAAGGTACCATCAAAGTATGGTATGAAAGATAAAAAATGGTACATCTGCACAGGGCATTTACCAGGAATAAAGCTTACAGGACTGGAAGTTGCTCTGGGTGAGTCAGTGAGTGAGTGCTGAGTGAATGTGAAGGCCTAGGACATTACTGTACACTACTGTAGACTTTGTCAACACTATACCCTTAGGCTGTACTAAATTTATTAAAAATAAAGTGATGGCACTATGACATTACAAAAGCTACGATGTCACTAGGCGATAGGAATTCTTCAGCTCCATTTTAACCTTATGAGACCACCGTCCTCTATGTTGTCCACTGTTGACCAGAATGTCATTTTAGGTAACACATGACTGTACTGTGTTAAGCACTTTCCTGTATATTATTTTGTTTAATCCCCCCAATGGGGTAGAGTCATCATACATATTTTACAGTTAAGAAATCATAGAGGGATAAACAATCACAGCAATGAGTGAACAACATGGTAGGCACCGTGCTGAGCACATTACAGGGACTGCCTCAGGCTACATTCACAGCATCCCCATGAAGACCGTGCGCTCATCATCCTGGTATCACAGGTGTGGAAATAAGGTACTAAAGAATTTAACACACTGCAGTCCACAGCAATAGTGTAACATGCCCACAGTGCAACAGCAAGATGTAACAGAGCTGCAATTCAAACCCACAGTCGTCTGTCTCCGGAGCGCCTGCCCTAACCACGATGCTTAGGGGTCGGGAACCTTCTTGCCATAGCCCACATTGCCAAGGCAAGAGGTTCTACAGCTGCAACCCACTGTTCATTCTCACTTTCCAGGTGAGACAGAACTCTGTGACAACAAACAATACTGGAGAGAAAACAACATAACAATCAAAACGGCAAAAATGCAGAAATAATAGAAAATCCAGATGATCAACAAAAGCAGAACTTATCAATTAATACAAGAAGAGCAGCAATCAAAACCCACAGAGCACTCAGGATGACGCTGATGAGTTCCTGATTAGAAAGCCCTGTGGTTTAAGTGCTCAGGATTTCCAGTTCTTTTCATGGGCATGTGCACAGTAGGAGTTTTGCAAGGTTGCTAAGCAATGCCTGGCAACCAGACTCCAGAGTAGATCACTCAACAGGAGTCCTTGGTAACTCTAGTAAGGCAATAAATATTAGTTCATAAAATCCAAATTTTAGATACCCTTAATAACTCATGTCATAGGTTACTAGTGAGGATCCCTTAGTCATATGCCAGAATGCAGATCTATAATGGCCCATCTTTCACTTTTAAGAACTAAAGACAGACTTGTAGTTTTGAGGTTCATTATTCCTTTATTAAATACACATCTGCTGAACACCTACTGTGTGCCAGGCACTGTTCTAGACACTAGGGAGGCGGATACTTACAGTTCCCCCAGTGGACTATAACCACTAAGAAAACCACTAAGACTATACAAGAATTCTACTTTCATGAAAATGAGGCCCAGAGAGGTAATGTAATCCGTTCAGAGTTGCACAGCACCATGGAGGCTATACCGGTCCACTGGAGGCGGGTCCACTCAGCTGCTCCTTAGTCTGTCCAGGAGGGCACTGTGTTTCCCTAAAAGGCCACATCACCGTGGTTGACCCAGAGAGACCCCATGATTCACTAGCTTGTTCCTGTCCTCTAAGCTGGCCCTGAGGGCTGGACAGAGGACTTGGCTGTTGAGCATCTTGGAAAGTCTCTCACTTGACCTCAGGACCTCTGTGGTCAAGTGAGGGAAAGCCTATGACATGGTGTCAGTTTTTATTGGGCCCAACCACCGGCAAAGCTAGCCGTCATTTGGAGTGATGGAGAAAATTAAGTTACCACATTCTCACGTTTCAGCCTTTCGCCCGTTCTCCTTCGCAAACAGGAAATGTTTATTTAAATACAGCAGTCTCCAGCATGTTCCAGAGCCAAGTGAAAAACCAAAGATGTCCACTCTTGCCCCCACTCCACCGTTCAGGCCACCCCTCACTGCAGTGAGAAGTGGGCCTCTGCCTGCCTCTAGACAAGGACGGCAAGATGGGGAGAAGTGGCCCCGTGTGAGAGTTCATTTTCATCTGCCTCCTCTTTTTCCAGGCTGAGATTGTGGTTGGAGAAGAATTACATCTGTGGGCTCCTTTTGTAGTCAGAAGGGTAAGTGCAACATCTGTTTACTCTGTGCTCCATGGTAAATGTTTGGTTTCAGGCACCGCCATCCACTTCCTCTCCTCTCGTCCTCTATCTTTGCTGCACGGATAATAAATTACACTGAATTCTTCTCTGCATTTATTTAGCTTTCTTGTGGGTGTCACCTCCTCATGGAGGGGGAAAAATTGTCAGTAGTTTATAAAAGACAGAGTTTCTTTTTCTGCGTGATGTTCTGACATTATAGGGAAGATCTTGGAACACAGACCCCCCAATTCTGATTCTGGCTTAATTATGAACAATTGAGGCCCCATTCCAGGCCTGAAGCAAAGTCCAAATGGTGAGCACATTATCCCCACTCAGGTTTTCCTTAATGTCATAACACAAGGTTTCAGAAGTCAAAAACATCCAGAGAAGCAATATACACAGACACACACACACACAAATCCCTTCATCAAAGCCTTTTTGGGAGGCAGAGTACCAAGAATGGAGAACGGAGAAAATGCAGTTTCTTTGTTTTAAAACACAATTTAAACCTTTGAGATCAGAAAACTGGATTTTAGGAAGGTCCTGAGCATCTGATGACAGTGCTGACAAAACGTGCCCCATGGCAACATGAACCCTGGGAAGTTCAAAAGGCTCACCAAAGCAAGTTTCCTTCTATCTTTTGCTTACATTCTTTACATTGAAGTGCTGGTTTTCTTCTGTATTTGCAATGGTTCTATATACAGTTTCTGGAATGCAGTAGAGGTTCAAGTCATGTTTGTTCTCAAACTCCTAGGCTCAAGCGATCCTCTCACCTCAGCCTCCCAAAGTGCTGGGATAACAGGCATGAGCCACTGCGCCCGGCTTCAAGTAATGTTTGTTGAATGAATGAAGGCAGGAATAAATGAGTGATTCCTCTGAAGAAATCCTTGGCAGAGAGTAAAAATGCCAAATATCCCCCAAGAGTTTTCAGAATTGAAATGTTACATTTGAGTTGGCTGAGAGAGAGTGTGGTGCAGGACTTTGGTGGTGAAGGACTGTTGGTGGGTTGCCCTGAAACCCTGCAGTGAACCTGACCCAGCTTGCTCCTACAGACTGTCCCCCATTCCCAGGGAGGAAGGAGACTAGAATGAGATACCATCGCGGCACCCCCATGCACCCTGGCCAAAGTGGCACCAGTGACCACAACTGAGGCAGAAGAGACCAGAGACATCAAAGAAGCTCCTGCTCTGCCACTGCCTATTAACGACTGCAGCAGGGGGCCTCTGGGAATGACCAGGACTCCAGTCTCTGTCCTGTTTCTCCAGTTCTAGAGCTGATGGGTTGCCCTGAGCTGCACAGATCCCCTAAGGAAGATGACTCGGTGGCATGCTGGCATGGGTGCGGTTCCTGCAGCTCTGGAAAACTTCCTACACACCAGGAGGAGAGGGACTTACTCTTCTTGGTTTCCCAAACATGGAGCACGATTTTGAAGATGCGGAAGATGTAGTTGCGAGACCCCAAGCAGCAGACCTAACATCAAAGTGAGCTGAACATTTGCAGGGTATACCAGAAGCAGAAGCAACAGCAGCCTATTCTAAGATCCAAGCCCAGCCAGAACCCTCCCAAGACTGTCTGTTTATAGATCGTGGCCCAAACTGACCCTTGTTCCAAGGATGACCAGGAGAGTGATAACGGTTGTGGGCTTAGGAACCAGTCAGGCTTGGATCCAAACACTTCACTAGCTGCACGACCTTGAGTAAATGACAAGATGGCTTAACTGTGAAAGGGAGTAATAAGCATTGCCTATGTAACTAACAGGACTGTTGGAGTGATTCAATGAGATAATACATATACACAAATCAAGGCATGAAAAGCATTTATCAAACATTAGCTATAATTATTATTTCACTAACTCATGTGGCTAGCACTGGTGTGACGAGGAGGGGAACTTAGTTTACAAGTTATAGGTATCTAAAAATACCACTAAAACAAGTTTTTCACTCCTATGGACTAACTTAATGTCTGAATTAAGGTGTGAAAACCTGGATTCTAGCCCCTTTATTGCCGTCAACTTGCTGTGTTTTCTTGGGCAAGTCATTTTACACTTCCAAGCCTGGTTTTCGACATGTGTTAATAAAGATTCGGCTCTCACCCTTTAGGATTCTGTGGTTCAACCCAACAAAACAATCACTGCACTTGTGGAAAAACAAAAAAGTACTGAGCCAAAGGAAAAAGAGAGCACCAGGAATAAGGAAGACAGTTCTGCTGAGTCTCCACCCAGAGATGCACAAAGAAGTGGAAGAGAAGAGGAGGTGGGGTGATAGGAGGTGACTAGCAGGAATAACACACTCTAGGACAATGCTTGTCATCACTACTCTCTTCCAGCCTGAAGTCAAGAAAGCAGAGTGGAAGATCCAGGCGCCTACCCCTAAGGCACATGAGGAAGGGGAGAAGAGGGAGAGCAAGACACGGAGGGAATCTACCACACTAGAGCAAACCCTCACCCACTTCTCGGCTGGGTTCCCAGTAAGGCTTCCCACCCACTCCAGCGTTTCTCCCCCACTCCCTTACCCCACCCCAACTGCGGACTAAGAGGAGCCCACCCCGGAGTCCAAGTTTTGAATCTGGTCCGAGGATCAAAATGATAAATGTTTCCAAAACGTTGACATATGAAAAGTAAATATTTGGTTGCACAATTGGGGCTAAAACTAGGGTCAATCCACCCCATTCTCCAAGCGCCTCTCCATTCGCTGCCAAGCCCAGGATCTGAGGCTGAGTGCGGTTTGTAAGATTATAACGCTCGGTCTCATTTGAAGGGCTGTCAGCATTTCCATTCTCCGGCCCCTTCGTTCGGGGAGGCATTTATAACCGAGCCATAAAAAATTCACCCGGGGCTGCAACTTGGCATCTCCCAGACTGCGCTCCAGGCAGAGCGGGTTTTGCGAGCACCCACTCTGAATCTGTCCAGTTCCTCAGAAGTTAAACCTTCACCCACACTCTCAACTTTCCTTGCAAGGGCAGCCAGAGAGCGGCTGGCCCATTCTGATCTCCAAGCAGGTCAACAGTCTCGGGCCCTCTCTCCCGCCTCCGCGCCTTGACGGCCCATCATCCTATAGCTTTCTCCTTCGCCCGCCCCCCTTTTTAACGAGCGCAGACCCCTGACCCTCACCCTAAGACCTTGAGGCTGCAGTGCTCTTGCCTCCCCTCGCCTCTCCTCAGCTACTCCTTGGAAGCTGTCAGCGGGCCCTGCGTCTGGAACCCTCACCCCTGGAGAGGCACTGCTCTTTGCCCATCGCTGGGGGTTTCGAGACCTCTCTTTCCAGATCTGACCAAGCCTACAGACCCCCAGCTCGGAGAGTGAGGGATCGTATCCAGGAAGGGATGAGAATAGAGACTGCATCCAGGGAGGCCGAGGGGAAAGGACGGATCTGGCGCCTGGGGCCCCCTCGGTGGGACCCAGGTGGGTGGCCCGCGTGGGGTGGGGCAGGGGTACTCACAGGCGCTCAGCGTTGCGGGGGATGCCCCGAGGAACCGCGCGGAGGCCCAGCCCGTGGCAGTCCACGCTGGCAGCGGAGCAGGTACACTTGGTGGGGCAGGCGACGGCTGGAGGCCCACTCAGGACGCTCGCCAGCGCCAAGGCCAGCGCCAGGCGGGCGCGCACGGCGGCGCCGACCCCTGCCCACCCGGGGGCCATGGTGTGCAGGGCCCCGCTCCTGGAGGAGGCTGCCTCTGCGGGGCAAGACGCGTGGAGCCCGAGGAGGCGCGCGGGGAGCGCGGGCGGCCTGGGGAGCGGGCGGCGGAGTTAGCGCGGAGGAGGGGCGAGCTCGGTGCTCAGGCGCACGGGGCGCGGGCGGAGCGGGGCGCTCCGGGCGGCGGCGGCGGCAGCAACAGCAGCTCCATCGGCGGGGCCGGCGCTGCCCCGCTGCGCATCGCTGGGAGTGCCCAGGTGCGGAGCGCCCCCTGGCCCCGCTGGCCCGCGGGCCGGGTTGGGGACCTGGGGCGAGCGCAATGGGGCGTGGCGCCCGGGGAGGTCCGGCTTGGGGCTGGGCTGGGGAGCGCGGCGGCTGCGGCTGGGGCACGGGGCGGCCGGGTGAGCTGGCCGGCGCTCGCTCTCTCCATTCAGTGAGCACGGCAGACACCGGAGACGCGGGGCCCACCCCTCCGGCCCCCCCCCGACCAAGAAACGCCAACTCCGCCTCCCATTGGCTGCGCCGCGCGTCATGTCGACTAAGTTGGGAACTTTGCTGGAGCGACCGAGAGCCTGGAGGGAGGAGGCAGTAGAGGAGGGAGAGAGAAGGAACCAGGGAAGGAAAGGGGCTCGGCCAGCAGGGCCCCTGGAAAGAAACACTGAAACTCATTCACTGTTAAGATCCAAGGACGGATAAGGCTCCTGACACTTTTTTTTTTTTAATTTTTGCACTGAGCTGAGCACTCTACTCATATTCTTTACTTAAGTCCACGATCTTCCAAGGGGTCGTCTGAAAACAGCTCAGAGAAGTGAAGCGACTTGCTGGAGGTCGCACAGCTGCTAGGGACGCCAAACCATGGCAGTGTCGCCCACGAAGCCGCTTCCCTACCGCACCTAGTACTCATGGCAGAGATCCACAATTTTGCCTGAAGAGCCTTGGTTGACACCAATGTACTCCACAGCTACACACACACACACACCGTGGTCCATGTTGTTGAGGTCACTGCTGGCAAACCTTACCCGGAAACTTGCCCTGCTTTGCCCAGACCCAGCGCTTGGTGGACTGGTAAAAGTAGTGATGGCAGCGACTTGGACCCCTGGATTGACAATGCCTTGTTCCATCCTCGGGTTTCTGCTTCCTGACTGGGTGACTCTGGGCCAATCGTGTCATCTCTGAGCCTTCGTTTTCTCAAATCCGGGGCCACAGTCCTACCTGGCCTCACCTCCCTGGGTTGTTTGGAGCATCACAGAAGAGAACGTGTTTTTGCAAAAGTCATTCGCAGACGAGGCATCCCTTCTGTCCCCAGCGCCTTCTTTCTTCCAGCGCCCGCTTTAAATTGGCTAGGTCTGAGCTTTTCCAGATGCCAGTGGGGAGGGGCGTGTGCGTTAGAGGCTCCATAAATACTTGTAGGAATGATTTTGTTTGTTTGTTTGAAAGGAAAGGGCAGGAACTGGAGGAAGTATTGCCCAGATTTCCTTGAGGTCCCCTCACACTGAGAAGGCCTGAATGAGCCCTGCATATATATACACACACACTGGTGCCTACGTATTCACAGCCACGCACACACTCTCACATACTCAGGCTCACACACACCCATTTATACACCGGCAATCACACACACGTGTACATGCATGCTCGCACACACACTCACATAGTGACAACTATACTCCTGAGAGCGCTTCTCTTTTCTTTCATAAGAATACTATTCTGATTTCTTCTACCTCATTTTCCTTCAAGGAAACTTTCAACTACTTGACCACATCCTGTGAATATATAGTAGAGTTGTAGATTTTATTGTATTATACTTAGCAGATTTTCAAAGTCTTAGCTTTGGGCACCCACTTGCGCGCGCGTACACACAAACACACACATACGCACACTCACTCAAACACACACACTCGAGTCCCTTCATCATTCATAAACACATTAGGTGCAATTTACTGCTGTTATTCTTGGGAACGGCTTTCTGTACAGATGCTGTTGTTATCGCCCCCTGGTGGCTGGCGAGGGTCTATGCTCCGGTCTTCAGGGTGACTTCGGTATTTAAGAACTCTAAACATCCTTTTATCCCTTTGCTCTGAAGCTTTCCTCCAAACCTTGAACCAATTTAGTACCAGGACTGAGGCAGATGAGAGAACCGGGCAAGGGCCCAAGGGCACAAAGCGTCTCAGACTGTCTGGAGCAGAAAACAGTACGGTTTTCTTTGTTTTCCCAAATGCATGCTAGAGCATGTTTTGCAATCCCTTCGGGCTGGTCCTGGATCTGTGCTCTGAGCGCAGTGGGGGACTGCGTTTTCCATTTAAGCTGCTCAGGGGGGTTTCATGAGCCAGACTGTATCTTTAAGGGACTTTATAGGCATTCAAGTGTGACTTTTCCTGGGAGAAGCCCCTTAGAACAGATGGTGAGGATTTCCTTCAGAGTCAATCATCCCCAAGGAGGAGGCAAGTGGGAAATACAGGAGGGGCCCAGAACACCAGGATACACAGAATCATGGAGTGTTTGGGCTGGTACAGCCTTAGAAATCACCTAATCCAACATTTCTACAAGTGCCTTCTGATGACTACTGATTCCACATGTTTCATCATGGAGGAGAAAAAAGTCTCCTTGGGCAAAGACAGATTGAGAAATGCTACTCACCTTCACCCCTCTTGGAGAATTGCATCACAGATGAGTGTTTTTAAGTTCCTGAGAAGTCCTGCAGTAAGGAAACCTGTTTAAGGCTTATTTAACCCAGTTTCTCAGTATAGAGGACCACTTTTCATGTAAACTGCAAATTCTCTTGGAACATACTTTGAGAACCCAAATATAGTTCAACTCTTGTATTTTACGAACAAGGAAGCTGAGTTTCAGAGAAAGGCGGGCATTTATGTAGGGTCACCTAGCTAATTAGTGAAATAACCAGAGCCAGGACTCCGGGCTTCCAATGCTGAACATGTGGCTCTGTCCACTTCCTCAGCTGATTCTGGGGCATCTGCAGAAGGCGGTAGCCACCCCATGGAGCAATTACCCTCCTTGGAGAAGACTGGGTAAATCACTAGGAGGTCAGGCTATTGTTTAGAACTTTCTATGTCCAAGGGCCAGAGGTGGCTTTACACTCTGTGGTGTCATTTTTAGAGTTGCGTAAAAGTCCCTGGACACTTTTGAATTTTCCCCTTTACTTTTCCATAGGCTTTTCAAAAGCAAACTACTCGCCCATTCCTGCAGGAAACCCCATCTCAAACTTTCTCCTCAACCTGTGTTTCTCAAAAGCAAACTACTCACCCATTCCTGCAAGAAACCCCATCTCAAACTTTCTCGTCAACCTGTGTATATTTCCCTGTGTGAGATACTACCCTTCATGTGGCCACCACAGTCAGCGGAGGTTTTCTGTTTCCAACCAGCCAGACTAACCATTTGTGCTCATCGTTCTCCAATGAATTCTCCAGATCTACTCTCTGCCCACTGTCGGAGGCAGTTCTGTTCCTCAGAACAAACAAAAAACTTTACCTTATTGAATTTCCCCAAAAAATGACTTTTAAAGAAAGCCATGGATAGCACACAGAATCTACAGAAAAAAATGAAGATGGAGGCTTCAACAAAGACAAGACCCAAGGCAGGATCTAGGTGCCAAGCTCAAGATTTCCAAATTCCCAGGAGGGAGCAATTGATGGTCCTGACTTGAGTCACGTGATCACCCTTTTGGCCAGAGAAGACAAGAACTATGGGTGACAGTTTTATGGAGACTGCACTCAGTTGGGCAGGTAGGAGTCCTTCTCTCAAAGGAAAACCCAGAAGCTATTAGCTGAAAAGTGGGTGGGAGTATTGAGAAGTCAAAACAGCTCAAAGAATTTTCCCTCTCTCACACACCACAGCCATTTAATTCTTCAGTTCTGTTCATTCTTCCCCATGACCATCTCTTCAATGTATCCCCTCTTCATCTCTGGTTCTCCTGCTATTGTTCAGATCCTAGTTTCATGCATAGGTATTGCTCATTGGCCCCCACATAATTTCTCTAACTTTATTTCTTAGTTTTTTGCTTCACCAATCCGTCCTTTGCCCTGATGATCCAAGGATCTTAAATACAGACCTGACAATGCAATTTTGAACTCTGGAGTTGTTTTCTGCTTCTTCCACCTCATCTGCCACCACTCCTCCACATCCACTCAATACCCGTCCCAGAACATCCTTTCCTGCTCTCCTGTCTGTCTACCCCAGAGTCCATGTAGCAGCCGAATCCTCCAGTTTAGAAGCGGAATCCTCTGGACTTGTTGGTCCAGACTATTAGGTTCTTGAAGATAGTGACCCTGTGTAATCCAATTTTTTCAAACTTGTATTATAAAAAGTTTCAGGCATATAGAGATGTCTAATCAAGTTTTGTAATCTTGATATCTAGAGGTGCAAATCTTGATATCTTGATGATGAATAAATGAATACATGAATGAATGAATAAACAAATGAATGATCTTCTCAATCAGCCAGCTTATTTGACATTCTCCTATTGTATTTTTATTCAGTTTAATCAGTGTTAGTCAATCTTTTGGGGGAGGGTGTGGTTACATTCTTCTAGAATGCTCTTGCAAATGATACACATTCGCCACCCCCAATTCTGATATATTTGCTTCACCCCATCAGGACTAACAATTTCTGCTCATTATTCTCCAGTGGACTCTTCAGATCCACTCTCTGCCAACTGTCAGAGGCAGTACTGTTCCCCAGGAAACTAACCTTTATAGACTGCATCACCTGAACTCCCTTGGATCCAGCCATATGGGGAACTAGCTCAGAGAGCTAGAGGAGAGAGGCCAAGGCTTCCTCCACAGGACTGCAGTTTGTCAGTGGCTGCCTTTCCCTATTGAAGGTCATAGTTCGTGTTCAGCAGCTGTCTTCTACAGCTATGGGTCTCCTTGGAAACCACTGCCGTCTCACTATGCCTTTAGAGGACAGGAGTGGAAATAGCTTTCCACTGCTGCTAAACTTTGGGCAGTCCCCATCCCTGGTTGATTTCTTTTCTTTTCTTTTTTGTTTTTTTTTTTTTGAGATGGAGTCTCGCTTTGTCGCCCAGGCTAGAGTGCAGTGGTGCAATCTCGGCTCAATGCAGCCTCTGCCTCCCAGGTTCAAGCAATTCTCTGCCTCTGCCTCCCAAGTTGCTGGGATTACAGGCACCAGCCACCACGCCTGGCTAATTTTTGTATTTTTAGTAGAGATGAGGTTTTGCCATCTTGGCCAGGCTGGTCTTGAACTCCTGACCTCGTGATCCACCCACCTGAGCCTCCCAAAGTGTTGCAATTACAGGTGTGAGCCACAGCTCCCGGCCCCCTCTTTGATTTCTTAACCCTGCCTCACCTTTCCATATAGTCCCTTTACCAAACTTTCTTCAGGTACTCCTTTGAATTATCCATTTCCTACCAGGGACCCTGAAACTGACACACTACCTCACTGAGCTGCTGAGGCAGATCTTTGAGGAGTAGGTGAACAGGAAGCAGGGAGAGAGAAAATGAAACCCCCAATTTGAGATTAAGACTATGATCCCTATTCTATTTTCCTGGGAGAGAGAATAGCTCATGTATGTGAATTTTAGGTCATTTCTGGAGAAATGGCCTAAAAGGGTTAAGAAAGTAGCCTAAAAAGGATAAGGAAAAGATACCATCTGTTGGACCTAGAAGGACATTGTTTTCTTTTATTCTTTTTCTTTTTTTTTTTTTGAGACAGAGTCTTGCTCTGTCACCCAGACTGGAGTCTAATAGCGCAATCTCGGCTCACGGCAACATCTGCTTCCAGGGTTCAAGTGATTCTCCTGCCTCAGCCTCCTGAATAGCTGGGATTACAGGCATGCACCACCATGCCCGGCTAATTTGCTTTTGTATTTTTAGTAGAGATGGGGTTTTGCCATGTTGGTCAGGGTGGTCTCGAACTCCTGACCTCAGGTGATCAGCCCGCCTCAGCCTCCCAAAGTGCTGGGATTACAGGTGTGAGCCACAGGCCCCGGCCTGAAGGACATTGTTTTCAATGCAAATACTTCCCTTTTTCTCCCCTGAAAAAGAATGAACAATAAAGGTTTATTGCTGGTTAATCTATTGAGCCTCCCCAAGGGATGAGAACTACTCTGAATACATAAATGTTTAATGAATGAATATGTAAAATAAATTTGATAAATGAATATTACAATAAGTAACCTATTGATGTAGTTAGGCTTTGTGTCCCCACCCAAATCTCATCTTGAATTGTAATCCCCATAATCCTCATGTGTCAAGGGAGAGACCAGGTGGAGGTAATTGAATCCTAGGAGTGGTTCCTCCCATGCTGTTCTCATGATAGTGAATGTGTTCTCATGATACCTGATGGTTTTATAAGGGGCTGTTTACCCCTTTGCTCAGCACTTCTCCTTCCTGCCACTTTCTGAAAAAGGTGTCTTGCTTCCCCTTCGCCTTCCATCATGATTGTAAATTTCCTGAGGCCTCCCCAGCCATGCTGAACTGTGAGTCAATTAAACCTCTTGCCTTTATAAATTACCCAGTCTCGGGCAGTTCTTTACAGCAGTATGGACATGGAGTAATACACTTATCATGAGGAAGAAGACAGAGCGATAAAACCTTTCAAAATCTATATTCAACTGTAGTGGACAGCTATTAATTGGCCTTCTGCTCCAACCGTGTGATTATGATTCCACATTTTCTTGTTTGTATATGAGCTTGCTTTTCTCAATACACTGATTTTTTAAGGGGCGGGCACATCACTGAAATGGGCCAAGCAGAGTCCTTTCCTGGGATTTTTCCAGCTGAAACTGGAGAAAGAGATCTAGTCCTTCTGGGGTGCTAAAACTGGAACATGTGAGGAACAGGAGTGAGCATCCATGTGGCCCAGTCAAGACTAACCATGGTGAAAGAGACTAAATTTGACCCATCTTCCAGAAGTGTAAGTGGCATTCAGCTTAATTTACCAATCAAATAAACATTGACTAAGAACTTTATATATGCCCAGGAGATGACACAACCACAGCTGACAAAAATCCAGTTGGGAAGACAAAATTAAGATACATGAATGAAGAGAAAAGATATGGTATATAACTAAATGCTACGTGATATGGGTCACATAGTAAGTGCTACACAAATTCTGAAGAGGGAGAAATCACTTTAAGCTGGGAAGGACAGCTGAATAATTCAGTCTGGCATTTGAAGTATGTATGGGTTTGCTGATGTCAACGAGAGGGAGAAGGGTTCTGGCATTGAGAGAAACAGAGGGAGGGTGGTAGGAATAGAATTGTGTTTGAGGTGGGAAAGGGTTTTGAGAAGGTGGAGTATAAGTGAATTTGGAGCACATTTCTATTTGCCTGAGAGACAGTTGGAGAAAAAGAGTTTTGATGCCTAATTTGCCCTTGGCTGTGGCTTGGTTGCCTTGCTTTAGAAACTGGAGGACTCTGTGTAGAGGCAATGGCTCTGACTTTGAGAGGTGATACGGACTGGAATCCCCAGAAAGGAACCAGAAATATGTCCCCAGTTCAATTTTGCCTGGTCTGAGAGGAAGCCAGATGATCTGGGAGCTCTTGGTTCTCTAAACTGTTGCAGCAAGAGGCAAGTCAGCCAGGTGTGGGGTCAGGCTCTTGGTCCTCAGGGCCAGAGTGCTGACCCGAGAGGCCTGGCAGACAGACTAACGTGATCACGGACCTCTCCAAATTGTACAGGGAAGATTTGTCTCATATTTGAGCAAAGCAAGAACTGTCATTGGGGAGATGGCTCTCCAATTTGAGGAACATTAATCACCTAATTAACCAGAACACCTGCTCATAAAAATTGTCCCACCCAGGGAATCAAGTTAAACAAAGCATGAGGATGTGCTGCACAGACTTAGCTGTGGCATCTGTATCCTTGGCTGGCCTCCTTGGGCACTGAGGCTCACAATACTCTCCAGCCAGCTGTTGGGCTTGACAGAGGCTTCCAAACACCAGCCTTGTTTAGCAAGCTGCGATTAGTGAAAAACTCAGAGGACTCCTCTTGCAACTTACCTGGAATTGTGGATGTGAGTGAAAGTGCTGGGCACTATTCTGAGTGTTTTGCATACATTAAGTCTTGAATACTCACAACAACCAAAGGAAATCTCCTATTGTTGCTGAGGCTAGCGTGATGCTCACAGATCTAGTTTCTTCTTCTGGACACATGGGAAGACTGCTTTTCCCAGCCTCCATTGCAGTTAGGTTGGTGCCATGTGCCTCATTCTGACCAAAGGAGCATGTGGAAAAGTGCTGCATACCACTTCCAGACTTGGTCTTAGAAACTTCTTATGTAATCAGTACACAGCTCTCTCTTTGTCTATTAGCTGGACACATAGAGGGGATCCAGGGAAGGATCCCAGGGTGTCCTGAGAGAATGGCAGAGACGCAGAAAGAAAGGCACTGGAATCCCTAAATCACCACATAGAAGATGGTGGCCAAACAGTCTGTACCATGAGAAAAAAACTAAACTTCCCACTGAGATTTGAAGGTTTGAACCACCGATGCAATCTTGGCAATTATGTTTCCTCAAATCACACAGGACCAATCTTAGAGAAAGCTGCTACCTATGAGGTATGATTTCAGAAACTTCAGGAAATTCTTCCATCCCAAAATAATACCTCCTCCTATTGGTTAATCATTGACATGCTTTTAAATAGGAACCCTCATTATCTGCTCTTTACTTACCTTAACATTCCTTCAACATATATTTATGGAATACTTTCTAGGTGCCGATAATCCTGTAAGTGTTATGGTGATGAAAAAGGAAACATGGTTGCTATTCTTATAGAATGTTTTATGGGAAACAGATGTAAAACAACCAATTACACAAGAAAATTAATACATACTTACAAATTATAAAAGTTAGGAAGGGAATGAATAGGGTGATGTAATAAAGATAAATAGAAACTGGCAAAGTTTCAAAAAAAGTAGTCAGGGAAGGAGACTTAAAGTATAAAAAGAATCTAGCTATGGCGTGTAAGATATGGAAGCGGGCAGGTCATTATTCTAAGAGAGACAATGGCACATGCAAAGGCCTTAAGGTATGACTTCGATAGCTGGAGAAACATAGGAAAGGCACTGTGGTTAGATCCTAGATAGAGAAGGAGATCTGTTCTGGGAAGGTTGGAATTATTTCTCCTTCACTACTGCATTGACCCCAGTATATGTGAAGTACTCCAGTGAGTGACATTCCTCCTTTCATTTGTGTATAAGGAGAGAAGTCTGGCCAGGTGCAGCGGCTGACGCCTGTAATCCCAGCGCTTTGGGAGGCCTAGGCAAGCAGATCACCTGAGGTCAGGAGTTCAAGATCAGCCTGGCCAACTTGGGGAAACCCCGTCTCTACTAAAAATACAAAATAGCCAGGCGTGGTGGCGGGTGCCTGTAGTCCCAGCTACTTGGGAGGCTGAGGCAGGAGAATTGCTTGAACTCGGGAGGCAGAAGTTGCAGTGAGCCGAGATTGTGCTACTGCACTACAGCCTGGGTGACAGAGCAAGACTCCATCTCAAAAAAAAAAAAAAAAAAAAAAAAAAGAAGAGAAGCCTAAACTTTGGGATGAATCTGACTTGACATAGAGTCTATTGCAGTTTTAGTAGTATTTGAATACAGGGGGCTGAACAAAGGCAATCTACTTAGAGGATTGCTATGAAAGCTATCTTGTATAGGCAGCATGATATTTTCCCACAACTTTTAAGCTTTTTAGTGTGGCTCAGGGCGAGGGGTTGGAGTTGATGAAGACCACTGGGGTAGGAGGTTAAAGCCCCTCTAGCCCTTGGAGCTGCCATCTCATTGAAGGCATGGACATTTCTATAAAATATTTTATTGTATACATTTCCATTTCCAAAGTTTAGCTAATGACACCATCATCTACCAAGATGGCTAGACCAAAAACTTAAAATGTCATCTTTAGCTCTTCCCTTTTTTCCTCTTAACCTATCCCACATTCATCAGCTCACCAAGACCTATTGTTTTTTTATTATTATTATTTTACTTTAAGTTCTAGGGTACATGTGCACAACGTGCAGGTTTGTTACATATGTATACATGTGCCGTGTTGGTTTGCTGCACCTGTTAACTCGTCATTTACATTAGGTATTTCTCCTAATGCTATCCCTTCCCCATCCCCCACCCCATGACAGACCCCAGGGTGTGATGTTCCCTGCCCTGTGTCCAAGTTTTCTCATTGTTCATTTCCCACCTATGAGTGAGAACATGCAGTGTTTGGTTTTCTGTTCTTCCGATAGTTTGCTCAGAATGATGGTTTCCAGCTTCATCCATGTCCCTACAAAGGACATGAACTCATCCTTTTTTATGGCTGCAGAGTATTCCATGGTGTATATGTGCCACATTTTCTTAATCCAGTCTATCATTGATGGACATTTGGGTTGGTTCCAAGTCTTTGACTTCATATGTGGTAAGATCCACCCCTCCGCTCCATACCTGTCACCTGGGCCCCTTAACTGGCTTCCCTGCCCAACTCCTGTCCAGTCATATTTTCCAGAGCCTCTGAGGGCTTTCCATTACTTAAAGTCTGAGAAACACACATGGTAAGGAAGGATCTTTGTCAAGTGTTCTCTTCCCTGTCTTTATCTCCTGCTTCATTCTTCACTAATTCCTATTCCCGCCTTAGGCTGAGCTATGGAGACTCAACGTTTCCTGAAAGTATTGATGGGTTGATGGTTCACCTGTGAACTTCCCCCATGTTCTTCTCTCTTTTATGGATGCCCTTGCCCACCTCCTCCCTCTGATCACAGTGTCCTGGTCCTTCCCCCTGCGGCCCATACATCAACACATGTGTGAAGCATTTTATACTTTCCTCCCTATTAACTCCTCTACCATATTAGAGACTTCTTCATTTGACCTGTGGCTATATAAACCTCTATCATTACATTCCTTCCATTAATGTAATCATCTCCTTACACATCTTCCTCCTTCCCCAGTTAGACTGTGAGTCTCTTGAGTCTCTTGAGAAATATGAGTCTCTGTGAGTCTCTTGAGAAATGAGATGTGATTTGCCAAACTCTTCATGAGACTTGTCCATCCTCACTGGGTCCGATACTTCTCTTCTCATTCTTTCTTGAACCCACTCCTTCCAGAATTTCTCCTTAACACTTTACTGAAACTGTTCTTTTCAATGACCTCCCCATCCTTCTAGTTAACTGGGCCAAAATTCTTGGAATTACCCCTCATTTTTCCATTCCTCTCTTACTCAACGTCCAAAAAAATCAGCAAATCCTGTTTATTTTTTCTTCAAGTCCATAATCCAACCATTTATTTTCATATCTGCCATTACCACAAGTGACTGTCATTCCTGGACTGGATTATAGTAATAAACTCCTAACTCCTGCCGCCATCATTTCCTACCTTCTGTAGTCAACTTTTAACCCAGCAGTCCTGTCATGTTAATATATATGTCAGATCATGTCATTCCTCTGATCCAAAGCTTCCAATGCAGATTTCTGCTTCTAGCTGTGATGGCAAAATGGAACTGGATTTATTCTTCCACCTTACACGAGAAGAAAAACGGACAAACTATACAGAAAAAAAATGTTTTTTTTTTTTCAAACGCTGGAAAATTGGAAGTGCATTACTGAGCTCTCTAACATGACAAATTAGGTGAGTTATATGATGATAATAGCTTATTGTCTAGAAATAATTTCCAGGATGCAGTGCAGGGAGGATTCAGCATTCTGTCTTAGTTGAGCAGACAGAGATCATAGGGTCCAATGTGTCTAGAACTGTAAGACGGCATACCTGAAAGGTGGGAGCTGAGCAGTAGGAGGGTTCCAGAGATCTCCAGCGAGGTTCCCTTGAGTGTTTGCTGAATATTTGTGAGGGAAACCCTATAAGCCTGGGAAGAAAAGACACTTAAGATCAGTAGCCTGAATAATTCCCAGAATTCACACATGACTGATAATAGTTCGTGTTTTCACCAGCCATAGTGAGAAACCCTTGTAATATTTAGGGCATTGGGTAAAAGCCTCAGAAGAGTATTGCCTTGTAGTGGAGTTAAAGGCACCTTGGACCCATCCTAAAAAAAGGTTTAAAAACAAGCCTTGACAGGATGCAATTGATTTCATGTAACTTAACTGTGAGATGGAACAAAACTCTATACTCCTATTTAAAGAAATATAGCAAGATCATCCAACAATTTAAATTTCACAATGACTGACATCCAATCAAAATTATCAGGAATACAAGGCAGCCTGAAAATATAACTTATAAAAATGAAAAAAATAGAAACAGACTTGGATATTGTAAAGATGACATTATTAACAGACAAGGATGTTAAAGCAGCGATTATAAATATTCTTCATAAATTTAGAAGGTAAGAAAAAGTGGAAGATACAAAAGAGAACCAAATGAATCCTGTAAAAGCTAACACATGGATGAACTTTGAGGACATAATACTAAGTAAAATAAGCTAGTCACAGAAGGACAAATCCTGCATGAGTCCATTTATATTAAGAATCTAAAGTCATCAAACTCATAAAGGCTAAAAGTAGAATAGTGGTTGCCAGTGACATAGGGTAGAGAGAACTCAGTGAGGGGAATTGTTGTTCAATGGATGTAGAGTTTCAGTAGCACAAGATGAAAAAGTTCTAGAGATCTGCCATACACCAATAGGCATATAGTTAACAATACTGTACTGTACACTTAAATGTTTGTGAAGACAGTAGATTTCATGCTATGTGTTTCTATTATCACAATAAAAAATTGTCAAATGGAACTTCTAGAGATGTAAAATACAATACAGGAAAATAAATTACACTGGATAGAATTTACAGCAGGTGAAATCCAGCGAAAAGTCTTGAATTCAGGATTTAGTTTAAAAAAAAAAAAACTCCAAAACCCCTCTTGCAACTTAATTATAAAAGACCAACAGACAAATTAAAAATTGACAAAAGGTTTGAAGAGACACTTTAGCAAAGAAGAGATACGAAGAGTTACAAATAATGAATAGATAGAAAGATGCTCAAAATTATTAGTCATTAGGGAAATGCAAGTTGAAATCACAATCAGATGCCACTCCATAACCTCTAGAAGGACCAGCATCAAAAAGACTGAAGTTTGGGTAAAACAGGAACATCATTTATTGATAGTAGAATGAAAATGGTACTACTACTTTGAAAAACAGTTTCAATTACAATATGGCACGTTAAACATACACTTATATAACTCAGCATTTCACTCTAAGTCCTTACCAAAAAGTATATATTTATGTATGTCTACAAAAATATATATACATATGTCCACACAAAGATTTATACATGAATGTTTAGAGTAGCATTAGTTATATATGAATGTTTATAGTAGCATTATTTATAATAGCCAAAAATTGGAAAACTTCTATGTGTCTATCAACTGATGACTGGATGAAAAACTAAAAATGATATATTCATGCAAAGGAAAACTACTCATCAATTAAAAGGGATAAACTCTTGATACGTGGAATGACATGGCTGAAACTCAAAAGCACGATGTTACATGAAAGAAGCCAGACACAAAGACAAGACTACAGGCCATAGAATTCCATTTATTTGAAATGTAAAGAAAAGGCAAAACTATGGAGACAGAGAGCAGATCAGTGGTTGCCTGAGGCCAAGGGGATGGTGGGACAGATAGTGGAAACTGCTAACAGGCATGAGTGCACTCTTTGGGGCAACACAAGTGTTCTAAGGCTAGATTGTGGTGATAGTCACACAACTATAAAAATTTCCCAAAACTCATCAAACTCATCTTAAAATGAGTGACTTGTGTTACATGTAAATTGTACCTCACAATAAAGGTGTTTAAAAAGATAACTGTTTAAAGTAAAGTAATAATGTACCAAGGGGGTTATAATAGGTGTTAAAGTATATGAAAAGAACAGCACAAAGAATGGGAGAACAGTAATGGAAGTATACTGTATACTGTTGTAAGGTTCTTATGCTGTAGGTAAAATGGTATGATATTATTTGAAAGTAGACTATGGTTAGTTAAAGACATATGTGGTAAACCCTATGGAAACCACCCCCCAAAAAAAATAAAATAAAATAAAACAAGGACATATAGTTAAAGCCAATAGGGGAAATAAGATGAAAACATTAAAAATTCTCAATATACCTAAAACAAGGTAAGAAAATAAGGAAAATAGTAAGGACAAACAGATAGGACAAATAGAAAACAAATAGTGAGATGGTAGATTAAAACCCATATATAGCAATAATTACATTAAACGTAAATTATCTATACAATCTAATCTAAAGCCAGAGATTTGTCAGATTGGATAAAAAAGCAAAATTCAACTGCATGGTATCTATAGAAAATCCACTTTAAAAATAAAGACACATATAGGTTAGAAGTAAAAGGATGGAAAAGAATACAGCATGTAAACACTAGTCAAAGAAAACTAGAGTGGCAAATATTAGACAAGTAGATTTAAAAATAAGCACCATTCCTATGGATAAAGAAGGATATTTCATAATGATAAAGGAGTCGATTCATCAAGAGGACACACAAATCCTAAATGAGTATGCATCCAACAACAGAGCTTCAAAACACATAAAAACACATAAAAAGAGAAATTAGTAGAACAAAAAGGACAAATAGACATATTCAGAATTATAGTTGGAGATGTTAACACTCCTATTGCAGTAATTATTGGAACAAGTAGACATGAAATCGGTAAGAATCTATATGAGAGACTTGCAAAACACTAGCAATCAAATAAGCCTAACTGACATTTGGAGAACTTTCTACCCAGCAACAGAAGAATAGACATTATTTTCAAGTCTACTTGGAAGATCCAGATAAATAATAGTCTGAAGCACAGGACAAGTTTCAATAAATTTAAAAAGAGTGAAATTATATAAAAATGTTCCCTGACTCCCGGCTAAAACGGTGAAACCCCGTCTCTACTAAAAATACAAAAAATTAGCCGGGCGTAGTGGCGGGCGCCTGTAGTCCCAGCTACTTGGGAGGCTGAGGCAGGAGAATGGCGTGAACCCGGGAGGCGGAGCTTGCAGTGAGCCGAGATCCCGCCACTGCACTCCAGCCTGGGCGACAGAGCGAGACTCCGTCTCAAAAAAAAAAAAAAAAAAAAAAAAAAATGTTCCCTGACCAAAACAGAATTGAACTAGAAATCAAAAACACAAAGATATGTGGAAAATCACCAAAAATTTTGAAAATTAAATCATATTCTTCTAAATAAATCATGGTCAAAGGAGAAATCACAAGAGAGATTAGAAAATATTTTGAATGGAATGAAAATTAAAATATAATATTTTAACATTCGTGGACTGAAGCTAAGATAGTATTTAGAGGGAACATTAAGGCATTAAATGTTTATATTAGAAAAGAAGGAAGGTTTAAAATCAATAACCTAAGCTTCCACATTCAGAAACCAGATAAAGAAGAGAATGTTAAATCCAAAGTAAACAAAGTAAGGAAAGAATAAAGAGCAGAAATCACTAAAATTGAAACAGAAATGCAATGGTTTTGAAAAGCAATGAAATCCAAATTGGCTCTTTGAAAAGATAAATGAAAAAAAATTAAATTCTAGCCAGAGTAGTTGTGGAAAAAAAGAGACAATTATCAATATCAGGAACAAAATAGGGACTATTACTACATAGCCAACTAACATTAGAAGACTAATAAGAGAATATGATGGAAGGTTTTATGGCAAACATTAGATGGAACGGAGAAATTCCTCAGAGGACACAAAATACAAAAACTCACTCAAGAAGAAATAAATAACTAGCCCTGTATCTATTAAATAAATTGAATTTTTAGTTTAAAAACCTTCCCACAAAGAGAATCCAAGCCTAGATGGTTTCACTGGCAAATAGAATTAATTTTACACAAACTCTTCCAGAAAACAGAAAAGGAGAGAGCACCTTTCAACTTATTAAAAGAGGTCAGAATTACCCTGATATCAAAACCAGACAAAGACATCATAAAAGTAAGAATTATATACCCATGTCCCTCATAAAATTAACTCAGAAAACTTTACCAAAAATGTTAGAAGGTGGAATGCAGTAATAAATAAAAGAGATGATATATCATCATCAAATGTCATTTATCCCAGGTGTGAAAAGTTGATTCAACATTTGAAAACTAATCAATATCACTTAGTTCATTTAAAGACTAAAAAAAAATAAAAAGCATACTATCATCTCAATAGGTGCGAAAAAAGCATTTGACAACATTTCACATGTATTCATGATAAAAATTCTCGGAAAGCTAAAGGAAAAGGGAAGCATCCTGAAACTGAATAAAGAATATCTATAGAACACCCTGCAGCTAATGTACATAATAATGCAAGAATGATGGCTTCCCTCCTAAAATCAGAAATAAAGGCAAGAATGTCTAATTTCACCACTCATTTTCAACACATACTTCAGGTTCTACCCAGTGTAATAATATGAGAAAAAGTAAAAAGACATACAGATTTGAAAGGAAGACATAAATCTCTATTTACAAACAACACAGTTATCTGCATAGGAAATCCCAAAGAATCTGCTAGGTGACAGCTATACAAAAAGAATGAAAGCATGTATTTTCTGCAGTGACAAGGATGGAACTGGAGACCATTATCTTAAAGAAACAACTCAGAAACAGAAAGTTAAATACTGCATGTTCTCACTTACAGGTGGAAGCTAAATAATGAGTACATGTGGACATAGAGTATGAAATAGTAGGCACTGGAGACTCGGAAGGGTCCAGGGTGCAAGCAGGAAGAGGGATGAGATATTAATGGGTACATTGTTCAAGTAATGGTTATACTATAAGCCCAGACTTCACCACTATACAATATCTCCATGTAACAAAACGGCTCTTGTGCTCATTAAAATTATCCAAATAAAACTTTTTGAAAAGATTCTACTAATTGAGTTTAGTAAAGTTGTCGTATATAAGAAGATACGGTCAATGTATGAAAATAAATTGCCGTCTTAGATATTGGGAGTGAATAACTGGAAATCGAAATTACAAAACAGTATCATTTACAATAGCATTAAAGGACATGAAATATTTAGGGGAAAACTAAATATGTGCAAGATTTGATGCTGAATATGACAAAATTTTGATGAAACTAAAATGAGCTTATAAAATGATTGATGTAACTGTGCTCATGGATTGGAAGACTCTATGTTGTTAAGATGTCAGTTTTCTCAAATTGCTCTATATGTTCAATGCCATTCCAATCAATATCCCAACATAATATTTCTTTTTGGAGATTGACAGAGTATTCTAAAATTTATATAGAAGAACAAAAGACCCAAAAGAACTAAAATAGGTAATTGTGAATAAGAAGAACAGAGTTAGAGGATTCACATTACCTGGTTTTAAGACTTATCATAAAGCTATAGTAATCAAGAGAGTGTGGTATTGGGTAAAAGAGAGACACAGAGATTGAGAGAATAAAGCCAATATAACAGCAGCCTACAGATTGGGAAAAGTATTTACAAACTATGTATCTGGTAATGGGTTAATATTTAAAATTTATAAAGAACATATACAACTCAATAGTAGAAAAACAAATAATCCAATTAAAAATAGGCAAAGGACCTGAACAGACATTTTTCCAGAGAAGACATAAAAATGGTTAACATGGATATAAAAAAAGTGATCAATATTATTAATCTTCAAGAAAATGCAAATGAAAACCCTGTAAGGTACCACCTGACACCCATTAGGATGGCTATTATCAAAAAGTCAAATGATAACAAATACTGGCAAGAAAATGTGGAGAAAAGGGAACCCTTGTACACTTTTGGTGGGACTGTTGAGTGGTACAGCTATTATGGAAAACAGTAAAGAGACTTCTACAGAAATTAAAAATATAACCACCACATAACCTAGTAATTCCTCTTCTGGGCATATCCCCAAAGCAAATGAAATCACCATCTCATAAAGATACCTGCACTCCCATGTTCATTGCGCATTATTCAAACAGTCAAAATGTGGAAACAACCCAAGTGTTCATCAATGAATGGATTAAAAAAATGTGGTATATATAGACACCATGGAATATTACTCAGCCTTAGATAAGGAGATCTTGCCATTTGCCACAACAAGGATGAATCTGAAAGATATAACGCTAAGTGAAATAAGCCAGACACAGAAAGAAAAATCCTGCATGATCTCACTCATATGTGGAATCTGAAAAATAAAAGAAAAGAGTCAAATATACAGAGATAAGACAGTTGTTACTAGGGGCAGGGTTGGAGGGAGGAAGCAGGAAGAAGTAGGTCAGAGAATGCAAAGTAGTAGATATGTAAGTTGAACAAGTCTAGAGATTTATATCCAACATGAAAACTATAGGTAATAAAATAAAATTGTGCTATATGTGGGATTCCTGCCAAATGAGTAGATTTTAACTGTATTGCCCCAAAAATAACAACAAAAAAGGGTAACTATGTGAGATGATGAATTATTAATTTGCTTCACTAGAGTAACCATTTTACTATCTGTATGCATCCCATAACATCACGTTATACACCTAAAATATATATGATAAATTTCATTTTTAAAAATGATAAAAAATTTTAAAAAGTAAAAGAATAGAATCAAGAGTTCAGAAATAAACACATATATATATGTTCCATTCCAACCAAAATGCCAATGTAGTTTAAGGAATACAAATCTTTTCGGCAGTGGATGCTGGAACAATTAGCTATCTATAGGCTGAAGAACTAACCTTGGCCCTTTTTTTCTGCACCATATGCAAACATTCACTTGAAATGGTATATATATATGTGCTAAATGTATAAAAACTTCTAGAAGAAGACACAGAAAATCTTTTCAAGCTTGAGTTAGGCAAAGATTTTAAAAATAAGATACAGAAAGCACAAATCAAAGCAGAAGAAAATAATAAACTGGAGTTAATCAAAATTTAAAACATCTGTTCTTTGAAAGATATTACAAAAATAAGAAGACAAATTACAGTCCAAGAGAAAATATTTGCAAAACATTTATCTGACAAGGGGTTTGTGTCCATAACATATAAAGAACTCTCAAAAATCAGTAAGACAAGCAACTCAATAAAAAGAATGGGTAAAAGCTTGAATAGACACTTCATCAAAGAAGAAATATAGATGGCAAATAAACACATAAAAAGAAATTAAACATCATTAATCATCAGGGAAATGCAAATTAAAACTACAATGAGATACCACCACATACCCTTTAGAATGGCTAAAATTTTAAAAGTGCTGTTGAAGATGTAGAGCAACTGGAAACTTCCTACACATTACTGATGGGAATGCAAAGTGATAACATCTTTGGCAGTTTCTAGTAAAGTTATGCATTCAGCTACTATATGACCCAGAAACCCCACTCCTAATATTTTAACCATGAAAAATCAAAACCGTATGTCCACAGAAGACCTGAATAGAGCTGCTTATGGAAGTTTTATTTATAATAATTAAATGATAGAAAAACTCAGGCTGGGCGCGGTGGCTCACACCTGTAATCCCAGCACTTTGGGAGGCCGAGGCAGGCGGATCACGAGGTCAGGAGTTCAAGACCAGGACCAGCCTGGCTAACATGGAGAATCCCCGTCTCTACTAAAAATACACAAATTAGCTGGGCATGGTGGCAGGTGCCTGTAAACCCAGCTACTCAGGAGGCTGAGGCAGGAGAATCTTTTGAAAATGGGAGGCAGAAATTGCATGAGCCAAGATCATGCCATTGCACTCCAGCCTAGGCGACAGGGAGAGATTCCTTCTCAAAAAAAAAAGAAACAACTCAAATGGTCATCAGTTGGTGAGTGGACAGCCAATTTGTGGTACATGAATTTAATGGAACATAACTTAGCAGTAAACATAAAGCATTGATACAGGCAACAACATAGATGAATCTGAAAAACATTCTGTTAGTGAAAGAAGGCACAAAAGTTACAAATTCTCTTACATTTATATTGCATTCTGAAAAGGCAAAAAGCAGACCCAAAACTAGATTTTTGCTTGCTAGAGAGTGGTGGAGAGGAGAGATAATAGGCTATAAAAAGACATAAGGACATTTGCGTGATGGAAATGTTCTATAGCTTAGTTATGATTTTAATTACACAACTGTATACACTTTTCAAAACTCATCACAGTATACTCTTAAAAAGGACACATTTTCCCATCTGTAAATATTTCAATCAACCTTACAAAAGCAAACAAAACTCACCTAAACCTCAGTTTTCTCATTTTAAAAATTGTAGCCACTATTATTATTTTCTTAAAAATGATCCTTTTCCATGGAAAGATTGTCTTGGTCAGGATTCCTAAGTCATTGCTTTGATTATCACTTGCCATTTTGTGTCACTGATAAATAAAGATAAAACGCATTTATGAAAAACATCTATTACTATGCTCCATACACACTGGCAACTTGCATAACACTTAAATGAATATGACATTTAATAAAAGAAACAGAAAAGAGTCAATAATCTTTTCAGAAAGAAGCAGACACCAGACTCCAGACAATGGTGGAACAATTTGCTTTTAAATTCATGCCCTGCCCTCTTTTCTTACTTTGCAATGGAATGTTTGTTGACTGGGTTGAAGAAGAAGTCTCAAAAATGTTACTGTTTATTTCTCATGGCCTAGGAGGTATCAGGGTGCTGACATATAGCAGTGTGACTTGTAAATGCATTTTCATAGCTGATAATAATTACTCTCAGTAATTGAGTCTGTTTTGTGATTTCTTCCCTTTTATTTCCCCTGAAATTACTCCCTCACTGGCCCTCAGAACTCAACCTATGTTTGCATCCTATTCCATTGGTAACAGTAATTCTAGTTGCCTAAATTTAGTATCTGACCTTCACAAATGTTCAGCCCCCAAATGTCCTGATGTGTCTCATTCTATGGTCCCAAATTGCCACTCATTTATTTCAACAGGAGACAAATACCTAACCCTACCCAAATCTGGATCTAAATCAGACCTATCTGCAAACTCTACCACCATGGTCATTATTTTGCTTTTAAATAATAATATAAAACAAACAATAATAATGATGATAATACTATAGCAACCATGACCGTTAGTTGAAAGTTGGACTCAGGACAATGCTGGACACTTACACCTAGTCCTCATGACTATCACATGACATAGGTATGATCTCCACTTTACAATGAGGAATTGAAGCAGGGTGTGTCTCAATAGCTTTGCCAGGACCACATATCCAGTGAAGAGCAGATCTGGGCTCCAGCACAGGTCTGACTGCAAAGCTCATGGCTGAGAAGGATCAAGAGCTCACCCTGCCTATAAGCAAAGATATATTGGCCCCAGGAATTAATTTGGGTCAAGCTTTTAGAAGAAGAAAAATAAATGAGACTTCAAAAACTTACTTTGTTCCTATGTTTCATGGAAAAGAAGAAAATTTAAAAAAAAAAAAGAAAAATTGCTTTGCAAAACTTTTCTCTATAAGCTAGCCACTGACAACCTTAAGATTCCCTCTTTAATCACAACGGAGCCTAGTCTCCAGACAACTGCTTTTCCTTGATGACAGTGGGCAACTGTGGTGGCAGATGGGCAATTACACACACATATGACCCTTACATATATACAATCCATAGCAGACATCATTAATCAATCATAGCAATCTTTGCCATAGAGCCCATAGCTAGTTCCCAGTGATTCTCATTATTCTGCTAAAGCAGCTTCTGGCAATTGGTTATCATTGAAAGATAAGTTAAAAATCATTTACGGTCTCTGTCCTAGATGAACTTGTTTGGCTTGTATTTTGATTCTTGCCTTCTACGGTAAATTGGAGAGGTGGAAGGTGAATTGGAGAGGTGTCATCTCGGGACTAGTGTGCTTTGAAATCTCTCTTCTGAGAGATTCTGTTCATATAGCTGCTCTCAGGATCTGTCAGCCCCCAGAACACTGACGCAGTATCCAGCAACCAGGATTGTATGCACCTAGTTCTATATGTGCAAAGCAAAAAGGTAGGCAATAATTCGACTGTGCCTAGAAAGATAAAATCTAGGCATCAGTTCCCAACCCTGACTATACACTAGAATCACTTAGGGGAGGCTTTAAACTACGCAGATTCAAACACCATTCTAGATTAATAAATTTCACGTCTAGCTATGTGTCCTAAAGAACTGAGCAATTCCACATCTAGATGTAAGTGCACACATGTGCACAAAGGAGACATGTAAAAAGATGTTCATTATAGCATTGCTTGCAAACGCAAATTATAGGGAAAGCCTAAATGTTCATCAAATTAACACATAAATAAATTGTGATTATACATACAGCGGAAAACTATGCAGCTGTTTAAATTAACAAAATCATCATGTATCAACATAAATATAATTTTAAGACACAAGTGAACAACGAAGTTCAAAAATATGTACAGTATATTATGCCATTTATATAAATCTTAAAAGAAGCACATTAATTCCTTGTGTTCTTTATTGGCACATTCATATGAGCAAAATAATTAGAAAATAGAGATGTAAACACTAAGTTCTGGATAGTAGTCGCCTACGGGGAAGGTGGGAAGGCAATAGGATGAGGAGTTTCAACTCTATGTAAAATATTTTACTTTTTAAAGAATTCTAAAACAAATGTGGCTACATATTAATATTTAGCAAAAATGATCAATCAGTTCAAGAGTGTTTCCATATTATGTTTACATTTTTATATGTGACAAACTACTTCAACATAGACATTACTCTGTGTGCTATTAAGATCAAATGAGATGTATGAAAAGTCATTTGCACAGTGCACCATAACTGGCAGCCAATAATTGGTCATTAAATGGTAGACAGCTGAATTATGAATTCATCAATTATGCTTAAATATGCTCAAAACATTCATAATAATATATTTTAATAACATTTGAAGTAATTTAAATGTCCAATAATAAATTGTTGTGTAGCATATAGTACATTTATTCACATAAATGGACAAATGAAAAATTATGCAACAATTGAAATGATGGTTTTGGAGATTAACTTTATGGAAAATGCTTAATGCTTAATATTAAATGAAGGAAACAATATGTAATATTGGATGGAGATGTGATATCTAATTATGAGGAAACTACTATAAAAATTAACATAAAGCAGAACTCCAGGAGAGGTGAGAGAATTATGAATTATGGGTGGTTTGTCTTTTCCTCTTTTTGTAATTTTTTGTTCTAATTTCTTATGCTTTACAACATTAAAAAATCAAATGGAATTCATATTTTTCCAGGTAGCCTCCAAAGAATATAGTATCACATGATTCATTCTCTCAGAGAACTGAGAGCCTGAGAGAGAAGCAGATATACACACTAGATTTAAGGATAACGATAATGATGAATTTTTGAACACTGGTTTTTGATTTTACAAAATCTGTGCAAGTTATGAGTTGTTATTCATAATACAAGTGAGGGTCAAAAGATATATGTGACTTTCACATCTTCTCTCACCTCAAATGCCCTAAAAACACCTCTCCCCTCTCTTCTCTCCATTGTCCCAACTTGATTCCTATGTCACTGAGAAAACTGAAGCCATCACAAGGGAACATCTATAGGCTCCTTCCAGCACACCCAGCCGCTTGCTAGATTTCCATCCATAGACTCTGACTTCTCACCTGTGTTTGAAGTAGGCTTGTTCCCATCTAGCTGAGCCCCGCACCCCCGACCTGCATACCAGATTTCATCTCCTCTCTTCCCTTATCATTCTAGCAATTCTCTTCTGTCTTTTCAAAGTAATTAAATTTATCTACTGGGCCTTTCCCTTCAGCAGAAAAACATGCATTTTTTCATCCCATCAAACTCTTCCTGAGTCCACCATTTATCACCATCTTTGCTCCATTTTGAAAAGAAGTTTTCTAAAAAACTTCTTTCTGCAAAAGCAACTCATTCACTGCTGCACTGAAAAAGGCTTTCATCAAGGTCAGCAATGAGCTCCATGTGTTGCTGAATCAATGGTCAATTCTAAGTTCTCATCTTGACCCATCTGACAGAGTGGATTACTCTCAATACACTGTCTTCTACCATACTGTTGGGTTTTCCTTCTTTCATGCTGAATATGCTGCTTTGGTGTCTGATGCTGGTTTTTCTGGTTTCAAGACTTTAAACACAGATGTCCTATTGGACATTTCCACTTGGATATCTAATGGAAATTCCAGACTTATATTTAAAACTGAATTCTTGGGCTCCCCTCTAAAACCTTCTCTGCTTGTAACCTTCCCCATCTCAGATTATGGCAATTCCATCCTTCCAGTCTTTCTGCCCCAAAACCTTGACATGTAGTAGGTTTTCAAACCAATGTCCTTGAATGGATGATCTAATAAGCAAGTTGCCTGAATTCACATGGTAGGTAATAGAGGTGGGTATGTCTAATTCCAAAACCCAAGCTTCTCCATTAAACCCATGCCAAGACAAGTTATTCATATGCTCAGATGAAATCATTTATTGAGATAAAACTTTAAAAAGAATGACAGGCATGTTATATTTCAAAGGACCCTTAGAAACCTCTGCTTTCATTCCAAATGTGCCTTGGAAAAGTCTCTTCACATCTTTAACTCTGGGTTCAGGCTTCATGATTCTGAAGTTAGGTCATTGCGACCATATCATGCATGCAGGAAGGAGTCTATGATGACATTTCTACCCACTGATCTTTGAACATAGGTGTGTGAGAATGGTTGTCCATGGAATGGAGTATAGGTCAGAAAATATGTCATGGTGACTGGCGTGAGAAATGGAAAGATCTTAGATCCACGAGTGTGGGAGCAGAGTCCTTAGTGAGCAGAGCCTAGGGCTCAGGAAAGCAGTCAGGGGCATCCTTCAGAGTGTGGCCTTGGAACTAATCAGACTTAGATTAGAGACCCAGCTTTGTCATTTGCTGACTAAATGACATAGGCAAGTTACCTAATCATTCTGAGTTTCACTTTCATTATCTGCAAAAAAAAGGATAGTGATAGTATCTACTTCATAGAATTGTTGTAAAAAAATATATACAAAGAACTTAGCATGGTGCCATTTACATAGCACACTCAACAGATAGTGGTTCACAATGTTTGTATTTGTATTCATCTCTTCCCAATAAATGTGAGGTTAGTTGGAGAGTTTTGTAGATGTACTATTGCTAAAAGATTCAATGTTTTATCAAGAACAAAGTGAGGATATTCACTCACATGACTCTTACCCAGCATTGTATTAGAGGTCCTAACTAGTGTAATAAGGAAAAATGGTTTCAAATTAGAAAAGAAGAGGTAAAACTATCTCTATTCCAGATAGTAAAATTGCTATCTAGTAAATGTCAAAGAATCTATTAAAAAGTTACTAACACTAGTATGTTGTTACAGGATAAAAGAACTCAAAAATCAATTCTTTTTCTATATACTAGAAATCTTAAAAGGAGTATAATTTACAATATTGTCAAAGTCATGAAATAAATACATAGACATTTAATAAAATTTGTGTGAGATCTATATGCTAAAACTAAAAAAAAACTTAAAAATAATTTTAAAAGACTTAAATAGAGAAATATTAATATATCAAGAGCATGTATTGATAGACATAACATTTTAAAAGATATTAGTCCTTCCCCAAATTGACATACAGATTTAATATAATCTCAGTTGATATTCTAGTAGAAATTAACAAAAGCTGTAATTTGTAAGTAAAGGCAAAGGAATGAAAATAGTCAAAACAATTTGAAAAAGAACAAGGTTAGAAAATGTACACTACCTAATTTAAATACTTCATATAAAGGTACAGTAATTAAGACAGCATGGTATTGGTTTAAAAATAGACACATAGATCAATGGAATAGAGAGTTTAGACATAGACCCACACATACATGATCAACTGATTTCCACAGAGGTGTAAAGGTAATTCAGTAGAGAAAAACAATCTTCTCAACAAACTGTGGTAAAATAGCAGACATCCATATGAAAAAAAATACAGACTGAGAAAAGCTCCACCCATACACTGCATCATAAACAATGAAGTCAAAGTAAGCATAGACTAAAATGTAAATCCTAAAACTGTAAAATTGCTAGAAGAAAGCATAGAAGAAAATCTTTATGATCTTACATTAGGCAAAGATGTCTTAGATATGATATCAAAAGCATCATATATATAAAAGAAAGAAATTAATAAATTAGGCTTTGTCTAAATGTAAAACTTCTGTCCTTCAAAATTCAGTTAAAGCAATCAAAGGAGAAAACAACCCTACAGAATGGGAGAAAATATTTGCAAACAATGAATCCACCAAAGGTCTGATATCCAGAATCTATAAGGAACTTACACAAATTCACAAGAAAAAAAAACCATTAAAAAGTGGACAAAAGACATGAACAGACACTTGTCAAAAGAAGATATACACGTGGCCAAAAAGCATGTGAAAAAAATCTCAATATCACTTATCATTAGAGAAATGCAAATCAAAATCACGATGAGATACCATCTCACACCAGTCAGAATGGCCATTATTAAAAAGCCAAAAAATAACAGAAGCTGGCAAGGTTGTGGAGAAAAGTGAACACTTATGCACTGTTGGTGGGAGTGTAAATTAGTTCAACCATTGTGGAAAGCAGTGTGGTGATTCCTCAAAGAGCTAAAAACAGAACTACCATTGACCCTGCAATCTCATTACTGGGGATATACCCAAAGGAATATGAATTCTATCATAAAGACACATGCACACATATGTTCATTGCAACACTATTCACAATAGCAAAGACATGAGATCAACCTACATGCTCATCAGTGACAGACTGGATAATGAAAATGTAGTACATACACCACTAGAATGCTATGAAGCCGTAAAAACAATAAGGTCGTGTCCTTTGCAGGAACATGGATGGAGCTAGAGGCAATTATCCTTAGCAAACTAACACAGCAACAGAAAACCAAATACTGCATGTTCTCATTTATAAAAGATGAGAACACATGAGCGCATAGAGGGGAACAACCGACACTGGGACCTACCACAGGGGGAAGGGTGGGAGGAGGGAGAAGAGGAGAAAAAAATAACTATTGGGTACTAGGCTTAGTACCTGAGTGATAAAATAAGCTGTGCATGAAACCCTCATCACGTGAATTTACCTATATAACAAACCTGCACATGTACCCCAAACCTAAAATAAATGTTTAAAAAAAGAGAAAACAACCCCACAAAAAATGGGTCTTGTTAACACTTAACAAAAGAAGTATACCAGTGGCAAATGAGCACATGAAAGGTGCCAATTAAAACTGTGGTGGCTCATGCCTATGATCAGCACTTTGGGAGGCTGAGGTGAGCAGATCACCTGTGGTCAGGAGTTCGAGACCAGTCTGGCCAGCATGGTGAAACACCGCCTCTACTAAAACTACAAAAAAATTAGCCAAGCATATTGGTGGGCGCCTGTAATCCCAGCTACTTGGGAGGCTGAGGCAGAAGAATCACTTGAATCCGTGAGGCGGGGGTGGCAGTCAGCCTAAATCACGCCATTGCACTCCAGCCTGGGCAACAAGAGCGAAACTCAGTCTCAAAAACAAACAAACAAACAAAACCCCTGTATTTAAGTATGACTACACACCATTTGGGGAAAAAATCAATAATAGTGCTGGTAAGGGTGTGGAGCAACCAGAACTCTCATACATTGCTGGTGAGAATGCAAAATTGGTACAGCCACTTTAGAAAAATGTTATCCAGGTTTTTTGTAAAGTTAAATATACACTTGCCATATGACCCAGCACTATCGCTCCTAAGTTATTTACCCAAAGAAATGAAAACACATGTTCACACAAAATTCTCTATCTAGATGTTTATAGCCACTTTATTAATAAATACCAAACAGTGGAAACAATCCAAACGCCTTTCTCCTGGTGAAAAGGTAAATAAACTATATTACATCCATCCATCCAATGGAATACTACTCAACAATTGGAAATGAACTACAGATATACACCACAGCATAGATGAATCTCAAATGCATTACTTTAAGTGAAATAAGACTATGCAAAAAGGCAATATTCGGTATGATGTCATTTATATGATGTTCCAGAAAATGAAAATTATAGGGAGAGAAAACAGATCGGGGGTTGCCGTGGACTTGTATGGGAGGAGGAGTTGACTACAATGTGGCATGAGGAAATTTCGTGTATGTGATAGAACTATTCTAAATCTTGACTATAAAAGAGATTGCACAACAGTATCCATTTGTCCAACCTCATGGAACCATATGCTAGAAAAGAGAATTGTACATTATGGAAACTATACCTCAACATACCTGAGTTAAAAAAAATTATCTAGTTTGACTGCTGTGTTTCTTCATCAGCAGTTAAAAATTGTTACTCCACTGCCTTTTATCCTCTGTCATTGTATAACGGTATTTCTTGGTTTAACTACAAGATCTCAGAGTATGTGTCTATTTTCATGTTTGTTATCCTGCTTTCCAAATCCGAGGAGTCATATATTTTATTAAGTGGGGAACATTTTCAGCATTATCTCCTCAAATATTTTATCTCTCATTCTCTCTATTCTCTCTTTATGGAGCATTTATTATAGATGAAATTTATTCTTCACATTTTTAAAATCCTTTTTATATTTTCCATTTTTTTGTATCTTCTAGTTGCATTCTGAAGAATTTCTTCAGATCTATTTCTCAATTTTCAATTTTCACTTTGGTTGTGTCTGACCTGTTTTTTAACCATGCCATTGCCTTTTTAAAGTAATACTTTTTACTGAAATATAGCATACATACACAAATGTGCATAAATCATAAATGTCAACTCAAATAATTTTCACAAACCACACTGTGAAATCAGCACCCAGATCAAGAAACTGAATGTTGCTAGCGCTCTGCAGACCCCCTTTGCACTCCCTCTCAGACCCCCTGCCAAGGCAACAACAATTTTGACTCTAACACCATATGTTAGTTTGACTAGTCTTTGAACTTAATATGGAATGGAATGTTCAATCTGAACTCTTTGGTTTCTTTTATTCAACATTATGTTTGGGAGAGCCATCATATTGTGTGTAGCATTCATTTCTCGTTGTGGTTTAGTATTCCATTATATTAAGATGCTACAGATTATCTATTGCACATTTATGGACATTTGGGTATTTTCCCATTGAAGCTAATTATGAAGAAGGCTATATGAACATTCTTGTACACATCTTTTGGTGCATATATCTTTGCCTTTCTGTTGGGTATATATTTAGGAGTGGAATTGCTGGGTCATAGAAGGATTTTTCCATTGCTGGTGTGACAAGTTGCCACAAATTTAGTGGCTTAAAACACCACAAATTTACTATCTTACAGTTCTGTAGATTAGAAGTCCAATAAGAATCTCACTAGGTTAAGATAAAGGTGTTATCGGGGCCACCCTCCTTTCTGGAGGCTCTAGGGGACAATGTGTTTCTTTGCCTTTTCCAGCTTCTAGAGACCACCTGAGTTTTTTTCGTTCACTGACTTTTTGGCTGACTTCCTCCAGCAGTTTTGGTCTGAATTCTTCTCACTTTCATCTTGTTCTCTCTTCTGGTTCCCGCTACCATTTTTAAGGACCCTTGTAAATGGGCCCACTCAGGTAATAGGACAGTCTCCCTATTTCATTTCTCTAATGACTAATGATGTTAAACATCTTTTCAAATGCTAATGGGCCTTTGAAAAGCTTCTTTTCTGAAGTGCCTACTTGAATCTTTTGCCCATTTTTTTATTGAGTTTTATATCTTTATTATCAATGTGTATGAGTTCCTTAGGTATTATGAATACTAATCAATTGTGAGATATATGTACTATAAATATCTTCTCTCACCGTATAACTTGTCTTTTCACTCTCAAAGTGTTGTCTTTTGACAAATAGAAATTCTTAATTTTAATGTAGCCCAACTTTCTTTTATTGTTAGTATTTTATGATTATTCTATCTAAGAAATCTTCGCCTACAGATATTCTTCTGTGTTTTCCTTTAGAAAACTTAATTTTTATATGTAGATCTATAATACATTTGGACTTTCTTTTATAATACAAAGTATAAATTAAAATTCAGTTTTCTCATATGGGTATCCAACTGATGAAAAATTAATTTTTGAAAATACACTTCAATTCCTACTGCATTTCAGTTTTATCTTTGCCATAAAGGGGTAAACATAGATGTGTGTATCTTTCACTGACTTTTCAATTTGAAATGCAATGTTTTTCAATTTACAAGATCTACTAATTTATTTTTCAAATAGCTTTTTTTCATATTTCCCAAATGGTATCCTGTGTTTCTGTAAATGGCACTTTATTCAAAATGCACTTTTTAATATAACCTCTATCAAATAGTTCTATTATTTGGGCTTCTGGGCCACTAATTCTCAGTTTGTGTGTCGGCTGTCCCCCTCATAGTAGATTGCCTCCCTGTGTAGTTTTAATTTTTGTATGTGAGCTTATTTTCTTTTTTTTTGTTTCGAGACAGAGTTTGCTCTGGAGTGTAGTGGTGCGATCTTGGCAACCTCCGCCTCACAGGTTCAAGTGATTCTCCTGCCTCAACCTCCTGAGTAGCTGGGATTACAGCATGCAGCACCACACCTGGCTAACTTTTCTATATTTAGTAGAGATGGGGCTTCATCATTTTGGCCAGGCTGGTCTTGAACTCCTGGCCTCAGGTGATGCACCCGCCTTGGCCTCCCACAGTGCTAGGATTACAGGCGTGAGCCACCACACCTAGCCTGTATGTGAATTTATTTTCAATGAGCATTTGTGTGTGTGTGTTTGTGTATAAGAGTCACACACAACATGAGTTCTGGCTTAACACATGAAAGTTTATTTTTCTCTCATGCAAAGTCTAAGGCTGCCTTTCAAGCAAGTTATTCAGTGATCCAGCTGTTTCCATCTAGTGGCTAAACTGTCTCAAGACGCAGCTGCCACTGTCACCGAGGAATGAAAGGGAAAGTGGGAGATCCCATGCCTTCTCTTCTATGCTTCAGTCCAGAAGGGACTTGTGTCACTTACATTCCATTGCCTAGAAGTTGTCACATGATCCTGGCTAATTGCACAAGGCCAGAAACATGGGGAAGCACGTAGATACTTGGTGAGCAGTAAATGTCTCTGCTCTTCCAATTACCAAATATTCTTTTGCCTGCTTCTTCCCAGTCAAGCCCTCCTCTGCTTGAATGGGATCAGATCTAGACATCGCTCCTCTGAGTTGGGGGCCTATGAGTCATAGAGACAAGATATCTACCCCTCCATATATCTGCCCCTCTCCTCAACACAGTGGCAGGACACCAGCAGGATAATCTCGACAAACTCATTCATTCAGAAGGGGTGAAAAGAGAGACACACAGCAGTCATCAGTCTGTAGCAATTCTGAGATGGCACTGGGCTGATGCTGTGAGGGCCCCTACAATGGGAATGGGAACTCCTTGATTGTTATATAGTTTTCTTAGGAATGTTCCATAATATCAGGTTCTTGGGAGGTGAATTCTGCCATTTATGGTGTCTACTGACTCTCCCTCAGGATGGATGCTTTCTCACGTGTGTTGTATGTTTTGTTTGTGAGCTGATCATCAGTAGGGATTTATGTTTGTGTGGGTGTGCTAGTTAGTCCCATGTACCCCAAGTTGTGAGAGTGTTTCTGCCAAGTGCTTCTGGGAATCCATCAGTCCAGGACTGTTTTTTTCTAAACATATATTTCTCATTTGGAGATGTCTATGTTATGCAGGTGGTATAAATTTAGACTCATACTCCCCTAAGCACCAGTTGGGGATTAGATTTCCCATTGAAAGCTTCTGACCTCTCTGAGCCACAGGACATTTGGTTAAAGCCTCTTTTGTGGCCTTCCCAGTACCACTTCCCAATTCTCTTTCCAAAAGTATTCTGAAGATGGGCTGTATCCTTCCCATCTATGTATTTAGACTTTTACTATTTATGTATGTGTCTAAAAAATGGTATATAGTATTGATATGTCATTTAAATTTATACTAATGGCAACATATTATGGTTATTCTCTGCAACTTGTTTTTTTCCTATATTTTCAAGATTTAAATATGCTAATAAATATATATCCAGCTCATTCATTTTAGTCACTGTGTAGTATTCCCCTGTAACTCAACTTTTTCCATTTCTCTGTTAATGATTTTTTTTTTTTTTTTTTGAGACAGAGTCTCTCTCTGTAGCCCAGGCTGGAGTGCAGTGGCATGATCTTGGCTCACTGCAACCTCTGCCTCCTGGTTTCAATTGATTCCTGTGCCTCAGCCTCCCAAGTAGCTGGGATTACAGGTGCGCACCACCACACTCAGTTAATTTTTGTATTTTTCGTAGACTCAGGGTTTCACCATGTTGACCAGGCTGGTCTTGAACTCCTGAGCTCAAGCAATCTGCCCACCTCGGCCTTCCAAAGTGCTGGGATTACAGGCTTGAGCCACCATGCCCGGCCTAGAATTTAAATTGCTTCCAATTCTTAGCTATAACTTATAATGCTGAATGAATATTCTTTGTACACATTTGTAGAAGGGTATTTAGGCTATATATTTAGTTATGGAATTACTGGATCATAGAATATGGAGATTATTAACTTTATTAACAAATTACTGTCCAAAATGGTTGTGCCAACTTATAAGCATTTTAACAGAGAATATAATGTTTGTTGTCGCTTCAACATCCAAGCCAAAACTTGATCTTGTTCAACCTTTTAATTATTTTCCATATGACAGATTTAAAATGTTATTTCATTGTAGTTTTAATTTTCAGTTATAAGGCTACTATGAGGTTAAGCTTTTTTCCATTATTATTGGCTTTCCAGGTTTCTTCTGTAAATTATCTAGTTTTCTATCATGACTTGGCCTTTCCTTTATTGATTTATGAGGAAGTTTTATATTTTTTGATGTAGTCCTTTGTCTGCTCTGCGTATTTTATGTGTTTTCTCTGTTTTTATCTTGGACGCCATCCTTAGAGTCCCAGGAAATGCTTACTTGGCTGGAGACGTCTGGAGTTCATTGGCAAGTAATTTATTGCTCATGCTTTTCCCACATTGCTACGGTGTGGTGCAGATGCCACAGGAGTAGGTGACATTTCCATGCTCCCCTGGAGCCCACACAGACACTGCACTTGCAGCTGGATTGGTTTACCTCACTGACTTGTATCTCTCTGGTACTCCTGACTGCTAGCGGGATCCAGGGTACACCACTGGTCACCCTAGACTGGCTGAAGCCACTTCGCCCGATGCAATCAGAGTGAAAGCGAAAAATGCTGGAGGCTTAAAAAAAAATCACAACATGAGCCACAGCTCACTAGCAGCCAGGGGAAGACATCCTACAAGCCTCCTGCAGACTAGAAATGGTGTCTCAATTCAGGACCACTGAACAGGAAGCTTTTCATTTGGCACAGGAAAATTACAAGTCATGAAAACCATTGCACTAAGTTTCTACTACAAGGTGTAAGGTTTCATTCTGAGAGATCATCGCAGATGCAGAGGAACAATTTTTATTAGAGGCACTCCAAAGAATAAGGTATTTCTTGGTTGTTATTTAAAGAGCACCAGAGAGCCACAGGCAAAGGCCTTCTTTCTTCTCTCCAAAACCTCATTATCTCTGCAGACAAAAAGATTTGACATCTTTTTACTGTTCTCTTTTCCTCTGACCCATATGTCCCTGTTTGCCCCATGCAGTTTCCATCACTAGAAGCACTTCTCTGCTTTAGTTCTGAGTCTCAGACACATGTCACAAAGTGCTCTAATAGGTTTCCTATGAGGTCCAGGGGCACAGCTCTAAGTATTTTATAGTCATAAAAATATTTGTAATTATCATGTTTTATCTTAAATTATTAGGTGAATTTTGTAGTCTACTCCATATTATGTCTGGATTTGACTTAATGACAATATGATGTATTTGAAATTTAATTTTCAGGTAAGTTGAAGCTCCAGGCATAGGTATCATGTGTATCTTTTGAATAGCCTCCAGTTAGTCTATAAAAATACCCATGGGGCTATGGTTCTGGAGCAAAGGCTTTCTCTAGCCATCTGTATTGCTACTCTCTAGGACATACACAGGACATCTCAGTCAGATGGTCTATTTGTTGTCCTTTGAGCTTGCTACACTATTTATTATGTGAAGATGTTTATTGACACTATTTTCCAGAATACTTATACCTTCTCTTCATGTCTCTGAGAACTTGAAGACCCTGCTTCTGTGATAAGATTTCTTAAACTCATGGAACTCATTCCTTCTTCTATGCTCAAAGTATTTTATACCTTCTTTGGCTGAGAATTTAGAGCATCCTGTCTTATATTGTTGGTACCTATACTGTATACATTTATCACTTACTAGACAGCACTTTCCTCAAGGTTGGATCCAGGTCTTAGACCTCTTTGTTTCTCCTGGATTTAATTAGGACAATCCTTTCTAGTAGTAAGCATCTACATTTTTGGCAACTCTGTATTTGTAGACCAAGATGACATTATTCTCCTAATGGTAGAAAAAAAGAAAGAAGAAAGAAAGAAAGAGAAAGAAAGAAAGAAAGAAAGAAAGAAAGAAAGAAAGAAAGAAAGAAAGAAAGAAAAGAAAGAGAAAGAAAAAGAAAGAAAAGAAAGATAGAAAGAGAAAAGAAAGAAAGAAAGAAGAGAGGAGGAGGAGGAGAAGCTAACATTGATTGAGTGCCAACTATGTGTCAGGCACCATGCAAGCAGCAATAACACACGATACACATCACGCTCCATCTTTACAACGACCCTGTCAAGTAGCTGTCATTGTTATCACATTTTATACACAAGAACACTGAGGCTCTTAGGTGTAAAATAACTCCCAAAGATCACACTGCTATGAGAGCTGGAACTCCAGCCCCTGACTCCCTGATTCTGGGTTTTAAGTTCTTAACTATTACAGAAAAGAAGAACAGGGGAGGCAGACCCATTTAACACAGGTGATGGAACTGGGGAAAGGAGCCATGCAAGGTATCACCCATGGTCAGTGGGACAAGGTAGTGTTCTTTCTAGTAGACAGAACTACTCCCTTCTAGTAAGAGAGTGGATGCTTTCTTCTAGAAAGGATTGTGCTAATTAAGTCCAGGAGGGACAAAGAGGTGTAAGATCTGGACCTGACCTTGAGGAGCGTGTGGTCCAGTGAGTGACAAACGTGTAGAACACAGGAACCAACAGTATAAGACAGTGTTCCAGGCTCCAGTTGGCATCACAAAGCAGCACAAAAGCCCAGGGCATTGGGGAGAGGGCAAGAAGAAGGGGCTCCATTAAGCCAGCAAGGGCACCACATTCCACCTTGCCTCCTTCCCACTTGGCCTCCAGCTGTTTTGATTATTCAGTTCCTCTCTCTCATGTGGCCATGCCACAGAGAACATGAATTCCCCCAGAACCCACTTCCTTTCTTCCAACTGACCCCTTACAGAACCCAAACTCCCTCCACAGCCTGTCAGTCTGATACCACGCTTGGCCACAGCAATCATGCCTGCTCAGCATTTTCACAGATGGATACTATTTTCCAGGATGGAGTGTGGAAAAAACGGTATTTTTTCTTCTGCCATGATAACATCCCCAAAATTAGGGGGAAAAAAGCACCAGGAACTGATATTTTACAAGGTCACACTTCATTTTTCCTGGCTTGATGTAGCCCAGGGCTGAAAATCTGTTTTCTAAGAAGCTTGTGGGGACACTGGGGACTATCTGGCAGGGTCTGTGCCCTCAGAGTTTGGTAACTCTGTTACAGGGTCTCCCTAAATGGGAGAATGTAGGATTGCAAAGACAGCTAGTATAACATCCAGCTGGCCAGGGAGGATTTGTCAGATCAACGAAGGCTAATTCTGCACATTCCCTGCTGGGCTTCCTAATGCACTGGGACACTCAGCTGAACTGTCTATTAAGAATATTTTCCTAAGTCATTTGTGTTAGATTATAGGCTATAAACCACTTACTGTTGCCTGGCCGCCATAAATATAAAGCAATCATTTTTAATGCAAGCAGCTGTTGGGCTGGCTTCCCCAAGATGCTTTGCCCAGGGACTCAGGTTCTGCTGTATTCCCCTTCATCAAGTGATTTCTGATTGTTTTTCTGCTCTGTTGCATACCACACACATGGTGGTGGGGGTAGGGGTATACATCTTCCTTGCAGAGATTTGTTTGGATGCAGGATTTCTAAAAATATCCAAAAGAAATTGATGAGGGAGGGGAGTGCAAGTTAAGTTGTATGAAATTTGATGACTTGAGCCCTAATCATAGTCTCTATTAAAAAAAAAAAATAGAGCACAAACCCATTTTCTGACCTCCAGCCATAAAATATGGGATCTTGAATTCTACTTATTGAAGATAAATTCATATATATTTATTGAAGATACACTTATATATCTTTGTATATTTATTGAAGATATATATTTTGCAATTATATTCATTTGAGATTTTGGATTATATTTTTACTTGTAAAGTATTTATGAGGGTCTATAATGTACTAGGGCACCATGCTAGATATTAAGGACATAAAGGTGAGTCAAAATTGACATGGTGCCTGCTTTCCTGTCTCTTTGTCTAGTAGAAGAGACAGACTGATCAAATTATTACAAAAATTGCTATATGGGATATAAAGGAAATTTAAGGAACCAGTAAAATGCCTAATCTAGTGATCCATGAAGATGTTCCTAATCAGCAGTTGAGCTGAGACACCAAGGGTAAATGAAGTTAACTCGACAAGGGAAAAGGGTAAATGAAGAAGAGATTTCTAGGAAGAGGTGTGAATGAGCATCATGCATTATGAGAATCCAGAGACTGGGCACAGTGGCTCACGCCTGTAATCCCAGTACTTTGGGAGGCCGAGGCAGGCATATCACAAGGTCAAGAGATCAAGACCCCTCCTGGCCAACATGGTGAAACCCTGTCTCTACTAAAAATACAAAAATTAGCTGGGCATGGTGGCCCGTGCCTGTAGTCCCAGCTACTCGAGAGGCTGAGGCAGGAGAATCGCTTGAACTGGAGGTGGAGGTTGTAGTTAGCCGAGATGGTACCGCTGCACTCCAGCCTGCGCAACAGAGCGAGATTCCATCTCGAAAAAAAAAAAAAAAAAAAAAAAAAAAGAAGAGATTTCTAGGAAGACTGGGAGGTGAGAATGAGTATCATGCATTATAAGAACCCAGGGAAGGACAGGCTACTCGATGCAGAAAGGGTGGCAGGTTCTAGATCTAGCAGGGGCTTGGGGGTGTCTTAGTCCATTTTCTGTTGCTTATAACAGAATATCTGAAACTGGGTAATTAATAAAGAAAAGAAATTTATTCTTTACAGTTATGGAGGCTGATAAATTTTTTTTTTTTTTTGAGACGGAGTCTCGCTCTGTCCCCCAGCTTGGAGTGCAGTGGCGTGATCTCGGCTCACTGCAAGCTCCGTCTCCTGGGTTCATGCCATTCTCCTGCCTCAGCCTCCCAAGTAGCTGGGACTACAGATGCCTGCCACTATGCCTGGCTAATTTTTTTGTATTTTTAGTGGAGACGGGGTTTCACTGTGTTAGCCAGGATGGTCTCTATCTCCTGACCTGATTATCTGCCCGTCTCGGCCTCCCAAAGTGCTGGGATTACAGGTGTGAGCCGCCACGATTTAATACAAGACTGGGGGCCACAACTGGTGAGGGCCTCCTTGCAAGTGCAGACTCTGCAGAGTCCCAAGGTGGAACAGGGTATCACATGGTGAGGGGGCTAAGCATGCTAACTCAGGTCTCTCTTCCTGTTCTTATGAAGCCACCAGTCCCACACCCATGATTAATCCATTAGTCCATTAATTCATCTATAGTTTATTCATTCATGAGGGAAGAACCCTCATCATCCAATCACCTCTTAAAGGCTCCACCACTTAATAGCACCACATTGAGAATGAAATTGCAACATGAGTTTTGGATGTGACAAATATTCAAACCATAGCAGGAGGCTATGTGAAGAAGAGCTTGGTCCTCATCCTGAGAACAACAGGAAGCCACTGGAGCCTGTAGCAGTTAAAGCCTCAGAGGGAAACTGCTGGTTTCCTCGAACAATACTTAAGTGATGTGTTGGAGATAATTTCAAGAAGGCATTATTTTCATGGGTGTGGGTGAAGTTAAAGGAACCCAGGAAGAATGTTGAAGCACCCAAGCAAAGCAACATCGAGAAGCCATGCTCACCTCTTGGTGTGAAGAAGCAAGAAGAGGAAACAGGGGGCCCACCCTGCAGGAGCTGCGGTCAGGGAGGCTCACAGCAAATGTCAGGACTCCAGCACTCTGGAGGGAGCAGGTACTTCACATTCTTTCTGCTGTTGCCCTCTAGTCCCTGCTGGATCTTTTTTATTGGCTGAATCCAAACAGAAACCAGAAAGAAGGAGCCATTAAAATCAGCGAGCCCTCTCCCAACAACCAGGGTGTAAAGCAGGGCAGAGAAGGACAGGGAGTGGCATTGGATGGGCAAGTAGAGAATAAAAAGCACAGAAGGCTTTCAGGCTGTGAGTGGCATGATCACATTTGTATTACAAAACAGATCATTCTGACTGCTTTGCAGAGAGCTAACAAACAAAGATTAAGAGCAAGAGGACTTGTAAAATGGCATCTATAGCAATCAAGGGAGCAATTATGAATGGAAGCCTAAGCCAGAGTGGGGAACAAGTTGATGGAAAGAAGTGGACCAATGTAAGGATTTCTCACATGGCAGAGCTTGGCCAAGACTGGAGGGAACTTGGCAGTCTTCAAATTGCACCCATCCATTGTTGTGAGATAACTGAGGCTCAGACAAGAGAAGAGACTTGAGCCAGAGGTAGAGTTCTTCCCTCACCTTTTCTACTACATAGCCTCTGTCAATATGCTTTGCCTGGATTATACCTTGCTTCTTCATTTTTATTCCCCAGGACAAATTCCTTCCTTCTCTATGTCCTCTGAAGGTCACCTTGGCAATACCCACTCCTAGAAACTTGACTTTATCTTCCTGACTGTAGGTTCTGTACTCTATGGCCTCCTTGCTTTGAAGACCTGAACATTCGCTGCCTCGTAGAGGAGCACACCCTGAGCTCACCCAGGTGGCTGGATCAGGATAAGCAAAGGGTGCTGAGGAAGCACTGAGCAGCCTCTTCTCATCTTTATTTCCATTAGTAAATAATTATTGGATGCTTACTCTTCTCTGGGCAACATTTAAATTTCACAGCCATACATGGAGATTTTATATCTATGTAACCACCCTTTTACAAATGAGTAAACTGAGGCTCACATAGGTTAAACAAGGTCCACAGTTGGTAAGTGGAAAAGCCCAGACTCAAACCCAGGTATGCCTGCCTCTAAATGTCCATGTTCTTAACCACTATACCATACTGCCTCTCACATACTTGGCACAGCACTATGTTAGGTGCTCTTGTTTGTGGTATGAAGTTGAGGGGGTTGGTTGGAGACATCAAAAAGTAGGAGGTGGTTGATGGTTACAGATGTTCCAGGTAACTGCTTTAGCTGAACTCTACACTGGCAGCTACTCAAGCCTTCAGATGACCACAGCCCCAGCCACCATCTGACAATCATTATATTGAGAAGACCAAGTGACAGGCACCCAGACAAGCCCAGTCAACTCAAGAACTGTGGGAAATACTAATAATTTTGCTTTCAGTCACTTAAGTGCGGTTCATTATGCATTAACAGAGTCAGGACACAGGGTAAGGTCTCTTGTGGAAACAATATTTAGACAAATGAAACATAACCGTACCACACATACACTTCTACTCCCAAGAAATTGTTAATACAAAGCTGTTTTCCTGTAGCTTTCCCTTCTCTGCACAAATCTGCATCCTACCAGTTCTTGAGCCCAGCCTCTTTCTTTCATCTGCAGGGGTCTTGCTTCCTCTGAGGGCTCAGTATGCAAGTCAGAGGTCAGCCAGGGAAAATGAGAGCTCATTGGTCCACACCTCTCTGCCTCCCCCTCCTTCTTCGCAGGTGAGGTCCAATTCTCCTTCATCTGCTTTTCCAGGTGCATAAATCAGCACGACACTCCCTCATCTATCTCCATGAGGCTCCTCTGTCCCCAGTCTCCCCCCAGCCAGATGGCACTGGAGCTCTCTGGAGGAGGGCATCTCATGGACATGATATGATATTGCAGGCTCAGCCCATTCTATGACCCAGGCTAAGGATGACACAGATCAGATTAATAAGTGAGCTGCTGGGCAGCTCTTCAGAGTACCAATCTATGGGGGCAACTAAAATGTCCCTGGAATAAAATTCACATAGGGAGCCAGTTAATTCAGGTCTCTACCTGACTGCTGACAAAACTGTTGAAACATAAATTGGTTTGGCTGCAATTAAACACTCCCTGTGGCTACCAGCCAAACTCTGTTGATATTTTTGTGTTAGGTGCGTGCAATTTACATGGTGTGTCTAAGGCCTCACCACTAATTTTGAGACTGGCCCTCTGAGAGTTCCCTGTAACAGTTTAGCCTGCTGACAATCTGAAACTAAAAAATTCATGATGCTGTCTATGCTCTTTAGTGGGAACAATTTATTAGAATGTCTGAATTTAAATAGTTTCATATGCCTCTCAAGAAATTGTCTAGTTCAGAAAATCACATGTAATATGTACATGGAAAATAAATCTTTATTTTGAACATAAAAAGCATATACTTTTATTACATATTTCCATTCCTGCTAAACATTGAACAGACGTGCAAGAAATAATAGTATAAAGAGGCCCCTAGTTACTCACCTCACATGTACCTGTCTCAGTCTGGCCTGGATGCATGGATAGTGCTGGGAGGCAGAGGGGCAGAAATTCAGGGAAATTGTGCTGGAAATCTTTTCTTTCCACTTGCATTTATTTCCATGTAAAATCAGATCAAAGTGAATCTTCAGAGTAAATTTAACATGGAAATGAAGTAAAACAAAACAAGAAATAGTCTCAAATATTAGCCAGGAACTGGGGAACAGCAGATCATCTATTTGGCTTTGGGGTTTTGAGAGACAGTGTGTGCTGATGGCATGTATAAGAATCTTGGATTTTTTTTTCAGCTCTGTTAGGTAGATCCAATTCTTCCTGCTCCAGTCAATACTTCCTTCATTCCCTGGCCAATCATTCTTTTTCTCCTCTTCAAATAAGGAAGCATTAGACTTTCCAGTCATTGGGGTTGGGGAAGTCTCCCTGCTGCATGTTTCCTATGTGCAATCTCCAGATCACAGATGTGTTACTCTTGGTCCTCCAAGAAACAGCAGCCAAACTTGGATTAGACATACAGGAGATTTATTGAGGAAGTGTCTGTGAGGGGAACAGGGGGGAATCAGAGGAGGCAGTGAGTGCTGCCAGACTGCAAGATAGGTCTGATCCTGAGAAGGAGAGAGGAAAGGAAGCAGGGTTTGAGAGACAGAGTCTCACACTGCAGCACAGTGCTAGGGAAGTTTCACCAGTGATGGAAGATTTTAGAGCAAATTATCCAGTATCTCACAGGAATGGGTCTACCTTACTATCCCTCTTGTGCTCAACCATTGGCAGACAGCAGCCCAAGGAAGTAAAGCCCAGAGCATACACTGTCATGGATTTGGAGCAGAGCAGCTGGTGGTGTCTGCCAGTTATAGTCTCCATGGTGCAGAAGGAGATCTGAGTGGTACATTTTCATGGCCACTGTAGCTGTAGAAGCCACACTGCAGGAGCAGCCCACAGATGAACAGGAGAGGGGAGGGAGGAAGAGAGATACCAGCACGATGCCAGGGGTCAAAGACCAATATGACCCAATTTTTCCGGGGGCCCAACTCACATTTCACAATGCAGAGTACTAACTACTATACGATGAAGACTCAACTCACATTTCAAATGAAGAATGTGACTCTTGTCAGGTTTCTGACTCCTGAATCCTGGGTCAGCATGAGAATCCACTAGTTCAACTACTGCAGGCTAGCATGGAAGGCATGCCTCGTTTATTACATTTTACCTAAAAGCAAATGTGATTCAGGTTCCAAACAATCAATTTTCAATTGGCCTTTGGGGGATGCAGACATTCAAATTCAGGTGATTATCAACAATAAAGTATTTCAGTTCTCACGATGGCAGAGCCATCAGCAGTGAATACCAAAAAGGAGGATAAGATATCTATCTTTACACACTATTGTTGCATGGCAGAGAAGAAGCAATTCATTCTTTTCAGAAATATTTACTGAATGGCTTATATGTTGTCAGGAATCATCCCAGATGCTACAGTACTAGGTAGATTTATTTGAGGGTGTTGAAGAATGAAGAACTAAGAATAGGTGAATAGAAGTCATAGGGAGCATGATTTAGATTTGAAATAGCAAAGGATATCTTTAACAACTTTAAGAATTCTGTCTTCAGGTTGAACACATGCTACCTTCCATTGCACTCACCAGCCTTTGCTCATGTGGCTGTCACTCCGTGGATCACACTGTGTTCCAGCTATTTACGGATTTATTTTCCTTGATAGTTTGTAAAAATCCCTGCAGGATTAGGAGCATATGCATTAATTAACTAATTAAATAATTAACTCATCATTCGCATATTTATTCAACAAAGGTTTGTGAATGCTTTGTCTGTGCCTGCTGTTGGTATCTGGGGAGGCCAAGATAAATAAGATACAATACCTGTCCTCCAGGAGCTCACAGTAAGTTAGGGAGAAAGATGGGGAGATAGCAACATAATCCTGCGAAGAGCAAGAGCATCAAGGAGGGAATAACTGACTCTGCCGAGGGGGCGGAAATGAACAAATTCATCATAGAACTGATGACTCCTGAGTGACATTGTGAAGGAAGAGCAGAAGTTATCTGGGATTCTGTCTCTAGTTTCTAGCACAAATAAGTCCTCAGTTCATCTCTGCAAAATGAATGAATGAAGATGAATAAGCAGAGTGTGACTGAGGGTATTCTTTTCCTAATCAGCATCTACTGCTGGTGACAGTTCCTCACCCCTGGCTCCAGAAGTGGACTCGTGGCCCAGGCTTTGCCAGTCAAACAATTGAGCAGGTACTGGCCACAGCTATTGGTTCAGGAGAATGGAAGTGATTAAGCTTGGTCTAGCGAGACACATCACGGGACTTGGTTGAGTGGTGGGAGAGCACAGTCTCACCTTCTGCTGGACCTGGAGCTGTGGAATGTCAGCCAGGGGAATCTGGGGACCACGTGATAAGGATAAAATCTGTCTGAAGATGAAATTACATAGAGAAAGCATGACTAGGGGCTGAAGAGAGAGAGAAATTGGATCCTGATGACATTGTTTTAGCTCCTGGATCCAGCAATATAAGAAGTGGGTTTCTCCCTTATTTGCTCTTTAGGTAATCAATACATTACTTTGAGGGGGGCAGCATTTAAGCCAGTTGAGCTGCCTTTTCTGTTACTTGCAACCTAAAGTGTCTTGACCATAGGATGGGATCCTTCACAAAGTATGGAGTTCTCCATTTCCAACATGAGTCACATAAAATCACTAGCCTATCAGAGAAGGAAATGCTGTTACTGGGGAACCCAAAGTCCTTGTAGCCTTGCTGACTGAAGCTGGAAATGAGTCTATTACCTGAAGCAAAAAAATGAACATGGAAAAAAGAAAGGCAGGAGTGAGGGAGGAAATCTGTATCATAATATCAACCAGACTGCCCAGCAGGCTTTTAATAAAGTCTTGGTCTGTTTAGCCTAAAGTTTTATTTCAGAATGACTATTTAGTGTCTGCATTTTGGGTGAGGGACAAAATTAACCCAAACCAGAGAGAACTGACACACACACGAAAGTGGTTAAAAAGAATTATTGGGAGGCCGAGGTGGGCAGATCACGAGGTCAGGAGATCGAGACCAGCCTGGCTAACACGGTGAAACCCTGTCTCTACTAAGAATACACAAAATTAGCCAGGAATGGTGGCGGGCACCTGTAGTCCCAGCTACTCAGGAGGCTGAGGCAGGAGAATCACTTGAACCCAGGAGGTAGAGGTTGTAGTGAGCTGAGGTTGCACCACTGCACTCCAGCCTGGACCACAGAGCAAGACTCCATCTCAAAAAAAAAAAAAAAAAAAAGGAATCAAGTGTGCAGATTCATTAAGAGAAAGAGACGTGGCTGCTGAGAATGGTATTTTTCTGTCTCCTCTTGTCTAAGTGCATCATCTAGGGAGGAATCACTGCCAAAATTCAAAGTCCTCCCAACTTCTTGACAAACACAGACATCCTCCCCAGGGTCCCAACTTTGGCAGAGACCAGAGGTGAAAGTCCCCCCTGTCCTCAATCCAGGGATTTGAGTCAAGAGGCCAAGAAATCTGTACAACACATCCAGGGTAGGAGAGCAGGAGTTGAATGTGGCAAAGCCTGGAATGCAGGAGAATGAATTCCATGAAGCAGAGATACAAATAAATAGCTGATGCTGGAAGACAGCGTGTCTCCTGACTGTTTGGAAACCACTGGACTCTGGTTCTATTTATAAAAACATGTCCTACAGAACCAGTTTTCTTTGTTACTACTTGAGGCCACATCACCAACATATCCCAGGCACCGGTGGACAGCAATCGAGATGTGGGTCCTGGGCTCTGACCTCTTCACCGAGTTCATTCTGGCTCTGGGTAGGGACAGAGGCAGAGTGATTTTGTGTTTTCTACTTTCAATAACTGGGGGAGACACAGACCCACAGCCTTCCTTTAGGTTTCTAGCCCTTCTCGCCTTCCTATCGGGTTTCTTCTTTCTTGCTTGTCTGCCTCCCTGGACTTCTTTGCATCCCCTCTTAGCAGAAAGGACACTCTTCACTAGTCAAGAGGCATAGATTGTGTTTTAAGTGGTTTAAGCTTTGCCAGTAACTGGTTGTTCAACATTAGGCAAGTTATTTAATTACCCTGGACGCCAGTTTCCTCATCTGTAAAATGGGCTTAAAATGTTTGCTGATTTATGTTCCTTAAATATGAAGAACTGGGATGTTCATGTGGGTATTAAGAAACCTGAGATGTATTACAGAGAAGACGCATATTTAACTTTGTTTTGCCCAGCATGGCTCAAATAAATTTGAAACAAAACCTCTCAAAAACAATCTAGCCACATTCTCTTGCTATTCTCTGGTATGCAGTTTGAGAAGTGGTTGTGGCAGATACTTGAATTTGTGATCTCAACTTGCTTTTTGCCAGCCTTCTGCTTGGAGAAGTTAGGAACAAAAACTATTTCTCAGGCTTCCTTGCAGCTAGGGTTCTGCATTTGGATTAGATTTCACTACTTAGATGCACTCATGTGAGAGAAGGGAGAGATTTTCATTTCCTACTCAATCCTGATGATCTGCTGACCTTGATGATCTCTCAAGCCTTGTCCAACTCTAAGGGATGTCGATGTTTCCTTTCTTGGCCATATCTTCTCTTAGGAAAAGAGCTTCTTTAGATACAGTAGTTCTGGTCCATTTCTTCTCTTATGAGTTGAAATAGATCCCAAGAAACAGTTCCAGGATAAATCAGGAGAGGGTAAATGCTAGCTGGAATTCATTTTTCTCTGAAGTTCCCATCATTTTTTACAGTTCATTTCTGACTCAGTAGGACTTAGTTCATCTTTCTGGGGTCTTGCAGCAACTTCAAAAAAAAGAACGACTTGCAAAAGAGTTAAAACTATAACCATAGCACCCCCATGGGTCCTCTGGTAGCAATTTTGAGGCCAGACTGAGCCGGGCACACAGAAACTATCCCTCCTCTGAATCCCCTGTTGTTAATTTTATAGACATGATTGTATTTCTCATCACATGCCAAGACTATCTTAAGTGGTGCTCCAGTTAAACATAGTAGCTCTGAGAAGACAGAGACCTAGGTCTGGCTCCCTGATAACTCAGTAAGCAACCTTGGACAGAACAAATAACCATGCCGTCTCTTGGATTCCCTGGTCTAAAACTGACAAAATGCCATTTTCTCTGGCTGCTAGGACTTTAGACAAATGGGAGACTCTGTAGTGCAATGAGTTATAAAACTAAGCTTTTAAAGTGGGCGTCAGATATTACCATGGTAAAACCTTACTTTGACTACACAGAGGTGAAACATGAGAAGTTAGACTCACCAAACATGGGACAGAGAACCTCTAGGTGGCCCATTCTTTGGCAAAATTGTGAGGTGTTTAAAACTTGCCTTTATCTTCTTCCAAAAGAGAAAAACTCAGTTTTTCAACTTTTAGGACCAGAAGCTTTTCCCCCTTCTCCCTCTGCCCCTTAGAATTCTGCAGCATTGTAACTCTGTCCTACCTCTCAGAGAAATAACATATATTACAGAAAGCTCATTTAACCCAAGGCTGTGGTTTCAACCCTGGCTGCTCATCAGGTCTGGAGAACTTCAGAGAGCACAGATGCCAGGGCCCCACACCTAGAAACCCAACTCAGTTGGTCTTGGATGGGTCCCAGGTGTACTAACTATTCAGAAGCTCCCATGGGTTGGGAACCATTGGGGTATTGTTACCTAAGAATACTTCTTCAAATAAGATCATGGAAGGGATTCCAGGGATAAACTTGTCTTGCTCTACACCTACTCAGGGTTTCCATAAAGCAGGTTACTGCCATTCACTTTGACTTGTAACCTTCAAGATAGCCAAATTCAGAGTGTGGCTCTTCCCATAAATAAGAAGCTTGTAAAATCTTGCAATAATGCCAAGGTTAGGTCATGATGGAGCGTCTGTCTAGTAGCTGGTGCCTGGTCCTGAAATTCTGTGCCCACTCTGGCTACCTGCTTGATTAGGCTCAGTTATCCCACACTCGAATACTCCCAGAATCCAATTCTCATCTCTCTGCCTGGTGTCCTGTTCCTCATCTAACCCTCCAGTACTAACCTCACGGCATCAAATAATGACAAACATAAGGACTTTGAGTTAGAACTTGTTCAATCTTGACTCCATTGCTCTGTAACTCAGGATTCCTTGGGAAACCTATTCAGGGTATTGGTTTCTTCATCTGTAGAGTAGGGGTGATATCACCTATTCTATTCAGTTTCAGTTTTGACACATAGTAAATACTGAATAAATGTTTGGTCCCCTTCCTCCAACCTCATTGTTCATCTTTTACTGATTTCCACCTATTGTCTGTCTTCCAGACATCAAGAATGTGATAAGTAACTCAAAAAATATCTATTAGGATTTGGAGTATCAGTAGGAAGGTGTTTTAGGGTAAACAGTACCTTTTTGTTACAACTGAAACTACAGCCTACTGGTCCCCACGAACTTTCTTAGTTCCCACATAAGGGATGTGACCGTGACATTGAGGACAGTCAATGACAGTGCCATGACAGTGTTTGTCACAACAATAATAACAAAACACAAGGGCTTTGTGTTTGGGAATGGGGAAAATAATGGATGTAGTGAGAGGAGTGAGCTGATAGTCACTTGCGGGAAGCTGAAAAATAAACCCAGAGAAGACCTGGAAAGGACAGACAACCAGATGTCCAACTAGGAAGCAAAAATCTTGGCTGGATTCTGTTTCAAACCACAGAATCTGAATTTTTGGAAGAAAGCATTAAAAACAATAAATTACCCCAAATGGCAAAGTTAGGATTCAACTGCCTCAAACTGTAACAACTTAGGCACTTGTAAAAGAGAAATATTCCAGATGGCAAAGTGGAAGGATGAATTATAGAGAAGGAAGTGGCTAATATCCTGTGCAATACTCTGAAGCAATACAAAAAGAGAACCTTCGTGAAGGAACAGGCTGGGGATCCCAGTGTTTCTGGGGGACAGAAATGGAGTGCCATTCAATCAGGGGCAGCTGACCCCACTGGGCAGCCCTGGGTGCCTGGGGCTCAGGCATGATTTCAAATTGCTTTCTGTCTTCCAAGTGATTTTGGAACAAATGGCTCTGGTGGCCTCAGGGGCATGTCTGGAATGACTACATGAAACTTCCAGGGCTTTGATTTGGCGTGGTCCGTCTGGCTTCACTGCCTAGTTCAGGGTTCAGTGGCCTAGATATGATTTCAAATCTCAGTTACTTTTCATCTTCTACCTCTTTTTATATGAGAACACTCCAGCCCTCAAATCAATGGGACTGGATCTGAACAGTAGAACTGGAGGCAGTCTAAGGACTTTGACTTTAGTCCTCTGACTTCTCAAAAGGTAGACCGCAGACCAGCAGTCTCATCATCACCTAAAAGATGATGGGAAATGCAGTAACTCTACCAAATCAGGATTCATATTTTAACACAACCATCAGGTGATTTTTGTACATGTTAAGGTTTGAGAAGCAATGTTCTAGGCGATTTAATAGGGCAAAAGGATGTAGGTCCATAAAGATTCCTATAACCATCAGAAAGGACACTGCACTTTGAGGTAGTCTAATCTTTCCAATAATGATGCACCTCAAGGAGTCTGCAAGTGTCCTAATAGCACTGCCAAGACTTTGACCCCAGCACTAATAGTAAATGCCTTTCAGTTGGAAGTTAGGCCCATAAGCACAAGGACATTTTGTGCTCAATCTCAGCCTCAGCTACTCCATTCTACTGTTTCTCCTCCTTCTCTCATAGAGCATACATCCCCACTGGAAGAAAGTGACAGAATAGAAGAAAGGTGCACAAAACCCTCTATTGGTTTTTTATCACATCAAAAAAAATCTGGATTCTTCACTATGGCCTTATAAAGCACTTCCTGGTTTGGCACCTGATTACACCTTCCATTTTATCTCTTACCCTCTCTCACTTTGCTCCAGCCACTTTGGCCTTCTTTCTTCCTTGAACATACAAGGTTCATTTCCAGTGCCAAGTATTTTCAGTCATTGTTTCCTCTATGGCAGGGGTCCCCTACCCCCAGGCTGTAGAATGGTACTGGTCGGGGCCCTGTTAGGAACTTGGCCACACATCAGGAGGTGAGCAGTAGGTGAGTGGGTGAAGCTTCATCTGTGTTTACGGTCACTCCCCATGGCTCACAATACCGCCTGAGCTCACCTCCTGTCAGATCAGCAGCAGGATTAGATTCTCATAGGACTGCAAACTCTATTGTAAACTGCACATGCGAGGGATCTGGGTTGGGTGCTCTTTATGAGAATCTAATGCCTGTTGATCTGTCACTCTCTCCCATCACCCCTAGATAGGACAGTCTAGTTGCAGGAAAACAAGCCCAGGGATCCCAGTGATTCTGCATTATGGTGAGTTGCATAATTATTTCATTATATATTACAATGTAATAATAATAGAAATAAAGTGTGCAACACATGTAATGTGCTGGAATCAACCCAAAACCATCCCTACCCTCGCCTCCATCTGTGGAAAACCCAGTCCCTGGTGCCAAAAAGGTTGAAGACCACTGGTCTATGGAAATGCTCTCTCTGTCCTTACATCTTATTATTGCTAGATCTTCATAATTCAGGTCTCAGCACAAATGCAGTGCTCCTAGAAAGACTAGCCCTGCCACACCATCTAAAATCCCACCCCACCTTATCCATCTGTATCACATTATCCTGTGTGATGCTCCTTAGGGTACTTATTACTTGGTATCCTCTTCTTTATATTTACTGGTTTAATTTCTCTTCCCTACCACATATAAGCTTTATAAGAGCAATCTTATTGATTGCTATATCCCAAGTGCCCAGAACAGTGCCTGACAGAGCAGTTATTCAAAAGATGTTTACTGGATTTGAGTGAATGATTGGGCTAGGTTAAACTATTGACTTTTGGATTATCTGTGCATTCCTGTGTTTCCTGCTCTAACTATTGTGCTTATGACCACAGACAACTCAGAAGGGCTTACATGGCAGAGGCTGAGTTAATGATACTGTTGGTCTGGCCCATAGGATTGAGATAGTCCACGCTGAGTCATTTCAGAGCTGTGTGGTATTTCAATCCAAGATTGCTCTGTAAACTATGATGGACTGCCTGCCCATGCATAAGGTACTTTCATCTGTAAAGAAGAATATTACAAGCTTTCTGACCTTAAAGGCTTCTCCTTAACTAGGCAGACAAGCAGATAAGCAAATGGTTTTTATACAATGTGAAAAGTAAGTTCAAATTATAGATGGACAAAGGAAGAATACAAGTTTAACAAATGGGGGGGTGTTAGAGTTATTTTCCCAAAAGTAGTGATGTCTGTTTGGAGCTTTAAAGCACAAAAAGGAGTTTGTCAGAAGCACATATAGGTATTCCAGGGAAACAATGGCACCACTAAGGTATAGAGGCAAGAAAGAGCCTGGGGAATTACAATAGTTTGGTAATGCCAGAATGCAAAATGTGCAGTTCAGGCTGGCAGAAGGAAACGAGGCTGGAATAGGAGCCAACAGGCTTATAATAATATATATCCTTGAGGTGCTAGATCCACCATATGTTTGAGGTCAAATACAAATATCTCAAATATCTTTCAGTCCAAAAGAGCCAACAATGAGTTGAGCTGAGAGCATGTTGCAACCTCCAGCCCCGCTTTGTACTCCCCTCGGGCACCATGAGCACCGTGCCCAACAATCTCAAAAGCCCCCACATGCTGGACCCATTAGGCACTGCATGCTCCACCGTCTGAGTCATTTCTCCCTCTGCCACTGGTGACTGAACCCAGAGGAACTCTCCACTAATTGAATTTGAGATGACTCACTCTAAACTAGGGACTTGAAACTCGAAAACCTTGGCAGCAATACCTTGGCAGTGAAATTCTTGGGTCATATTGTCCAGCTCATTGTCTGGGGAGCCAGTAGGAGCGAGGGGATGTAGTGTGGGTATCTGTCGGGGAGGAAGGTTGGAGGCAGGGACTTTGGGTTTTCTTAGAGACCTGGAAAGGATAAGAGCATTCACTGCATGTCATTGTTTGTTTGAGCTCCAGCTGGTAGCCAAGAGTTTTTAAAAAATGACATTCGAACATGTTTTGTTTGGCACACCTAGTTTTGTTTACAATATTTGATGCAACATTTTAAAGATAAGGAGCTTTTACATTACATACCACATTTCTGATTCTGTTAAAGCATTGAAAGACCTGGCAATAACCCACTGCAAGTGAAGAATGGATATCCCTGGTACAGGTGGTGTGCTCCCTAGGTTTCCAGAGTCTTCACCCCGATTTTTACATTCTGATGCCCCTGCACTTATATCCAGAATGTTTCACTTGTGTAGTAACATTCAAGGGCCTTTTTGGCCCTATAGGCATTTGTGTTTGCAAAGCCTATTCTGAAGCTACCAATGAGGAGACAAACTCTGATGACAGTTTTGGTAACAGAGGAATGGACCTCAAAGTATTATTTCTTTGGCATATTTCATCTGCTCAGTGCTCAGGAATTTATTAGAAAATAATGCAATAAAAGGGTGGGCATGAAGGTCAGCAACCTCCACCTCACCTACTCATTCTATTTTGGCAGAACATATAGTAGACATACTGAGGCTGGGGTTACATGTATTATCTTACGTTTCCCATCATAATTGTGTCATGGTATGTATTTAATGGATGCTCATTCAATGCATAGTGAATGGAATGTCATTGCTGGTCCAAGTCTGGGCATCTAATGTCCTCTCCCAGGAGACCTGGCACCCACGACACTGCATGGAATGTTTTTCTTTTTCTCCATCTATTCATGTTTCAATGCTCCCCTTCCTTTCATCTGTACTCATCTGCCTGCTCTTCCCTAAAGCTTTCAAGGACTTCCCCAGGCTGGCAATAGGAACCTTCTCTTCTCTATTCTTATCAGGATTTATTTTTGTTGTATAACTTCCCGAGTCTTTGTTTCATTTATGAGAAAATAAATATCTACTTCATAAGACCAATATATGCATTGTGTCTGGAACATGTTGAAAATGGTAATTAGATTTATATTTATATGCTTATATATTGCTTACTTTATGCCAGGAACCCTTTCAAGTATTTTGCATAGGTTGGTTTATTTAATCTTTACAACATTGCTGTAAGGCAGGTACTGATGTTATAATCCTCATTTTACAGATAAAGAAGCTGAAGCAGAAAGAGATGAAGTAACTTGCTCAAGGAACACAGCTAATAAGCTCTAGAGGTAAGCACAGCTAATAAGCCTTTAAACCCAGGAAGCTGGACCCAGCGTCTATGGCTCCACCCATTAAGTAAAACTGCCTCTCTTCTGAAGTAAGGTCTACATATATGGTAGTATCCTTTGGGTTAGAGATGGCAAATTGTCCTTCAATATCCATTCTCACCAGTGCTATTTTGTATTTTTAATCACACACAGCCTAATTGAATCCTACTTGCTTTTTTTTTTTTTTTTTTTTTTTTGAGACGAGGTCTCGCTCTGTTGCCCAGGCTGGAGTTCGGTGGCTCTAACTCAGCTCACTGAAACCTCTGCTTCCCAGGTTCAAGTGATTCTCCTGCCTTAGCCTCCCAAGTAGCTGGGATTACAGGCACCTGCCATCATGCCCAGCTATTTTTTGTATTTTTGTAGAGACGAGGTTTCACCATGTTAGCCAGGCTGGTCTTGAACTCCTGACCTCAGGTGATCTGCCCACCTTGGCCTCCGAAAGTGCTGGGATTACGGGCGTGAGCCACTGCACCCGGCCAAATCCTACTTGCTTTTTAAGCATGATTTGACTAGCACAAGAGAAAGGCAGAAAAGAGAAGTCTCCAATAATAGAACGAGTAGAGTAAAGCCTTAGAGGTGGGATCCTCTATCCTTCCTTCTCCTCTTTGAAAAATAGCTTTGTCAGCAGATCCTTCCCGAGAGTTCTTGGCCTTCCAGAAGTACCATAGATCCAACTCAGATGAAAAACTTCCCTGAGGCCAAGTCGCTCGGAACTATCTGAATGCAAATGGCAATGGATTTCCATTTCATCATTTTCAGATAGTACGAAATTCTAGCACTAACTTACCTGAACACGTTTGGTACATGCTCTCTTGTTTGTCCTTAGTTTCTCCATCTGTAAAATGAAGGATTGGAAGAGACCACAAATGGCAAACAGGCTTGCTTTTGCAGGCCATATTCAATCGATTAGTTGTATTTGCTGGGTGTACTGCATCCCATAAGCAGTATTTGACCAGAAATGTCTGCCATTGGAGAGAAACATGTGTCAGCATATTTGCCTGCCTGGGTTAGATGATTCTCCAGGCTTCTACACAATTTTATGTTTATATGAAAATAGCCACAAAGGGAAAAGAGGACAATAAAACAAGAGATATGAATAATAATGTATTGTATACTTGAAATTTGCTAAAAGAGTAGATCTCAAGTGTTCTACATACACACACACACACACACACACACACAAAGGTAATGAATGAGATGATAGGTGTTAATTAACTTGATTGTGGTAATCACTTCACAATGTATACATATAAAAACATCATGTTTTACAACCTACATTTATACAATTCCTCAATTATATATCAATAAACCTGGAAAAATAAAGATGTATAAAAAAGATTTACAAATAAGATTTTTAAAAAAGGATTGTGAGGAAACAAAGTATGACAGTAGAATTACCATTTTTACTAGAGGCAGTAAAGGTCAGAATTAATATTGCAGAAAATCAAGTCAATAATAGAGTTGACAAATACAAAATTTTAATGCAGAGAAAAAGAGCAAAGTGTGAAGTTGGGGGTCGGGCCTGGCGGCTCACCTGTAATTCCAGCACTTTGGTAGGCTGAGGTGGGCAGATCACCTGAGGTCAAGATCAGCCTGGACAACACGGTGAAACCCTGTCTCTACAAAAATACAAAAATTAGCTGGGCATGATGGCAGGTGCCTGTAATCCCAGTTACTTAGAGGCTGATGCAGGAGAATCACTTGAACCCGGGAGACAGAGGTTGCAGTGAGCCAAGATCACGCCATTGCACTCCAGCCTGGGAGACAGAGTGAGACTCTGTCTCAAAAAAACAAACAACAACAACTATAACAAAAACACAAAGTATAAAGTGGGACAGAAGGGAGATGGATGTGGTTATAAAAAGGCAACAGGGGTGATATTTGTGGAGATAAAACTGTCTTGACTGTGGTGGTGGATACACAGACCAACATATGTAATAAAGTTACACATAACTAAGTATTTACACTAAGTAATACATACGCTTTCACACACACTCACCCAGATTACTCATACCCACACCAGTACAAGTAAAACAGAAAATCTGATAAGATTGGTGGATCATGTAAATGTAAACATCCTGATTGTGATATTTTGGCAAGATATTACCCTGAGAAACCTGAGCAAAGGGTACATGGGATGTGTCTGTATTATTTCTTACAATTACAATGTGAATCTACAATGATCTCAAAATTTAAAAATTAACAAAAAGAGAACAAAGTCATAAAGACATAGAGAATTGGAGACAAGAGATTAAAGATTCAAGATATGGACAAATAGTGCTGTAAAATGGAGCTAGAAGCAATGGTCAAAGGTAAAAATAGATTTAAATGTTTCTGTGCTGAAAAAAATGTCAATATTCAAGGACTGAAAAGACTCACTAGAATCTAGGCATAATGAAGGAAAAGAAATTGATCCTTAAACACACTGAGTCAAACTTTCTGTATTATGGGGATTGCAGACAAAAATGACAACCAGAGAAAATAGCAAAGAACCAAGAGCCCGTGGGCAGTCCTGGGGGCTATAGTGGAATCTCAGAGCCAGTGGTATTGATGGACCCCTCGCCTACATCAGTTGTTTTAGGAGATTCTTTCCCCCATAAAGCTCTGGACTGATGACAAACCTGAAAAAGATGCTGAATCACAGGTATTGCATGAGAAACATTTGCACTGAGAGGGAGATTGGATGAATTTCCCTAAATCATTTCTGAATGATTTCTTACCATTCATAAATAATTTCTTTAAAAATGACAAAGGTATCCAGGCTGGCATGGGGCTTAAAGAAAAAAAAAACATGAAGGTGACTTTTATAGTTCCTATTTAGATATGGATCTAGGTACAAAGCAAATTCAATCATTCCTGTACTTTTCCTCAAAAACATTTTTAACCTTGGCCAGGCACTGTGGCTCATGCCTGTAATCCCAGCACTTTGGGAGGCCGAGGCGGGTGGAGCACTTGAGATCAGGAGTTTGAGACCAGTCTGGTCATCATGGCAAAACCTCATCTCCACTAAAAATACAAAAATTACCTGGGCGTGGTAATTTTACAGGTAACACCTGTAATCCCAGCTACTCGGGAGGCTGAGGCATGAGAATCGCTTAAACCTGGAAGGCAGAGGCTGCAATGAGCCAAGATCGTGCCTCTGCACTCCAGCCTGCGCAGCAGAACGGAAAACAAACAAACAAAATAAAAAACCATGTTTAACCTTAATCAATGTACATTGATGGACACTTAGTAGGTACAAGGCACTAGAAATAGACAAAAGTATTGAATCAGGCATGCCCCCATCCTGAACAGCCCATTACAGATGTGCACAGAAACGAAGAATAAAAACTATGAGTTATTGTTATTTGCATTCTAGACACTGTATACATATTTTATATATTATTTAATTTAATTATCCCAATAATTCCTTTGAAGGCAGAATTGGGATTTTACTTTATGTTTGTGTGACCCAATATGTGCTTTTTTACTGCCTACCATTTTTCAAGATGAAGGTCAAATCATACAGCCATTATGAAATCTTCTCTAAACATGTACATATTCATCATTCGTTCATTCAACAAATACTTACTGATATCATATATGTACCAGGCTCTCTGCTAGGTTCTGGGATAAATGATGAGAAAACAAGACAGGAATCTATTTTCAAGGAGTTTCAAGTGTAATGGAGGAAACTGGTATTAATCAAATGCGTGTAGAACTGTATGTGTCCATAGCAAGGGCTAAGAAGGAAAGATACATGTTGCTTTGAGGCCCTATAAGGTACAGATTTGACCTAGGCAGAGACTCAGGGAAGGTTTCTCCAGGGAAGTGAACCCCACTGGAAGAAAGGCACTCCAGGAAAGGGAAACAGCATGAGCAAAATCTGTGTGGTGGGAACGATCATGAAGGACCACTGTAGTGAGTAAAGATGTGTGCTGAAAGATGAGAATGGAAACTAGCAAGATCCAGGGCATGCCAGGACTTGAAGCCCAAGTAAGGAGATTGCCTTAATATGAAGAGCAAGAGGAAGTCATGGGAAGGGTTCAGGAAAAGAAGTGGTAGTGAATTTTCAGTCTTTGTATTGCCTTCTATAAGTCAAAGCTGTTCATGCATACATCTCAATTATGTTCTGTCTTACACTTTCTTGTGACACTAAATGACACAATCTCATTTTCCAAATTAGATGTGAGACTCCCTAGAGGTTGGGGATACTCCTTAAACCAAATTTTATTGGGCTTAAGACTCCCAAGTGAGAAGTGTGTTTGTTGTTATGTTCTACTAAAAAAGAGAAAATGCTGCCGATTAGACATGCCATCAAATGGAAATAGCATCTCTATTTTGGAGATTCAAAAATGTGAAATATGTGCATTTTTAACTCAATGAAATATTATATATTTTTTTGATTCCCTTATAATGTCTAGGACAGAGCTGAGCTTGTCTTAAGTGGAATGAGAAAAGTACCAGACTTCAAATGAGAAGACTGAGTTGGCAGCCTGGTTCTGACACATACCTGGACAAGAATGACTTAATTGTTTTGGGACCCAGTCCATTCCTCTGTAAAATGGCCATATGACCCCTGAGGGTCCTCCCAGCTCTGCTGCTTCTCCATGCAATAGCTGTCTGACAATAATCTCTAGGAAGATGTCTTTGAGGCCTTTCTTTGCTGGAGAGAACTCCTGCAGGAAGCTGCAGTAGTCCCTTATTCTTCTCCAGGTAGGAAGTACTGAGGAATGTGCCTGGAAGGCACACAGACCTAAATTAGAGTCAGAAAACTGAAGGCTCAAGAAATCTATTAACCAAGGAAAGTTTGTGCAGGTCTGATGTTAACCAGAAGTTGGGAGCAAGGCATGGGCTGTATTATGGGTAGAATTGTGTCCCCCACAAAATATATTATTAGAGTCCTTAACTCCAGTATTTGTGAATGAAACTTATTTGGAAATAGGGTCATTGCAGATAAGTTAAAGTGAGGTCATAAGGGTGGGTCTTAATCTAATATGACTGGTGTTCTTATAAAAAGGGAAAATTTGTTCTTGTCCAAAGCTGATGAAAAGCCCAGGACCAGATGGATTCACAGTCAAACTCCATCAAATGTACAAGGAACTAAGACTAATCCTCCTGAAGCTGTTCCAAAAAATTGAAGAGGAGGGATTTATCCCTAACTTATTCCACAAGGCCAGTAAATCCACCCTGTTACCAAAACCAGAGAAGGACGTAACAAAAAAAGAAAACTACAGACCAATATCCCTGATTAACATAAATGCAAAAATCCTCAACAAAATACTAGCAAATCAAATCTAACAGCCTATCAAAAAAGAGAATGCACCACGATCAAGTGAGTTTTATACTAGGGATGCAAGTATGCTTCAACATATGCAAACCAATAAAAGTGATACATTACATAAACAGAAGTAGGGTCAAAAAACATGATTATCTCAATAGATGCAGAAAAAGCATTTGATAAAATTCAGCGTTCATTTATGATAAAAACTCTCAACAAACTAGGCATAGAAGGAATATACTTCAACATAATAAAACCCATATATCACAAGCCCACAGCCTACATCATACTGAATGGGGAAAGTTGAATATATTTCCTCTAGGAACTAAAACAAGACAAGGATGCCCACTTTTACCACTCCTATTCAACATAGGACTACAAGTCCTAACCAGAAAAGTCAGGCAAGACAAAGAAATAAAAGGCACTTTAATTGGAAAAGAGGAAGTCAAATTCTCCCTGTTTTCTCATGTTATGATCTTATATTTAGAAAAACCTAGCTAGGTGCAGTGACTGTGACTGTAATTTCAGATTCAGGAGGCTCAAGCAAGAGGATCACTAAGGCCAGGAGTTTGATACCAGCCTGGGCAACACAGCAAGACCTTGTCTCTAAAACAAAATTTTTTTAAATTAGCTGGGCATGATGGCTTATGCCTATAGTCCCAGCTACTTGGGAGGCTGAGATGGGAGGATCCCTTGAGCCCAGGAGTTCAAGGCTGCAGTGAGCTATGATCTCACCACTGCACTCCAACCTGGGCAACAGAGCAAGACCCCATCTCTAAAAAAATAATAAAATAAAATAAATAGAAATAAAATGGAAAAAACCTGAAGACATCACCAAAAAATTCCTAGATTTGATATATGAATTTAGTAAAGTTGCAGGATATAAAAATCAATGTACAAAAATCAGTAGCATTTTTTACACCAATAGTGATCTAGCTGAGAAAGAAATCAAGAAAGCAATTACATTGACAATGGATACAGAAAATAAAATGCCTAGGAATAAATTTAGCCATGGAGGTGAAAAATCTCTACAAGGAGAGCTACAAAACACTGATGAAAGAAATTGTAGATGACACAAACAAATGGAAAACATTTCATGCTCATGGATTAGAATAATTAATACCAATAAAATGACCATACTGCCCAAAGCAATCAACAGATTCAGTGAAATTCTTATCAAAATACCAACTTCATTTTTTCATGCATTAGAAGAAATAATTCTAAAATTCATATGAAACCATAAAAGAGCCTGAATAGCGAAAGCAATTCTAAGCAAAAAGAACAAAGCTGGAGGCATCACATAACCTGACTTCAAATTATTTTGCAAGGCTGTAGTAACCAAAACAGCAAGGTACCAATATAAAAATAGACAGATTAGTGGAAAGGAATAGAGAGCCCATAAATGAAGCCACATATTTACATCCAACTGATCTTTGACAAAGCAGACAAGAACATACATGGGGAAAAGGATGCCCCTTTCAATAAATGGTGCTGAGTAAATTGGATATCCATATGCAGAAGAATGAAACCACTCCTATCTCTCACCATATAAAAAATCAGCTCAAGATGGATTCAAGATTGAAATGTAAGACCTGAAATTATAAAAATACTAGAAGCAACCCTAGGGAAAATTCTTCTCGACACTGATATAGGCAAATAATTTATGAATAAGACCTCAAAAGCACAGGCAACAAAAACAAATATAGCTAAATGAGACTTAATTAAACCAAAAAGCTTCTACATAGCAAAAAAAAAAAAAAAAAAAAAAATGAACAGAGTGAACAGGCAACCTGCAGAATTGGAGAAAACATTCACAAACTATTTATTCAACAGGAGACTAATATCCACAATATACAAGGGCCTCAACAACAACAACAAAACCCAAACAATTTCATTAAAAAGTGGGAAAAGGATATGAATAGACATTTTTCAAAAGAAGACATACATATGGCCAATAGGCATATGAAAAAATGCTCAGCATCACTAATCATCAGAAAAATGCAAATTAAAACCACAATGAGATATCATCTTACTTCAGATGGAATGACTATTATTAAAAAGACAAAAAAAAATTAACCAAACAGATGTTTGTGAGGATGCAGAGAAAAGGGAACACTGTTGGACTGTTGGTGGGAATGTAAATTAATACAACATCTACCCATAGTATGAACTCTATTCATAGTATGGTGATTTTTCAAAGTAGCAAAAATAGAACTACCATTGATCCAGCAGTCCCACTACTGAGTATCACTCCAAAGGAAAATAAATCAATACATCAAAAATATACTTGCACTCGCATGTTTATCACAGCACTGTTCACAATAACAAAGATATGGAATCAACATAATGTCTACCAACAGGTGATTAGACAAAGCAAATGTGGTACATTTACACACTGGAATACCATTCAGCCATAAAAAGAATGAAATCATGTCTTTTGCAGCAACATAGACGGAACTGGAGGTCATTATCTGAAGTGAGACAAGTTAGACACAGAAAGTCAAATACTGCATGTTCTCACTCAAAGTGGGTGCTAAAAATGTGTACACGTGGAAGGAGAGAGTGGAATGCCAGACAATGGAGAGTCAGAAGGGTGAGAGGGTGAGAGGAAGGTGGATAAAGAGAAATTACTTAACGGGTACAATGTGTGTTAGGTACAATGTATGTTATTCAGGTGATGCATACCCTAAATGCCCTGACTAGACCACTACACAATCTATGCTTGTAACAACATTACAATTGTACCCCATATGTTTATACAATTAAAAACAGGCTGGGCGTGGTGGCTCACATCTGTAATCCCAGCACTTTGGGAGGCTGAGGTGGGTGGATCATGAGGTCAAGGGATGGAGACCATCCTGACCAGCATGGTGAAACCCCGTCTCTAGTAAAAATACACAAAATTAGCTGGGCGTGGTGGCGGGCGCTTGTAAATCCCAGCTACTCAGGAGGCCGAGGCAGGAGAATTGCTTGAACCTGGGAGGCGGAGGTTACAGTGAGTTGAGATCGCGCCACTGCACTCCAGCCTGGTGACAGAACAAGACTCCGTCTCAAAATAAATAAATAAATAAATAAATAAATAAAACAAAATTTAAAAAAAGGAAAAACAGAACAACAACAGCAACAACAAAAAGAAAAAAAAAATCTGCCAGCCATAGAAAGCTTCCTGTAAGTGGATCCAGCCCCAAGGAGAAAAGATTACAACTCTGCCCTTTACAGAAAGCAGCTCGTAGGAGTCTTACCTTGGTAGTGGGTGTTAAGGAACAAATACAGATTTGAACTCTAGTTCTATAACTGAATCACTAGCTATGTGACTTTGGGCAAGTTACTCAACCTCTCTGAACCCATTCCTTCATCAGTACAATGGGGATAATAATAACCTGCCCTAGGTGGTTCTCATAAGGATTAAAAGAAAAAACCATTAAAAATGATAACATCTGCCATTTTTAGAGCACTGGCTACATGCCAGGTTCTGTGCCATGAACTTTATACATTATTTCATTTCTTCTCACAACGATACTGTGAAATAGGTATTCTTAATTCTGCCCAGTTTACAGATGAGGAAACTGAGACTCGAGGACATGAAGTGACTTGCCCAGGGCACACACATAGCTGGCAAGTGGCAAAGTCAGGATTTGAAAAAAAGGGGAGGGGGGCAGGAATTTGGATACAGACAAACACATGCAGAAGGGAGAGATATGAAGACATAGGGAGAGTGTCATCTATAAGCAAGGGATGCCTGGGGCCACCAGAAGGTGGGAAAGAGGCCTGGAACAGATCTTCCCTCACAGCCCTCAGAAGGAACCACCCTTGCTGACACCTTGATTTTGGACTTCCAGCCTCCAGAACTGTGAGACAATATGTTTGAGTTGTTTAAGCCACCCAGTTTGTGGTACTTTGTTTTGGAAGCTCCAGGAAACTAATACAGCTGTTTCTTAAAACAAGTGTTTTGGCTGGGCATGGTGGCTCATGCCTGTAATCCCAACACTTCGGGAGGCCGAGGTGGGCGGATCACCTGAGGTTAGGAGTTTGAGACCAGCTTAGCCAACATGACAAACCCTGTCTCTACTAAAAATACAAAAATTAGCTGGGTGTGGTGGCATGCACCTGTAATCTCAGCTACTCAGGAGGCCAAGGCAGGAGAACTGCTTGAACCCAGGTGGTGGAAGTTGCAGTGAGCTGAGATCACACCACTGCACTGCAGCGTGGGCGACAGAGCAAGACTCCGTCTCAAAAAAAAAAGAAATGTTTCACTGCAATGATTTAGTGTTTCTCACTTTTCATCCTCCTCTGCTTCTGAGAGAGTAACAGATTTTCACAAACCAGGGGGCAGAAATACATGACATTGTGAAGAGGGTAAAATTTGTTCTCAACCTTTCCATAACTGCTTTCTGCACCTGACAATTCCTTCTCATGCCTCTGACCTAGAGCATTCAGCATCTCATACTGACTGCCTCCCCATAGCTAAGAATGCCTCTGGGTGCCTTCCTCAGCTCTGCTGAAGTCAGTTTGCTATACCAACTTCTCAAGGCTGGAGATTAGAATGTGTTTTTCTATGGTTTAGGAAAACCTCCTTCCACCAGGAACTTGAATCAGTTATGAAAATTAGGTAGCAATCAGGGAAATGCAGAGTTTAAACATTAGAAGTCACCTTAGAGACAACCCATCCAAGGGCTTCTGACTGATCCAAGGTGTGGATTGAGGCCTGATAATTTTTATTTTTAAGTTCTCATGGGACGAGATTCTGGGACCACCTTCTGTCTTTCAATCCAGAGGTGTTGTATATCAGGTGAGCAGGCTTCTCACCCTGTTCAATGAGAAAGAATTGACTGCACCTCAATACAATGGTTCTTATCCTTGGCTGCACATTGGAATCACCTGGGGAGATTTTAAAACCCACCAGGAGTCTGATTTAATTGCTCTGAGGGGCAGGCGTAGCACTGATGTTTTGCAAGCTGCTGAGGGGATTCTGCTGTGCAATCAGGACTGAGAATCACTGTCTTCATATTTACAACTCTCTGATTATGGGTAAGTTATGTAAACTCTTGGTGCTGAGTTTTCTCATCTATATAATGAGATGGTAATGACACTTATTATAGTTTTGGTGACTAGTGACTATTAAATGAGTCAATCAATTTAGAACATTTAGAAATATGCCCAGCATTTAGTGAATGTTATATGAAAGTTGGCTGTTGTTGTGATCATCATCATAGGAGTTGTAGTTAGTGTCTTCTTTCCTCTCCTCCATCCCTTTTTTTTCTTTTTGCATGCTCTGATTTTCATGGACTCTTTTTACATGTTTGCAAGACTTTAGCTCTGTTGTAGAATGGGCTATATTCAAGTCACCAAAATTAAGTAGGGCCATTTGCTCACCACCTCCCTTTATCTTCTCCCCCAACCCAATAGAGGCTGCCCTGTTCTTTCAGTGAATGTTGTTTAGTGGAAATAGCACTGTACTGGGAGTCAAAAAATATGGATTCTTTCTTAAGATCTAAATTCCAAAGCACTCTTTTAAAAAATTAACTGACTGTAAATATGAGAGTTTTACTACAGGGCTCTCAATTCTATTCCCTTGAGTTATAAATCTATCCTTATGCCAGTGCCACACTTCTGATTAACGTAGCTTTGTAGTAAGTTTTAAAATCAGAAAGTGTGAGCTCTCCAACATTGTTATTTTTCAAGATTCTTTGGCAATTCTTGTTCCCTTGCATTTTCATATGAATTTTAGAATCAGCTTGTCCATTTCTGAAAAGATGCAAGCTGGAGTTTTAACAGTGACTGCATTGAATATATGAATCACTTTGAGCAGTTTTGTCATCTCCACAATTTTAAGCCTTCTGATCTGAGAATGTGATGTGTCTTTATACTTATTTGGTCTTTAATTTCTTTCAACAATGTCTTGTCATTTCCAAAGTACAGTTGTTCACTTATTTTGTTAAATTAATTCCTAAGTATTTTAGCTTACTTGTTCTTTTTCCTGCTATTATAAATGAAATTTTCTTAATTTCATTTTCAGATTGTTCATTGCTAGTACATGGAAATACAATTGATTTTTGTATATTGCTCTTATACCCTACAATCTTACTAAACTTGTCATGTTATTCTAATAATTTTAGTAGGTTCTTTAGGATTCTACAAGATCTGTTTACAAGATTATATCATCTGAAAGAGAGCTAGTTTTATTTCTTCCTTTACACTGTGTATGTTTTTTATTTAACTTTCTTGTCTAGTTGTACTGGCTAGAGCCTCCAGTACGATGTTGAAATAGAAGTGGCAAGAGGGCTGGGCACGGTAGCTCACACCTGTAATCCCAGCACTTTGGGAGGCCGAAGAGGGCAGGTCACCTGAGGCAGTAGTTTGAGACCAGCCTGGCCAACATGGTGAAAACCCATCTCTACTAAAAATACAAAAATTAGCCGGGCATGGTGGTGCACACCTGTAATCTTGGTTGCTTGGGAGGCTGAGGCATGAGAACTGGTTGAACTTGAGAGGCACAGTTTGCAGTGAGCCGAGATCACGCCACTGCACTCCTCTCTCACAGGGTGAGAGAGCAAGACCCTGTCTCCAAAAAAAAAAAAAAAAAAAAAGGCAAGAGAAGACATCTTTGTCTTGTTGTTAATATTTAGAGGGAAAGCACTAAGTCTTCCACAAGTATGTATGATGTTGGCTGTGAGCTTTTTGTAAATGGCCCTCATCAGGTTGAGAAAGTCCCCTTCTATTGCTAGTTTGTTAGGTGTTTTTATCATGAAGTGGTGTTAGATTTTTGTCAAATGCTTTTTCTGCATCTATTGAGATGACCTTATGTTCTTTGTTTTTTATTCTATTGATATGTATATTTCATTAATTGATATTCAGATGTTAATCCGATCTTGCATTCATAGGTATGTCAATACTCTTATATATATATTTTAAAACTGTTTATTATGGAAAATTTAAAACACATAAAAAGTAGAGAGAATAATATGATGGACTCCCAGATTCAAGTATTATCAATTCCAGAGCCAATTTTGTTCATCTATACTCCTCACTTTGCTCTGCCACATTGGATAATTTTGAAGGAAATCCCAGCAATTATATTCTTCATCTGTTAATACTTAAGTATAGGTATCGAAAGTATGAGACTCTTTTAAGAGATACATAGTCATAATAGCATCATCATATTAAAAGATGATAATTCTTTAATATAAAATATGCAGTCCGTGAACAAATTTTCCTAATTATCTCACAACTTTTAAAAACTGTGAGTCAAGATCAAAATAAGGCCTATATGTTAAAATTTATTCATGTGTCCCTTAAGTCTCATTTAACTTATTGGATCACAACAACATCTCTTTTTTTTCACCATGAAATTGGATAACTTGTCTGGTAGTGCTTTCCATAGTCTGAATATTCCCAATTTCATTCCCTTGGTATAGTTTAACATGTTCCTGTGGACTTTGTATTTCCTGTAAACTATTGAGATTTAGATGCTTAATCAGACTCAAGTTTCATTTTCTGGTAGTAATATATCATGGTAATACTGTGTACTTCCATTTGGAGATGGCTTATTTTTTGTGATGTTAGCAGCTATTAATATTGCATAAATTCATCATTTCATTAGGGGTTTAAAAATGGTATTATTCTAATTTTTCCTCTGGGTTTATGCAGCACTTTTAATTCTCTACAACATTAAGAAAAAAATAAGGATGTTTGAGGGAGTGGAGTGACACATATTGGAAGGATTCTAAGGTTTCTGCAGGCACCAAGGCTTCATGAAGGACTATCAGAGGCTCAAAAGCTGTAAGGAATTATGCAGTTTCTCTTTCTCGTTTTTTCCCCAGCCTCAACCCTATTCCTCTAGACTTAAATTGTTTAGCTTTTTTATAGCTAAATATGACTGCCACACAGTACCCGACTTTATATCTCCACAGTCAAAAACCTACCAAGTTATTGTGTAAAGATTTTTTCAATCTTAGATTCCCTGGCCGACATTATTTTATTGGTCCAGTTTGGGCCAATTTGCTGTGACTATTAGAACATATGGCAGAGCCACACAGCACAAACATGCCACTTAGGGGTTAGGTGAGAGACAGTTCTTAGAGAAAAAGATACTTCAAAATATTGATTATTGGTATCTGCTCCTCCCAAGTCAATCCATAAGTTCAAACCACCATTTTTAAACATTGATGAATATCTGTCTCCCCACTCTTACCCTCCCCATTTCTCAAATGAGATTTAGATTTTTATATAAAATTGCCACCTAAAAATATCACTTAGAAACCCTGCAGACCCAAATCTCAACATGTGGAAGACATCATCTTACCACCAAAACTTGACCCTCCCTTCTCATGCCCTATCTCACTGAAAGGAACCTTCATCAATACCGTGAACCAAATAAAAAATGTGAGAATCACTCTGGACTCTCCCCTCTACCACAACCGCTTTCTTCTCATCTCATCCTCCCTCTTGCCAAGGTCGCTAATTCCATCTCCTCCAATATCATTTGTATTTGTCCCCTCTGCCCCATTTCCACCACTGACTATGGCTTTAGTTAGTATCCATCACTTCTAACCTTGATTACTGCCACAGCAACCTACCTGGACTCTCTGGGTTTCGGAATGGTCCTTTTCCAATTTATCTTCCACACCACTTATAAGAGCCCTCTTTCTAAATGACAGTTATAATCATTTCACTTTGTTGATTACAATCCTTCAATGACCACTGTAATTTTCAGAATAAGAGTGCAAACTCCCTATCTTAGCAATCAAAGTTCTTCACCATCTGGCTGCTGACCACTCTGCCCCCATCACTCTCTTATAGTCAACATATTATGTGGCCATCCAGCAGCATTTGCAGTTTCCAAAATTTGACAAGTTATTTGATGTATCTTTGCTTCCTTTCCCTCAGCTGCTTCCCTGATTTGGTATGCCTTACCTCCCCTTACCAGTCCTTTTCATCCAACCAATATCTAGTGCCTGCTCAAAAGTCAACTCAAGCTCTATCTCTGTGAGAAACATCCTAGGAAACATGTTCAGCTTGACTTTGTATCTGCAGCACTTAGCCCAGTGTCTGGTACAGAGTAAGGGCTCAATACACATTTGGAATATTCATAAATTGAAAATCTACAGTTGAATCTTCAGGCACATGTGCCTGGGCTTGTTGCAGCTCCATTTTGCAGACATTCTGGGCAATGACTACTCCTCGGCTCTTCAGTCATCATAGGATTCCCCACAGACTCCTCTGATGGCTTCTCTTGGCTCAGTGTGTCTCAGGGCACTGACCACAGCCTCACAGGGGTAACCAGATAGCCTTGAGTTTCAGCTTTGCTGCTAGGCACCAATTCAGAGAGAAGGGAGACTGGGCAGGCACAGAATAACGCAAACAGATTCCTGAGATCTCCAAGAAGCACAGAGTGCCTCTTTGCTTGATTATGAAAAAGTCTACATTCAAAGACTCATCTCTTAAGAGTTTAAGGTTATAGCCCTTGCCTTTGCTGATACCTGTAGCCCACATTGACCACTTTCCTGACCATCTTGAACATTTCTTTGTCATTCATTTTAGTACTTGACTATATTTTATATAACTTTCTACTTATTGTCTAGTTTCTCTGTTTCATGTAACAATTTTGTAGGCAAAACCAAAACAACAAAAATGCCATATTTTTCAATGGGAGAGGTTCCAGAAACCTGTAGAAGGATAAATGTGCTGATGTTTTTAAGCAAGAAGAGATGATTCTAGAATTTATAAACTTATCACGTCTGCAAACAAAATATTGACAGGTAATTTGTGAGTATAGTTTTAAAAGAAACTCACAGGAGGCCACAGGTTCACTGAGGACAAATTATAGCAAATAAAACTAATTTTTTTCAGTAGAATTTCCAACTAGTAAACTAAATTATAACAATAATTCATATCAATTTGGAGCTTTATAATACAAAACATTTTCACATGTATTATCTTAGCAAGGTACCATGGCTTTGTGAAAAGATGATGGAATTTCAAGCAAGACAGATATGAGTTTGATTCTTGTTGTGCTTTACTTCTCTGAGCCTCTTTTCTTTATTTGTATAGGATATTCAAATCATATATAAGAATAAAAGATAATCTATGTTCCAGTCTAGTTACTGAAACACAATATTTGCATTTTATGGAGAATCTATTATAATTATTATCAATTCTTAATTTTCTCAATAAATGGTGACGAAGGGATTAGTGTTGCCTTTTTTTACATATAAGCAAATCAAGGGTAAATTTAAGTAATTTTCTACAAGACACACTACAAGTGTGTTAAAGAAAAGAGATGTGAATCCCAGTTCTCTGCTATACTCTTTCTCCTATGCCATGGGGAAATGAGATCACCTTCTCATTTCCTCATTTTGCAATCACTGAGTATGTGAAATGGTTGAGACCTATGACCTGGATTTCATTAAATAGTGGAAGGTTTATAGCCATTTCATGGACCAGACCCCCATAATGTTGATCAAAATCCACCTGGATGTGGGCGGGGTGGGCTCTCTTTCATCCACAGAGCTCTGGTTTCATCTATGCCCTTCAATAATTTAATTAACTGACAATTCCACAAGAAGTTATAACAATGTAAATATATATGCACCTAACTGGAGCACCAAGATTCATAAAACAGTTACCATCATACCTAAGAAAAGAGATAGACAGCAACACAATAACAGTGGGGGACTCAACACTCCACCAACTGCACTGGACAGATCATCAAGGGAAAAAGTCAACAAAGACACACTGGACTTAAACTACACTCTAGAACAAACAGACCTAACAGATATATACAGAACATTCTACCCAAGAACTTCAGAATATACATTCTTCTCATCAGCACATGGAACATCCTCTAAGATAGACCACATGATAGGCCACAAGTCTCAACAAATTTTTAAAAACCAAAATTATATCAAGTATCTTCTCAGACCACAGAGGAACAAAGCTAGAAATCAGTTCCAAACTGAACCCTCAAAACTATACAAATACATGGAAATTAAACAATCTCTTCCGGAATGATTTTTGTGTTTATAATGAAATCAAGATGGAAATTTAAAAATTCTTCAAAATGAATGATAACAGTGACAAGGTTGTCAAAACCTCTGGAATGCAGCAAAAGTAGTACTAGGAGAAAAGTTTATAATGCTAAATGCCTACAGCAAAAAGCAGAAAGATCACAAATTGACAACCTAACATTTCACTTCAAGGAACTAGAGAAATAAGAAAAAAACCAAACCGAAAAGCTACCAGAAGAAAAGAAATAACGAAGATCAGAGCAGAACCAACTGAAATTGAAACAAAATACAAAAGATCAATCAAATGAAAAGTCGGTTCTTTGAAAAGATAAACAAAATGGATAGACCACTAGGTAGATTAACCATAAAAAAAGAGAGAAGAGTCAAATAATCTCAATTAGAAATAAAAATGGAGACATTACCACTGACAACACAGAACTACAAAAGATCATTCGACACTGCTATAAATACCCCTACACACACAGACTAGAAAACCTAGAGGAAATGTATAAGTTCCTAGAAACATACAACCCCCTAGCTTGAATCAGGAAGAAAGAGAAATCCTGAACAGACGTATAACAAGCAGTAAGACTGAATGAGTAATAAAAAAAAATCTGCCAGCAACAACAACAACAATAAAGCCCAGGACTAGATGAAGTCACAGCTGAATTCTATCAGACATTCAAAGAACAATTGGGACCAAGCCTCCTGAAACTATTCTAAAAGATTGAGAAGGAGGAAATCCTTTCCAACTCATTCTACAGCCTGTTTCACTCTAATACCAAAGCCAGCAAAGGATATAACAACAACGACAAAAAGAAAACTACAGACCAATATCTCTGATGAATATAGATGCAAAAATCCTCAACAAAATAGTAGCAAACTGCATCCAACTGCACATCAAAAAAATAACTCACCATGATCAAGTGGGTTTCATCCCATGAAGGCAGGGATGGTTCAACATACCCAAGTCAATAAATGTGATTCATCACATACACAGAATTAAAAACATAAGCCATATGATCATCTCAATAGACACAGAAAAAGCATTTGATAAAATGCAGAATCTCAAAAAAACACTTGATAAAACCTTCAAAAAACTAGTCATAGAGGGAACATACCTCAAAATAATAGAAGCCAAATATCACAAACACACAACCAACATCATACTGAATGGAAAAAAGTTGAAAGCATTTCCTGTAACAATGAGAAGACAAGGATGCCCACTGTCACCATTCCTATTCAACATAGTACTGGGAGTTCTAGCCAGAGCAATAAGGCAAGAGAAAGAAATAAAAGGCATCCAAATTGGAAAGAGGAAGCCAACGATATGATCTTATACCAAGAAAACTTTAAAGACTCTTACAAAAGACTCCTAGACTTGATAATGAATTCAGTAAAGTCTCAGATTATAAAATCAATGTACACAAACCAATAGCACTGTTGCATACCAAAAAGGACTAACCTGAGAATCAAATCAATAACTCAATCCCTTTTTCAAAAGCTACACACACAAAAATACCAAGGAATATACTTAACCAAGGAGATGAAAGATCTCTACAAGGAAAACTACAAAACACTGCTGAAAGAAATCATAGATGGCACAAACAAATGGAAATACATCCCATGCTTATGAAATGGAAGAATTAATATTGCTAAAATGTCCACACTGCCGATAGCAATCTACAGATTCAATGCAATCCCTATCAAAATACCAATGTCATTTATTCACAGACTCAGAAAACACAATCCTAAAATTCACATGGAACCAAAAAGAGCCTAAACAGTGAAAGCAATCCTAAGCAAAAAGAACAAATCTGGAGGCATCACATTAACGAACTTCAAATTATACCATAAGGCTATAGTAACCAACACAGCATGGTACTGGTATAAAAGCAGGCACATAGACCAATTGAACAGAATAGAGAACCCAGAAATAAAGCCAAATACTTACAAGCAACTGATCTTTGACAAAGCACACAAAAACATAAACTCTAGAAATGACACCCTATTCAATAAATGGTGCTGGGAAAATTGGACAGCCACACATAGAAAAGTGAAACTGGATCCGTATCTTGCACTTTATACAAAAGTTAATTCAAGATGGATCAAAGACTTAAATCTAAGACCTGAAACAAAAATTCCGGAAGAAAACCTAGGAAAAACTCTTCTGGACATTTGCCTAGGCAAAGAATTTATGACTAAGGCCCCAAAGGCATATGCGACAAAAATAAAAATAAATAGGCATGACCTAATTAAACTAAAAAGCTTCTACACAGCAAGAGAAATAATCAACAGAGTAGACAGACAACCTACAGAATGAGAGAAAATATTTGCAAACTATGCATCTGACAAAGAACTAATATCCAGAATCTATAAGGAGCTCAAATCAGCAAGGGAAAAAAAAAAACAATCCAATTAAAAAGTGGGCAAATGAATAGACATTTCTCAAAAGAAGATATACAAATGGCCAAGAAACATATGAAAAAATGCTCAATAACACTAATGATTAGGGAAATGCAAGTTAAAATCACAATGAGATACCACTTTACCCCAGACAGAATGGCCATTTTTGCTTGTTTCTTTTGTTTTATTTTATTTTCTGTTCCAGGATACATGTACAGGATGTACAGGTTTGTTACATAGGTAAATGTGTGCCATGGTGGTTTGCTGCACCTATCAACACATCACCTAGGTATTAAGTCCAGCATGCATTAGCTGTTTTTCCTGACATTCTTCCTCCCCTTGCCCCACCCCAACAGGCCCATGTATGTTGTTCCCCTCTCTGTGTCCATGTGTTCTCATTGTTCAGCTCCTGCTTATAAGTGAGAGCATGTAGTATTTGGTTTTCTGTTCCTGCATTACTTTGCTGAGGATAATGGCTTCCAGCTCCATCCATGTCCCTGCGAAAGACATGATCTCGTTCCTTTTTATGGCTGCATAGTATTCCATGGTGTATATGTACCATATTTTCTTTATCCAGTCTATCATTGATGGGAATTAGGGTTGGTTCCACGTCTTTGCTATTGTGAATAGTGCTGCAGTGAACATATACATGTGTCTATCTTCAAAATAGAATGATTTATATTCCTTTGGGTATATACCCAGTAATGAGATTGCTTCGTCTAATGGTATTTCTGGTTCTAGGTCTTTGAGGAATCATCACACTGTCTTCCACAATGGTTGAACTAATTTACACTCCCACCAACAATGTAAAAGCATTCCTATTTCTCCACAGCCTTGTCAGCATTTGTGGTTTCTTGACTTTTTAATAATCGCCATTTTGACTGGCCACTCCTTGTGGTTTTGGTTTGCAGTCCTCTAATGATCAGTAATGTTGAGCTTTTTTCATGTTTCTTGGCTGCATAAATGTCTTCTTTTGAGAAGTGTCTGTTCATGTCTTTTGCCCACTTTTTAATGTTTTTTTTTCTTGTAAATTTGTTTAAGTTCCTTGTAGATTGTGGATATTAGACCTTTGTCAGATGGATAGATTGCAAAATTTTATTTATTTATTTTTTGAGACGGAGTCTCACTCTGCCGCCCAGGCTGGAGTGCAGTGGCGTGATCTCTGCTCACGGCAAGCTCCACTGCCCAAGTTCACACCATTTTCCTGCCTCAGCCTCCCGAGTAGCTGGGACTACAGGCACCCGCCACCACGCGAGGCTAATTTTTTGTATTTTTAGTAGAGACGGGGTTTCACCATGTTATCCAGGATGGTCTCGATCTCCTGACCTCATGATCCGCCCGCCTCGGTCTCCCAAAGTGCTGGGATTACAGGCGTGAGCCATGGTGCCCAGCCAGATTGCAAAACTTTTATCCCATTCTGTAGGTTGTCTGTTCACTCTGATGATAGCTTCTTTTGCTGTGCAGAAGCTTTTTAGTTTCATTAGATTCCATTTGTCAGCTTTTGCTTCTGTTGCAATTGCTTTTGATGTTTTCATCATGAAATCTTTGCCTGGGCAGAATGGCCATTATTAAAAAGTCAAAAAACAATAGATGTTGATGCAGACGTAGTGAAAGGGAATGCTTATACACTGCTGGTGGTAATGTAAATTACTACAACCTGTATGGAAAACTACGGAATTTTCTCAAAGAACTAAAAGTGGACCTACCATTTGATCCTGCATTCCCCTTCCACCCAAAGGAAAAGGAGTCATATCAAAAAGACACAAAGAACAAAGACACCTGCACGTGTATGTTTATTGCAGCACAATTCACAATTGCAAAGATATGGAATCAACCTAAGTGCCCATCAACAATGAGTGGATAAAGAAAATGCAGTGTGTATATGTGTATATACATATATATGTGTGTGTATATATATAGTATATATGTAGAATATATATAAATGCAGTATATATACTGCATTTTACATGTGTAAAATAGTATTTTATGATATATATATTATGTAATACTACTCAGCCATAAAAAAGAATGAAATAATGTCTTTTGCAGCAATTTGGATGGACTCAGAGGCCATTGTCCTAAGTGAAGTAACTCAAGAATGGAAAACCAAATACCACATGTTCTCATTTATAAGTGGGAACTAAGCTATGTGTACACAAAAGCATACAGAGTGGTATAATGGACATTGGAGACTAAGAAGTGGGGAGGGTGGGAGGGGGATAAGGGATGAAAAACTACCTATTGGGTGCAATGTACACTACTTGGGTGATGGGTACACTAAAATCCCAGACTTAACCACTCTACAGTTCGTCCATGTAACCAAAAACCACCATCGTACCCCTAAGGCTACTGAATTTTTAAAATGTTTTTCAAATTTAATTAAATGAATTGAGGGTGTCCTCAATCTGTGAATGGAGATAGTAATAAGTAGATAACATGCTGGATATCAAAATCCAGATTTACTTTTAAAGCAACTGGAAGAGAAAAATGGGTCACAATAAAGAGAAGAATTTTTTCAGAGATAAAGAAAAAACATCCTAACCTAATGTACAGAAGGGTGACTATAGTCAATAATAATGTACCGTGGGGGGGATCATGGCACACAGGAGGCAGGACTAGGTTGCAGCTCCCACTCGGACAAAGCAAGCAGTGTATGGAGGCTCACATCATGAACTTTTGCTCCAGAACAACTGCAGGAATAAATCAGGAAAACTGAGAGAACCCACAGACCCTCTGAAGAAATGGATTGCTCCTGCAGGACCTGGAAGACATCCCAAATACTGTGAGCACCCAAACTGTGGAAGTGGGAGTGGGGGATCGTCCACCCCTGAACACACACCCTCACTGGGGAACCTGAAGGTCTAGATCACAGGAGAAGATTCTGACCTTACCTGGAGCTGAGTCAATTTAGAGAGCCAAGCAAAATACAGGGGTAGAGGAAGCAGCAGAAAAAGCCCTGTGGGTTTGCTGGGTCCCCTCGCAAGCCGTTTTTGCCTTGCCTCACGGGGTCCTTGGGGTGGGCTGCCCAAGGTACTGGGAAAAGGCCACGGGGAGAAGGAAACCTCCAGCTGAACTCTGTAACAATTTGAACCAATCGAGAGGTCTCCTGGCCAGAACTCAGGGGAGGGCGTGAAACCGGTGTGCCGACTCCACAGGTGGGGGAAGCTGGAAAGCCCTACTTGCTTTTGCAACTGGGAGGCGGGTAGCCTGGGACAAGTTCTCTGCCCTGCTCACCCACTGCTGGAAACAGACTTGGTGCTATTGGAGGCGGGGCATAGTGGGAGTGAGACCGGCCCTCTGGGTTGCAAGGGAGCTGGGCGACTGCTGGCTTTCCCCCACTTCCCTGGCAACCTGCATGAAAGAGTAAAGGCAGCCATAATTATCCTAGGAACATCACTCCATTCACCTGGGAACCACACTCCCATCCCCCCACAGCAGGCACACCAAGCCGTGCCCAAGGAGAGTCTGAACTCAGACATACCTAGCCCTGCCCCCCACCTAATGGTCCTTCCCTAGCCACCCTGGTAGCTGAAGATAAAGGGCATATACTCTTGGGAGTTCCAGGGTCCTGCCAACTGTCTGTTCCTCCCCATACTACCATAGCTGAGGCTCTCTTGAAAGTGCCTCCCAGCAGGAGGCCAATCAGTACAAAAATAGTGCATTAAAAAACCAAAGCTAAGGCCCTCCAGAGAGTCCATTTCACTTCCCTGCCATTGCCACCAGAACAGGTGCTGGTATCCACGGCTGAGAGATCCAGATGGCTGACATCACAGGACTCTGTGCAGACAACCCCCAGTACCAGCCCGAGCCTGGTAGAATTGCTGGGTGGCTAGATCAAGAAGAGAGATAACAATCAGCTGAACTACAGCTCAGCTCTCAGGAAGCCACACCCCTAGGAAAAGAGGGGGAGTACTACATCAAGGGAACACTCTGTGGGACAAGAGAATCTGAACAACAGCCTTAAACCCTAGACCTTCCCTCTGACAGACCCTACCCTAATGAGAAGAAACCAGAAAACCAACTCTGGTGATATGACAAAACAAGGTTCTTTAACACCCCCAGAAAATCACACTAGCTCACCAGCAACGGATCCAAACCAAGAAGAAATCACTGATTTACCTGAAAAATAAGTCAGAAAGTTAGTTATTAAGCTAATCAGGGAGGCACCAGAGAAAGGCAAAGCCCAGAGTAAGGAAGTCAAAAAATGATACAAAAAATTAGGGGAGAAATGTTCAGTGAAATAGCATAAATAAAAAACAATCAAAAATTCAGGAAAAAATGGATGCACTTATAGAAATGCAAAATGCTCTGGATAGTCTCTGCAATGGAATCAAACAAGCAGAAGAACTTCAGAGCTCAAAGACAAGGTTTTCAAATTAACCTAATTCAACAAAGACAAAGAAAAAGCAATAAGAAAATATGAACAAAGCCTCTAGGAAGTCTGGAATTATGTTAAATGACCACGCCTAAGAATAATCAACATTCCCGAGGAAGAAGAGAAATCTAAAAGTTTGGAAAACATATTTGGGGAAATAATCGAGGAAAACTCCCCCAGCTTTGCTAGAGATGTAGACATCCAAATACAAGAAACTCAAAGAACACCTGGGGCTGGCCGGGTGCGGTGGCTCACTCCTGTAATCCCAGCACTTTGGGAGGCTGAGGCGGGTGGATCACAAGGTCAGGAGATCAAGACCATCCTGGCTAACATGGTGAAACCTGGTCTCTACTAAAAGTACAAAAATTAGCCAGGTGTGTTGGCACATGCCTGTAGCCCCAGCTACTTGGGAGACTGAGGCAGGAGAATGGCTTGAACACAGGGGGTGGAGCTTGCAGTGAGCCGAGATCACGCCACTGCATTCCAGCCTGGGTGACAGAGCGAGACTGTGTCTCAAAAAAAAAAAAAAAAAAAAAAAAACCACCTGGGAAATTCATCACAAAAAGATCATTGCCTAGGCACATTGTCATCAGGGTATCTAAAGTTAAGACAAAGGAAAGAATCTCAGAAGCTGTGAGACAAAAGTACCAGGTAGCCTGCAAAGGAAAACCTATCAGATTAACAGCAGATTTCTCAGCAGAAACCATACAAACTAGAAGGGATTGGGACCCTATATTCAGCCTCCTTAAACAAAATAATTATCAGCCAAGAATTTTTCATCTAGAGAAAGTAAGCTTCATAAATGAAGAAAAGATACAGTCTCTTTCAGATGAACAAATGCTAAGAGATTTCACCACTACCAAGCCAGCACTACAAGAACTGCTAAAAGGACCTCTAAATCTTGAAACAAATCCGGGAAACACATCAAAACAGAACTTCTTTAAAGCATAAATCTCACAGGACCTATAAAACAAAAGTACAATAATAATAATAAATATATATACAGGCAACAAATAGCACAATGAATTGAGTGGTACCTCACACCTCAATACTAATGTTGAATGTAAATAGCTTAAATGCTCCACTTAAAAGATACAGAATTGCAGAATGGATAAGAATTCACCAACCATCTGCTGCCTTCATGAGACCCACCTAACACAAAAGGAATCACATAAACTTAAGGTAAAGGGGTGGAAAAAGACATTCCATGCGAATGGACACCAAAAGCGAGCAGGAGTAGCTATTCTTATATCAGACAAAACAAATTTTAAAGAAACAGCATTGTGACATTATATAATGTCACATTATATAATGATATATAATGATATAATTATATAATGATAAACAATTATTATATAATCATAAAAAAGCCTTGTCCAACAGGAAAATATCACAATCCTAAATATATATGCACCTAACACTGGGGCTCCAAAATTTATAAAACAATTACTAATAGACCTAAGAAATGAGATAGACAGCAACACAATAACAGTGGAGGACTTCAATACTCCACTGACAGCACAAGATAGGTCATCAAGATGGAAAGTCAACAAACAAACAATGGATTTAAACTATACCCTGGAACAAACAGACTTAACAGATATTTACAGAACATTCTACCCAACAACCGCATAATATACATACTATTCATCAGCGCATGAAACTTTCTCCAAGATAGACCATATGATAGGCCACAAAATGAACCTCAATAAATTTATGAAAATTGAAATTATATCGAGTACTCCCTCAGACCACAGTGGATAAAACTGGAAATAAACTTCAAAAGGAACCTTCAAAACCATGGAAATTAAATAACCTGCCCCTGAATGATCATTGGGTCAAAAATGAAATCAAGATGGAAATTAAAAAATTCTTCGAACTGAAATACAATAGTGACACATCTATCAAAACTTCTGGGACACAACAAAGGTGGTGTTAAGAGGAAAGTTCATAGCCTTAAACGCCTGCATTAACAAGTCTGAAAGAGCACAAACAGACTATCTAAGGTCACACCTCAAGGAACTAGAGAAACAAGAACAAACCAAACTCAAACATAGCAGAAGAAAGGAAATAACTAAGATCAGAGCAGAACTAAATGAAATTGAAACAAACAAACAAAAAAATACAAAAGATAATGAAATAAAAAAAAAACTGGTTCTTTGAAAAAATAAATAAAATTGATAGACCATTGGCAAGATTTACCAAGAAAAGAAGAGAGAAGAGCCAAATAAGCTCAATTAGAAAGGAGATGGAGATACTACAACTGACATCACAGAAATACAAAAGATCATTCAAGGCTGCTATGAACACCTTTATATGCACAAACTAGAAAACCTAGAGGAGATGGATGAATTCCTGGAAAGATACAACCCTCCTAGCTTAAAGCAGGAAGAATTAGATACCTTGAACAGATCATTAAAAAGCAGTGAGATTAAAATGGTAATTTAAAAATTACCGACACACACACACACAAAAAAATGTGAAGGACCAGACGGATTCACAGAAGAATTCCACCAGACATTCAAAAAATTGGTACCAATCCTATTGACACTATTCCACAAGATAGAGGAAGAGGGAATCCTCCCTAAATCATTCTATGAAGCCAGTGTCACCCTAATACCAAAACCAGGAAAGCACATAACCAAAAAAGAAAACTACAGGCCAGGTGCGGGGGCTCATGCCTGTAATCTTAGCACTTTGGGAGACTGAAATGGGTGAATCACCTGAGGTCAGGAGCTCGAGACCAGCCTGGCCAACATGGTGAAACCCTATCTCTACAAAAATACAAAAATCAGATGGGCATGGTGGCACATGCCTGTAATTCCAGCTACTTGGGAGGCTGAGGCAGAAGAATTGCTTGAACCTGGAGGGTGGAGGTTTCAGTGAGTCAAGATCACACCACTTCATTCCAGTCTGGGTGAAAGAGTGAAACTCCATCTCAAAAAAATAAGAAAAGAAAACTACAGACCAATATCCCTGATTAACGTAGATGCAAAAATCCTTAACGAAATACTAGCTAACCAAATCCAACAACATACCAAAAATATAATCCACCATGATGAAGTGGGTTTCACACCAGGGACGCAGGGATGGTTTAACATATGCAAGTCAATAAATGTGATACACCACATAAACAGAATTAAAAACAAAAATCACATGATCATCTCAATAGATGCAGAAACAAAATCCAGCATCCTTTTATGATTAAAACTTTCAAGTCAGCTTCATCCCTGGGATACAAGGCTAGCTCAACATATGCAAATCAATAAATGTAATCCCTCACATAAACAGAACCAAAGACAAAAACCACATGATTATCTCAATAGATGCAGAAAAGGCCTTCGATAAAATTCAACATTGTTTTATGCTAAAAACTCTCAATAAACTAGGTATTGATGGAACATATCTCAAAATAATAAGACCTATTTATGACAAACCCACAGCCAGTATCATACTGAATGGGCAAAAGCTGGAAGCATTCCCTTTGAAAACTGGCACAAAACAAGGATGCCCTCTCTCACCACTCCTATTCAACATAGTATTGGAAGTTCTGGCCAGGGCAATCAGGCAAGAGAAAGAAATAAAAGATATTCAAATAGGAAGATAGGAAGACAAATTGTCTCTGTTTGCAGATGACATGATTGTACATTTAGAAAACCCCATTGTCTCAGCCCAAAATCTCCTTAAGCTGATAAGCAACTTCAGCAAAGTCTCAGGATACAAAATCAATGTGCAAAAATCACAAGCATTCCTATACACCAATAATAGATAAACAGAGAGCCAAATCATGAGTGAACTCCCATTCACAATTGCTACAAAGAGAATAAAATACCTAGGAATATACCTTACCAGGGATGTGAAGGACCTCTTCAAGGAGGACTACAAACCACTGCTCAAGGAAATAAGAGAGGACACAAACAAATGGAAGAACATTCCATGTTCACGGATAGGAAGAATCAATATCATGAAAATGGCCAGACTGCCCAAAATAATTTATAGATTCAATGCTATCCCCATCAAATTACCACTGACTTTCTTCACAGAATTAGAAAAGCCTACTTTAAATTTCATATGGAACCAAAAAAGAGCCCGTATAGCCAAGACAATCCTAAGCAAAAAGAACAAAGCTACAGGCATCAATCATGCTACCTGACTGCAAACTATACTACAAGGCTACAGTAACCAAAACAGCATGGTACTGGTACCAAAACAGATATATAGACCAATGGAACCGAACAGAGGCCTCAGAAATAACACCACACATATACAACCATCTGACTTTTGGCAAACCTGCCAAAAACAAGGATTCCCTATTTAATAAATGGTGTTGGGAAAACTGGCTAGCCACATGCAGAAAACTGAAACTGGCCCCTTCCTTACACCTTATACAAAAACTAACTGAAGATGAATTAAAGACCTAAACATAAGACCCAAAACCATAAAAACCCTACAAGAAAACCTAGGCAATACCTTTCAGGACATAGGCATGGGCAAAGACTTCATGACTAAAACACCAAAAGCAATGGCAACAAAAGCCAAAATTGACAAATAGGATCTAATCAAACTAAAGAGCTTCTGCACAGCAAAAGAAACTATCATCCAAGTGAACAGGCAACCTACAGAATGGGAGAAAATTTTTGCAATCTATTCATCTGACAAAGGGCTAATATCCAGAATCTATGTGGAACTTAAACAAATTTACAAGAAGAAAACAACCCCATCAAAAAGTGGGCAAAGGATATGAACAGACACTTCTCAAAAAAAGACATTTATGCGGCCAGCAAACATATGAAAAAAAAGAACTCATCATCACTCATCATCAGAGAAATGCAAATCAAAACCCAATGAGATACCATCTCACACTAGTTAGAATGGCGATCATTAAAAAGTCAGGAACAACAAATGCTGGAGAGGATGTGGAGAAACAGGAACACTTTTACACTGTTGGTGGGAGTGTAAATTAGTTCAACCATTGTGGAAGACAGTGTGGTGATTCCTCAAGCATCTAGAACCAGAAATACCATTTGACCCAACCATCCCATTACTGGGTATATACCCAAAGGATTATAAATCATTCTATTATAAAGACACATGCACACGTATGTTTACTGCAGCACTATAGCAAAGTGCTCACGATAGCAAAGACTTGGAACCAACCCAAATGCCCACCAATGATAGTCTGGATAAAGAAATTATGGCACATATACACCATGGGATACTATGCAGCCATAAAAAAGGATGAGTTCATGTCCTCTGCAGGAACATGAATGAGGTTGGAAACTATCATTCTCGCAAACTAACACAGGAACAAAAAAACCCAACACCACATGTTTTCACTCATAAGTGGGAGTTGAACAAGGAGAACACATGGACACACGGAGAGGAACATCACACACTGGGGTCTGCCGGGGGGTGGGAGGTTAGGGGACGGATAGCATTAGGAGAAATACCTAATGTAGATGATGAGTTGATGGGTGCAGCAAACCACCATGGCACGTGTATACCTAGGTAACAAACCTGCACGTTCTCCACATGTATCCCAGAACATAAAGTATATTAAAATAAAACCTCTCAGCAAAATCAGCATACAAGGGACATACTTCAATGTAATACAAGCTACCTTTGACCAAACCACAGCCAACATAATACTGAATGGGGAAAAGTTGAAAGTATTTCCTCTGAGAACGGGAACAAGACAAGGATGTCCACTCTCACCACTTCTAGTCAACACAGTACTGAAAGTCCTAGCCAGAGCAATCAGACAAGAGAAAGAAATAAAGGGTATCCAAGTTGGTAAAGAGGAAATCAAACTGTCATTGTTTGCTGATGACATGATTATTTACCTAGAAAACCCTAAAGATTCATCCAGAAAGCTCCTACAATTGATAAAAAAAATTTCAGCAAAGTTTCTGGATACAAAATTGATGTACATGAATCAGTAGCTCTGCTATACACCAACAGTGACCAAGCTGAGAATCATATCAAGAACTCAACCACTTTTAAATAGCTGTAAAAAATAACATACTTAAGAATATACCTAATCACGGAGGTGAAAGACCTCTACAAGGAAAAACACAAAACACTGATGAAAGAAATCATAGATGACACAAACAAATGGAAACACATCCCATGCTCATGGATGGGTAGAATCAATATTGTGAAAATAACCATACTGCCAACAGCAATCTACCAATTCAATGTAATTCCATAAAATTACCACCATCGGCTGGGAGTGGTGGCTCATGCCTGTAATCCCTGCACTTTGGGAGGCCAAGGTGGGCAGATCACGAGGTCAGGAGATCGAGACCTTCCTGGCCAACATGGTGAAATCTTGTCTCTACTAAAAATACAAAAATTAGCTGGATGTGGTGACACGTGCCTGTAGTACCAGCTATTCAGGAGGCTGAAGCAAGAGAATCACTTGAACCTGGGAGGTGGAGGTTGCAGTGAGCTGAGATCGTGCCGCTGCACTCCAGCCTGGCAACAGAGTGAGACTCCGTCAAAAAATAAACAAACAAAGAAACAAAAAACAAAAAAACACCCACAATAATTCTTCACAGAACTAGAAAAAACAATCCTAAAATTCATATGGAACCAAAAAAGAGCCCATATAGTCAAAGCAAGACTAAGCAAAAAGAACAAATCTGTAGGCATCACATTACCTGATTTCAAATTATACTATAAGGCCATAGTCACCAAAGTAGTATAGTACTGGTATACAAATAGGCACATAGACCAATGGAACCAAATAGAGAACCCAGAAATAAACCTAAATACTTGTAGCCAACTGATCTTCTACAAAGCAAACAAAAACATAAAGTGGGGAAAGGACACCCTATTCAACACATTGTGCTGGGATAATTGACAAGCCACATGTAGGAGATTGAAACTGGATCCTCATCTTTCACCTTATACAAAGATCAACTCAAGATAAATGAAGGACTTCAATCTAAGACCCAAAACCATAACAATTCTAGAAAATAACATTGTAAAAACCCTTCTAGATATTGGCTTAGGCAAGGATTTCATGACAAAGAACCCGAAAGCAAATGCACTAAAAAGCAAAGATAAATTGTTGGGACTTAATTAAACTAAAGAGCTTTTGCAAGGCAAAAGCAACAGTCACTAGAATAAACAGACAACCCACAGAGTGGGAGAAAATCTTCACAATGTATACATCTGACAAAGGTCCAATATTCAGAATCTACAAGGAACTCAAACAAATTAGCAAGGAAAAAGCAATCCCATCAAAAAGTGGGTTAAGGACATGAATAGACAATTCTCAAAAGAAAGCATACAAATGGCCAATAAATATGAAAAAATGCTCACCATCACTAATGATCAGGGAAATGCAAATCAAAACCACAATGTGATACCACCTTACTCCTGCAAGTACGGCCATTAAAAAAAATGAAAAAATAATAGATGTTGGCATGGATGCGGTGAACAGTGAACACTTCTACACTGCTGGTGGGAATGTAAACTAGTGCAACCCCTATGGAAAACAGTGTAGAGATTCCTTAAAGAACTAAAAGTAGAAATACCATTTGATCCAGAAATCCCACTACTAGGTATCTACCCAGAGGGACACAAGTCATTATACAAAAAAGACACTTGCACACGCATGTTTATAGTAGCACAATTCGCAATTGCAAAAATGTGGAACCAACTCAAATGCCCATCAATCGACGAGTGGATAAAGAAACAGTGGTATACATATATACAATGGAATACTACTCAGCCATAAAAAGGAATGAACTAATGGCATTCACAGAGACCTGGATGAGATTGGGGACTATTATTCTAAGTGAAGTAACTCAGGAATGGAAAACCAAACATTGAATGTTCTCACTCATAAGTGGAAGCTAAGCTATGAGGATGCAAAGGCATAAGAATGACACAATGGACTTTGGGGACTCAGGGGGAAAGGACAGGAAGTGGGGTGAGGGATAAAAGACTACAAATTGTGCAGTGTATACTGCTTGGGTGATGGGTGCACCAAAATCTCACAAATTACCGCTAAAGAACTCATGTAACCAACCACCACCTATTCCCCAATAATCTATGGAAATAAAAAATTTAAAAGAAATGAAGTGTATTTTATCTGAAAAAATAAAAACAAAAAAATAATAATGGACTGTGTATTTGACATTTGCTAAGAGAAAGCTTAAGTATTCTCGCCAGGCACACACACGCACAGGCGCACCTGCACATGCACACATGTGCAAGGTAACTGTGCAGTGATGGATATGTTAATTAGCTTGATTGTGGTAATCATTTCACAATGCATACATATATCAAAACATCACATTGTACACATTGAATCCTTGATACAGCTGAAAAGAATAAAAAACAAAAAAGAGAAAATGTCCTATATTTATAATTAAAAACATTAAATTTCATGAGAATGAAATTGGAGAGACATAGCTTATCAGCAGTAAATGTGAAAATGACTTTGGGATTTAAGTTGATTGCAAGCTCAGTATGAATTACCAATATGGCATGTCTACCATTTAACCTTTGGCTGTATTCTAAGAAGCTTTGCATCACATATAATGAAGTTGATGGTCTCAAAGTGCTCTAGGCTGGTCAGCTGGTGCCTCAGAACCCTGTGATGTAGGCATTATTTCATTTACAAAAGAGCCTGAAGCCACCAAATTTGCCAAAGGCCAAAGGACTACATGATGGAACACTGACTTAATAAACAGGCTAATTGGTGCTAGGACATGGGCAATACATTGCACATGCATAATATCTTTGAATACAACAATGGCTTGTGGTGAGTTTTGTTATTTATCCATTTATCCATTACAGATGTTATTTATCCATTACAGATGAGGAAACTGAGACAGAGGTAGATAAAGCAACCTGCTCAAGCTCATACACACAGTAAGTGACTGAGGTCAGATTAAAACCCAGGACTATTTGATTTAACCACTGAGCTATGCTGCCTCTCTCAGAGAAACAGAAAGAATTTTCTACCAGTGAAATCTTTTAAAAAATATCTCAAGTGGCTCAAGTTGAAGCCGGTGGTCCCTGTGTGTGGGTAGAACTGTAAACTGAGATACTTGGAAATTCCCAGCCTTTATGATTCTGTCCATTTAGTCTTTGGAATGCATTTTTCACAGGGTATACTGAACACCAACTCAATGCTAATCAGTAAGCAATTGTTGACCTGAGTGGAATAGAACTCCACTCTCTAGAAGGGGACCAACTCGGTGCATTGCTGTGGGAGTTGTGGCTTTGCAAGTGAGCTTTCTAGCTATTTGTGTCAAAGCTGAATTAGAGGGAGGCAGGCTTTCCAGTGCAGCTAGCAATTAGAGTTCAACCCACAAATTCCTGCACTGGGCTGGCTGCTTTTGTGGGAAGGACAGGAAAGGAGGCACCTTCAAGGGACAGTGGGACAGAGCAGAGGCAGCAGCGGGTAGCAGCCCCGGGAGCTGTGGCCACAAGAACAGCCTGGACAGCTGGCCTCAGTCTTGATTTGGATAAAGATGTTTATTCTGCTCTACCTCCCAGGCCTCTCCCTTCCTGCCCTAAGGGCCGTCCACTGGAGTGACTGACGAGGTGATTAATTAGATACAGACTCACAGACCCAGCCAAGAATTGTTCGCAGACTGAGGTTCATATGGGGGGTTAGAGAGACCCTGCCAGCAGTACTATATAGATAGCCTCCCTCTTTGCCCTCTCCTGTAGTCTAAAGGTCATGATCCATGAAAAAAGTCTGAATCAAATGCCTACCACCCCCAGGTGATGCCTGAGCACATAATTAGCTGGTGTTGTGGAAATGGTGATGTACAGAGCATGGAACTCAAGTCTTGATCGGTGTGGTGGGAGTGGGGGGATCCCTGGGAGCCAGTGCTCTCAGATGATCAGGCATAGATTGTCCAGTTGGTTCCTGGAGGGAGTATAAAAAGCCCCTCTTACTCAACACGCACTCCACTGTTTTTCTTAAACAAACAACCAAACAACCAAATCATCACCTCCTTGGTCAAAGCAGTGGTTCTCAAACATTTTCACCTCAGTCCCCTTTTTACTCTTAAAAATAATCAAGGACCCCAAAAAGGACTTTTGTGTAGTGAGTTTTATCTCTCAAGATTAACCATATTTGAAATTAAAACTGAGCAAGTTTTAAAATAAAAATGTATTAGTTCATTTAAAAATAATCCACCATTATATGTAAACATAAATTATTTTTTTCAGAAAAATAACTATATATTTTCCAAAACAAAAATATTTGGTGAGAAGACTGGCATTATTTTACATTTTTGAAGATCTCTTGAATGTCTAGCTTAATGGGAGGCAGCTGGATTTGAATATCTGCTCCTGCTTTCAATCTGTTGTGATATGTTGTTTGGGTTGGAGGTTATGAAGAAAGTCTGGCCTCACACAGTATGTAACTGGAAAAGAGAGAAGTATTTCAACAGCCTTTTTAGTAACTGTGGAGATTCTTTTTTTTTTTTTTCTTGAACTTCACCAAACAGGTTAGTTGCACTGTGGGATATGCACCCACATTGGTAAGCTTCTAAAACTCTGTTTTGTTTCATTAAAATCTAATGAAAACCTAGGCAATACCATTGAGGACATAGGCATGGGCAAGGACTTCATGACTAAAACACCAAAAGCAATGGCAACAAAAGCCAAAATAGACAAATGGGATCTAATTAAACTAAAGAACTTCTGTACAGCAAATGAAACTACCATCAGAGTGAACAGGCAACCTACAGAATGGGAGAAAATTTTTGCAATCTACCCACCTGACAAAGGGCCAATATCCAGAATCTACAAAGAACTTAAACAAATTTACAAGAAAAAATCAAACAACCGCATCAAAAATTGGGAAAAGGATATGAACAGACACTATTCAAAAGAAGACATTTATGCAGCCAACAGACACATGAAAAAATGCTCATCATCACTGGTCATCAGGGAAATGCAAATCAAAACCACAATGAGATACCATCTCACACCAGTTAGAATGGAGATCATTAAAAAGTCAGGAAACAACAGGTGCTGGAGAGGATGTGGAGCAATAGGAATGCTTTTACACTGTTGGTGGGACTGTAAACTAGTTCAATCATTGTGGAAGACAGTGTGGTGATTCCTCAAGGATCTAGAACTAGAAATACCATTTGACCCAGTGATCCCATTACTGGGTATATACCCAAAGGATTATAAATCATGCTACTATAAAGACACATGCACATGTATGTTTATTGCGGCACTATTCACAATAGCAAAGACTTGGAACCAACCCAAATGTCCCTCAATGATAGACTGGATAAAGAAAATGTGGCACACATACACCATTGAATACTATGCAGCCATAAAAAAGGATGAGTTCATGCCCTTTGTAGCAACATGGATGAAGCTGGAAACCATCATTCTGAGCAAACTATCGCAAGGACAGAAAACCAAACACCACATGTTCTCACTGATAGGTGGGAATTGAACAATGAGAACACTTGGACACAGGGCGGGGAACATCACACACCAGAGCCTGTCGTAGGGTGGGGGGGATGGGGGAGGGATAGCATTAGGAGAAATACCTAATGTAAATGACGAGTTAATGGGTGCAGCAAACCAACACGGCACATGCATACATATGTAACAAACCTGCACGTTGTGCACATGTACCCTAGAACTTAAAGTATAATAAAAAATAAAAATAAATAAATAAAATGAGAACTATTAGTTTAAAAAATCTATTGATCTGTCTTGAACTGTGAATGAATCTTTTTGGGGGGAGGGGTTTAGAATTGTATTGTTGGTTTACACTTCCATAAATATTTTACTAAAAACTCTTATGAATAGGTACTTGGATTTCTGCAAGTATAAATTCCCAGAGGTAGGATTGCTGGACCAAAGACATGCTTTTGTTTTTGCTTTTTTAATTCTCACAAACAGCTATACAAATTCACATCTACACAAATGATGGATCAGGGCACCCCTCTTCTGACATCCCCACCAGCACTTGTAGTTAGCAGTCTTTTTAATGTGCACCAGTCTGATGGATGAGAAATGGAATCTTGGTGTGACTTTAATTTGTATTTTCCTGTTTACTAGTAAGCATCTTTCCATCGGCTACGAGTTTGTTCTTAATTTGAGTTTGTGAGACAGAATGGTATTTGAGTTTGTGAGGCAGAATGGTATTGATGATGTTAAGCATATTTTTTGGCTCTTTGGATTTCCCATTCGACTGCTATTCCTATCCTTTGCCTGTTTTTTTCTTCAGGGTTTGTCTTTGCACTATGAATGTGCTGGAGCTCAGTGCAGGGTATTTATTTTTTTGACATTTTTTTAAGTTCTGGAGGACCTGTGCAGGATGTGTGGATTTGTTACATAGGTAAACATGTGCCATGGTGGTTTGCTGCACCTATTACCCATGCATGATTTTCTAAAATCAAACATTGACCATTTGAAAATTATTGATTTTCTGAGTTATGTAGATTTTCTAGATGTTGACACATTTCATTGTATAATATAAAAACATCACATCTATTAATATCACCACTGATCTTACCAGAAAAAAAAAATCTGTAACTATTGGGAGACTGCCAAGCTCACTGTGGCAGATATAAATTTTTCAAAATTCTAATTTTTGCTTGAACACTCACATTTTATCATTGACATCAAATGCTGTCAGTCGCTTTCCTTGAAACGACAGGCTCACTTTGTTCATTTTTGAGAAAATGTCTGCCAAATACCCAAGTCTGAATAACCAGTTGGCCTGTCAGTCATTTTTTCATGAAAAAAAATGGTGTTCCATGACAATAGTGGCTAGCTCAACTCACAGCTGAATCACACAAGTGCTTTCCCTTGAAAATTTGTTATGCAGCAGAAGTGCTTTATGTTTGCGTCCCATTTTGTTGCAGAATATATTTAAAAGTATATGCAAGGGTAGAGATACAATAAAATTAATAATATTTACTGCTTCACCATAAATATTCTTAGGAAAATGGACTTTTTCCCCCCTATGAGGATGATGTTGATGAATGCAATAACAGCTGAGTGCCACTACCCTGATTTGTTAGGCTGGCAGTTAGATCCACTATTGCTTTTTCACCATTAGTGCAAACGTTAACACAGTGAAGATGGCAAATAACATCTAAGTATTACTAAGAACATAGTTTCGACTTTGCAGACTTCCTGAAAGGTTTTTAGGGCCCAGGAGACCCCTAGACTGTACTTTGATAACCGTTGAGCTAAAGTGTTGAAGAACTTTATTAAAATGCAAATGCCCTCTAGAAGGGATGAGTAAAAATATAAACTCTTGGCAGTCACTGACAGCTTCGTGTGGAGGCAAGAGAATGCAGCAAGGCTGACCCTCAACTTTAGGAGTCAGATAAATCTGAGTTAGAATACCAAATCCTACACTTTCTAGCTCTGTAAATCATGTAATTTTTGAGGTCTCTCTCTTTCTGTCTGTAAATGAACATAATGATCCTAAACCTTTACATTTGCTAAAAGAGTTTAATAGGATAAGTGAGTACCTAATGCATAGTTTGTATAATTAACTCAATAATTATTCTCTGGTTTTATAATTTATGTTCTTATAACCTAGTAAAAGTAGGATAAAAGATGGCTATGTTTTTATGGGTTTGGGGAATTGGAAGCTTCCTGGAAGTCACAGGGTAGATATTTCCCGAGTGTCAACCAAGATGAGCCTTCTAGGGAGTACACAGGAAAAGGAATGAAGAAGGGACTCCGGGGGCTCCACTTTTTCATTCATTCATTCAGCGAATATTTGATGATCATCTACTGCATGCTAGTCTCCAATTTTGTCCTAAGAAAGGCCACAACATCATGACAGTAACTGGTAGGATAGACAAGATGTTGGATTCAAATCAATGAACCTGGCTTTTGGTCGCAGTTTTATACTGGTTGTGTCACCTGGGGCATGCCCTTTAAGTTCTCTGCAATTCTGTTTCCTTGTTCACAAAATGGGAAAGATAATAAATGCTTCACTGTGATGTTTCAAAGAATAAATGTAAAAATGCGGTTAAAGTAGTCTTTCATTCGTGGTGGCTGTGGTTCTTGAAGTGACTCACTTTTTGACGTCTTGAAAAGCAACAGCACATGGAAAAAGGAATCCTTTCTGACTTATTTTTGTTTTTTTGAGACAGGGTCTTGCTCTGTCACCCAGGCTTGAGTACAGTGGCTCAATCATGGCTCACTACAGCCTTGACCTCCCGGGCTCAGGTGATTCTCCCACCTCAGCATCCCGAGGAGCTAGAACTATGGGTGCATGCCACCATGCCTGGCTAATTTTTTGTATTTTTCTGTAGAGATAGGTTTTTCCATGTTGCTCAGCCTGGTCTCAAACTCCTGGGCTCAAGGAATCTGCCTGCCTCAGCCTCCCAAAGTGCTGGGATTGCAGGCATGAGCCATCGCACCCAGCTCTTCTGATTCTTGATCTCTTTGACTATAAATTAGAATAGTAATACCTGCCTCCTTTTGAGGGGTCTTAGGATGTATAGTATCAATATAGTTCATATGTGCCACATAGTAGGTGCTCAAAAAATAGCTACTAGTTATGATTTTGTGGTGGGACAGATACACCTCCCATGGAAGCTGGCATATAGTAAGCCAGGATAATAAGTGGAAGAGAAAAACTTTTAGCACAATACCAAATAAAACATATACCTGCAAAGATTTAATATTGATGGATGAAAGTTCTGATCATTTAGAAACTCATTCTGTGGCTAAGTCATGATAAAGGCATCTTCTTCCCTTCCTAGCTCCATTCTCAAGATCTAACCTCCTACCTTTAAGCAATGTTGGAAGCAAAAGAGCTGTATATGTGACTAACTGTGCTGGTCAGAGCAAATGATTAGGCAGAATCTTGGTGAAAGGTAAGAAGTAAACATAGGGGAAACAAAAGAATTGAAAGGATTAAGAAAATATGGGAGCAGACAGACAAAGTGGCACCTAAGAAGGGATGTGAGATGCCTCTGTTGACCACTGGGGCATGCTCCATGGAGCACCCCAGGCTACAGCTGATATCCCAAGCCTGTCAGATGAGCTGGATGGCACAAGAAGCCTTCTCTGCTCTGTACCTCATGGCAGAATGTGGATGAGATGGGAAATGCTACCTAACTCAAAGACCAAACATTTTCCTGGATTCCTCACAGGAGCTTGGCAAGCTGGCAGTTAGTCTATTTGGTTGTGGGCTTTATTTTATGATATTTTACAACAAATATTCATATAGCATTTGCTAAGTTCCAGGAATTACTGTAATTCCTTTATGCATATTAATTCCTGTAATCCCTTAACAACTTTATGAGATAAATCAGAGTGCCTATTTTATAGATGAAGAATCTAAGGCAAAGTAACTTGCCTAAAGTCATTCCATTCATAAGGGGCAGATTCTCATGAGCCAGAGAATCAAGCCCCAGTGTTCAGATGCCTAACCATACAGCTCTACCCTTACAAAGGGAGCAAATAGGGACTTCAATGATTTGGATGCTGGTGACAGCGATCAATGATGATGTGATGGTGAGAAGGAGGAGGATGGTGCTCATTGTCAAGGCAATCTCTGCACCACAAGATAAGATCTACAGACTGCAAACAAAATGAATGCTATTCCCAGTCTTTAAAATGAAAACAGTGTGTTTTAACTCCCAGCTTAATGTGCTGAGGAACCATGTGATGTCTACACAGGGGCAGCTTGGTGGAATAGGAAAGTGAGAGAGCTTATTAATATCTTCTTCCCCTATCCAACCCTTTTCCTAAACTCCTCATCCTCCCCCAAGACTCCCCACAGGAAGCAACTAGGCTCACCAAGTTGCTGCTACCGGAGCCCCTAGAGATGGACTTCCAGGAACCAGTCATCTCCTGCTAGAAAACAAATTGCTGGAGGATGGGAGGAAGAGAGATGTGAATTGCATTCTCTTGGGGTTTTTCAGCATGAAATGAATTTTCAGAGTAGATCTAAAACTATAGTTCACATGATCCAGTGTAACCAAAAAGCCCCCAGAAAACCTTCTTTACTGTGGCTGCTTCTCAAAGAACTCTCTTGTCCGAGAACAGCACTTGGAGTGCTGTGGTCTCCCCATCAGACTCTAGTCATCCAATACTGAAGCTGCCTGCTGACCATAAAGGGAGATGAGAAAGAGCCCCAGAGGGTCATCTCAACCTGAAGCTGGAGCCCAGAATCCATGACAGTCCAATTAAATCAGACTACCTGTGGGTAGGACCACCATTCTTTTATAAAAACTCTCCAGGTGATCTCTTATGATGACAGACACTGACAGACAAACTTAAAAATCCTTCTGCACAGCGAGGACTATTCCTGTAGCTTTCTGGTCACTATGGAAGGCTTCCTAGTAGAAGAGGAGATGTCATCACAGCATCATTGAAAAAAGCCCAGGCTGTGGAGTTCTGAGTTTAAATTCTGATTCAGATAGTTATATTGTATACTGTATAATTTAGGCATTATGTTTCCTGGGTACGAAGAAACATGGTAGAGACAAACCAGACATGGAATCTGTCTGGAAATGAAAGGGGCCTGGGGTGGGTCCCAGGTTCTTCCAGTCACCCATTAGCTATGTGACTTCACATCTACATCTCTTCATCTGTAGAATGGGTATGTGATTCCTCTCTTGCAGAGGGTTGTGCTTTGAGATGATAAATTCTATAAGTGCAGGGCTGAGCATATGGTAGCTATTATTACAAGGACTTTAGACTCTCTTACATAATCTCCCCACCACACCCCACCAGGCCTGTGGGGTCTGAGATTTCTAAGAAGCTGGGGTAGGCAGGGGCTAGATTTGAGGTAGATTTGAAAAGACCACTGTAATTACTAGGAGCGGCATGCAATTTATACAAAGTATGGAGAGGTCTAATTTACCCTTTGGGAAGACCCCTGTGGCTGCTGTGTGATGAATAGGTTGAAGATGGGTGAGAATGGAAGCTGGGGGCCAGGGTAGTAGTTCTGGTGGAAATGCCCGAGGTTCAGAGGAAGGCAGTGGCAGGAAGGATGCAGAGACATTGTCTCAGTAAATGAGTTTCGAAAGTAGCATGGGGAAGCTTTGTGGAACCATTTCAGGTGAGAGGAAAAAGGAAGCTTAGCATGTTTTCCAGGTTTCTGGTTTGGACTCCTGGGTGGAATATGGGTCTATTTATCAAGATTGGAGAACGGTTTTGGAGGGCAGTTAAAAGTTGAGTTTTAGACACGTAAACTTGGAGATTCATGAGTCATTAAGTTGAGAAAACATATAGACAGTTAGGCATGCGGGTGTGAAGCTCCAGGGAGAGGACAGGACAGGTGATATATGTTTCTCAGTCATCTTCATAGAAATGGTGCGAATCTGTGAGGATGACCAAGCTCATCTAGGTGAGAATAGAAAAGGAAAATAGAAGCACAGGAAAGGAACTCAGGATGCATCCCTGCAGAACACTCAAAGAAGCTTGCTGTGCTTTCTACACAGAGTATAAATTCCCCAAGGTCAAGGACTGTATCTTATATACTCCTTGGCTCCTATTGCCTGACACACACTTACCAAATATTGCATAAATGAATGAATCAATCAATTAATGAATCAATGAGTGGATGAAATCTCCAAAAATATCTCTCATTCGTCTAATCCAGACTGGGGGTATCCACATGCGTGTTTGTATTTTCTGTGACATAGGAGCAGAGAGTTTTGGAGGGAGGACCCAGCCCCTGCGCCAATATGAGGGCTCTTGGTCATGCAGAGAATTATCACTACTGTAGCTCCATGGTTCCCACTGTCTTGCCCGAGGAAGTTATTCAATGTTCAGGCCTCCACACAGACAGGTATTTAAGGCATTAAGAAGAACAAAAATGCTTTCATTTAATTACACGCTTTCAACCCATTGGTTCTATTTAATAAGGCTCATCTCTTGAGACACTTTAATCAAGATTCAAAACAATCATTTCTGAATGAGACTGACATTTCCGCAGAGACGAAGGTGGCGGCTAGTTCATCTCTGATAGCTGTGACCCCCTGCCTATTTCTGGTCACCTCTTCATGCCCTCTCAGAGCTGTAGCCTCACTCCACTTTAAGATTCAGTGAATTCTTCCATTCCTTCTTGTGCAGCTCTGGCTCCCACAAAGCAGCAGTTCCTCTCCCAGGCTCCCTTTGAGAAAAAAGCCACCAGCCACCTGGTTTTGATTTGTCAATAATGGTATGTTAGAGACCCAAAAGGAGGCTATTGAAGCACGTTGGGAAAAAAAAAAAAAAAGAAATTATAAGGAAGAATGTTCTGACTGGTCTCTTTTCTCCCGCCTCTGGGTGGGACAGGAGGGCAGTGCAGTGGTTAAGAATACTGGGTCTCAAGCCAGCATGGCCTGGCTCCTTGCTCTCCTGATTCTTAGCCGTGGTACCCTGAGCACATTGCTTCATCTCTCTATACCTCAGTTTCCTCATCTATAAAATGCAGAGAACAAAGTTACCTATAGCCTAAGGCTTTTGGTAGGAGGACATGAGGTCATGTGTATGCAATGTGTTTAGCACAGTACCTGCCCCAAAACAAGTACTCAGGAAATATACACGATTATAGCTGAAAATGTCCCAGGTTCTTTGTCCTTCAAGCCATCAGTTATGAATACAATCTCAAATTAGCATTCTAGGTACCTTCAAAGCTGTCTACAGAAATGATGACTAGTGGACCAAAACTGGGGCTTTCCTAAGTGGCTATTATCACTCTGGATCTCTCTGATTGCTTTCTGATGCTTTAAAAAGTCCAAGTCACATCTTGACATCCCTAAGCAATCAAGTATAGATTTAAAAGTATGCATGCAACATTAATAGAACTTTCCCCAACAACATGCAGATTAAGAAAACATGTTAATCACTTAGAATGGGAGTCATGTGTCCAAGGTGTCTGCGTCCCATCCCTAGTGCAGAATATTTGCTGGACTAACGACTAAGGATTCTACTGGTGCATACATATGTAAATTAAACCTCTAGCTGCCTGAAACACCTTGAGGGATAAGAAATAACAGACACCATGTTATTCATGTCTGGCATTTATATTACATGCGGGGCCCTATTTAAGCACCATTCTGGAACTCTATCAGGTACATTTTTTACATTACAAAAGCTGATTTCTCAGATCTCGCCATGTTCCTTCTGGGAGCTCTATTCTGAGACAGAGATTAACAAATAAAGCTTGTTAAATGAGGACATCCAGGAGACAGAAGGGTTGAAATCATGTCATAAATATGTGGCAGGGGCGCTGTTAGGAAGATAATTTTGTTGTTTAGGAAAATATTTTGATAAATAGCTTTGGTATTGAAGATAAGACCCTGTGGGCATGGCTTTGAAGGAGAGAGTTCTGTGTAAGTAATGAGCAGGAATTTGAATGTTGTTAGAGAAAGGAGTAGGAAATGGGGAGAGTAATGGAGAGGGGGAACTAGGGCAATATGCTAGACAATATAGCCTAAGGAAAAAGGCAAATAACTAATTCCTGGTGACAGAATGGATAAGGGATTTGAAGAACAATAATGTCAAATATTTTATTTTCAAATTAATTATTTGGCGGCAGAAATTGCCTCTATTACCACCGTCGGAAAACTCTGCCATGCACCCAAAGGCTCTGTGAATGCAGTTTAGAGATTCAAGGGGCTGAGTACCACTATGTCAAGATGGCCATGTGGAAAGTTGAGAAAATCCAAGGCAAAATAAAAATAAAAACCCACACATGAGCTCTGTGGAACTAGGAACTCAAAACAAGGGGTCACCTTAAGAACATAAATCCCCAGGAATTCACAGAAACCTTGGTTTGAGCTTTGGATTTCCCGCAGGATGTGGGATAGGAGGCTCTAGCCAATTTTATTTAAATCTCAAAGGACAAAGTGTCCTCTGTTGACATCTGGTTTACATGAGTAATAATGCAAGTTGCTGGCATGTCTGGCCTGGAATGGAAGGTATCAAGTAGATCTATGAGCTTGAGTTATAGTACAATATCTGAAAAACAAACAAACAAACAAGAAACATGACATATTCCATGTACCTCCAGAATGTAGAATCAGTGCTAACACTCTGAATTTGCAGATCATTTGCCTTATCATAAAAGAAGACTTTTCTAAGAATAAGAATTCTTTAACAATAGACTGTGTTGCCTTGCAAAAATGGTGAATCAATTAATTGCCCTCCCTCTTTGGATGTTCCCCCAAAAAGGAATCTTTCATTGAATCAGGTAGAATTAGATGACTTCTAAGGTCCTTTTATAACTCTAAGATTTAGGTGATTTTATTTTAAAAAATATTTATCGGGGACTGTATTAGGCACTGAGACGTTATAACAGTCGAGATAGCCTACCCAAAGAAGAAAATGGTCTATTGGAATCTACAGTTCTTTTTTTTTTTTTCCAACTTTTATTTTCAGTTCAGGGGTACAAGTGCAGGTTTGTTACATAGGTAAACCTGTGTCACGGGGGTTTGTTGTACAGATTATTTTATCACCCAGGTTTTAAGCCTAGTACCCATTAGTTATTTTTCCTGATTCTCTCCCTCCTCCCACCCTCCACTCTCTAAAAGGCCCCATTGTGTGTTGTTTCCCTCTATGTGTCCATGTGTTCTCATCATTTAGCTCCCACTTATAAGTGAGAACATGTGGTATCTGGTTTTCTGTTCCTGTGTTAGTTTGCTAAGGATAATGGCCTCCAGCTCTATCCATGTCCCTGCAAATGACATGATCTCATTCTTTTTCATAGCTGCATAGTATTCCATGGTATATATGTACCACGTTTTCTTTATCCAGACTGTCATTGATAAACTAGGTTGAGGTTGATTCCATGTCTTTGTTATTGTGCATAGCGCTGCAATGAACATATGTGTGCATGTGTCTTTATAAAAGAATGATTTATATTCCTTTGAGTATATACCCAGTAGTGGGATTGCTGGGTTGAATGGTATTTCTGTCTTTAGGTCTTTGAGGAATTGCCACTCTGTCTTCCACAATGGCTGAACTAATTTACACTCCCACCAACAGTGTATAAGTGTTCCTTTTTCTCCACAATCTCGGCAGCATCTGTTATTTTTTGACTTTTGAATAGTAGCCATAATGACTGGTGTTAGATGACCGGTGTCATTGTGGTTTTGATTTGCATTTATCTAATGATCAGTGATGTTTAGCTTCTTTTCGTATGTTTGTTGGCTGCATGTATGTCTTCTTTTGAAAGGTGTCTGTTCATAAATGTATCTGCCTTTGTAGCCAAGTAACGATATTGAGTACTACTGCATGCCAGGCATATTGCATAATTACCTTATCCAATCATCCCATCAAAGCTAATTACTATTTACCATTTTACAGATGGAGAATATAAAGTTTAAAAGCTATGTAAGAACTTACTAAATGTGTCAATGTGGATGACTAATTAAACTTTCTTTGCATCTATTACTTCATGGATTTGTTGTGATCATAGCGAGTTTAAACATGTAAAGTATTTAATAATTCATGTCAGTGATTATAATTATATTTTACTACTGTCATTATTGCATAGTTTTAATAGTGAAACTTAAATGGAACATAAGCCTAATGCGTTCAGATTGCCTTGGCCTCACACAGAATGGGGCAGGATGAGCAGTGAAGGAGCTTGGAACCCTTTATTTCTCTTGAATAGGAAAGCAAAAGTCATTAGAGCCACTGGATATGGGAGGACAGGTATCTGAATCTCCAAACTGATATCATCTCATTTCCAGTCTCACTAAACTTGGCAGTCGCTCCTGCCAACAGAGAGCTCTCAGCTGAAAGGTGAAAGGGGAAGAAATTAAAGTACCTCCATAAGCTTCGTGACCTTTTATTCATTCCATATTTTGAGAAATTAATACACTGTGTTGCCTCTCCTATAGACCATGTGATCTTGGAGAGTGTTAAGTAGATGAAGACTAGAAAGACCAATAGGATTTATTTTCCAGCAGAAACAAAAAATATGAGATACAAACATGAGATAAAAAACAAACCAGTCAAATATCTCTTCTATAGTCAATGGATAATTAGTTAAAACTTTTTAAGAAGTAGAAAAGGGTTCAAACCATTCTTTAATGATTTCTGCCCACTCCCTCCTGATTATTTTAGCCACAGAAGTAAATCTGAACTGGGAAAATGTTTTCTTTCAATTTGCATAACTCAAAGTTCTCAATGAGATGCTAATTTTATGATCATTTTTCCTCCTGCAAAAGAGATTTAATAGTTGCTGCATAGATATAATAATTAGTAAGATGTAGTC